>NC_000004.12:184375926-184678956 GCF_000001405.40 Homo sapiens
TCATGAGACCAGCATGGGGGAAACTGTCCCCATGACCTAATCACCTGCCAGGAGGTCCCTCCCCAAACTGTGGGGATTACAATTCAAGATGAGATTTGGGTGGGACACAGAACGAGACCATATCAACCACAAAATATATTTTCACCACCAGTCCTTTTGCTAATTTTTTTCTAGTTTTGCTCAAACAAAGCTCAACCTCTAGGAGAGTCCTCCTGTACATGTGTACAGTATCCCTGAGTTATTGCATGTTGAAACTGTTTTACTTTAATCTTGATACTTGAAAGAGCCTGGCTGGATATAAAAACATTGGCTCACACTCTGTTCATAAGTCCTTTAAAAGGCTGTTCCATTATTGACTTGCTTTGTCTGTTGCTTACGAGAAGTCTGATGCCAGTTTAGTATTCTTACCCTTATAAGTAATTTGAGCTCTTTGCCTGGAGGCCCTGTAGTGGATTGAATAATGGCCTCAAAAAGATATGTTTATGTCTAAGTCCCTGCAACATGTGAATCTTACCTTATTTGATAAACCAGTCTCTGCAGATGTCATTAAGTTAAGGATCTTGAGATGAGATCATCATGGATTATCCAGGTGGGCCCTAATTTCAATGACAAGTATTCCTATAAGAGAAAGGCACAGGGGGGATTTGAGAGAGACAATAGAGGAAAGAGACAGGGATAAAGAGGAAAAGTGCATGTGAAGACAGAGGTGGAGTTTGGAGTCATGCACTCACAAGCCAAAATAACACCTGGAGGCACTGGAAGCTGGAAAAGGCAAGGAGGGATCCTCCCCTGGAGGCTTTGGAGGGGACATAGCCCTGCTGACACTTTGATTTTGGACTTCTGGCCAAAAGTGAAATAATACATTTCTATTCTTTTAAGCCACCAAGTTTGTGGGCATTTGTTACAGCAGCCACAGGAAAATAACATAGGCCCTGAGGATTATCTGTGTGTGTGTGTGTGTGTGTGTGTGTGTGTGTGTGTTTACCTTTAAAGCCTCATAGTTTACTAAAAATATCTCAGTTATTCTCTCTAGGTCAGTTTTTCTAGATATAGAGTGGGCCTCTTCAATACATACATTATATTTTCTCTTCTTTCTGGAAAGTTTTCTTGAATTACAGTTCCATTCCATTGCTTTGTTTTTCTTCTCCAGGAGCTCCTATCATATGTATGTTGGATCCTATTTGCCCATCCTCCATTCCAATCACTTGTGTTTAACCCTGTTTACATCCTTCTTTATTCCCTTCGTTATTTTACTGCCCCTTTTCAATGTTGAAATTGTTCAATGTTCAAATCTACTATCCCTCACTACCTTGTAATCTATTCTTCATTTTTGAAATGATTTTGTATTTTTCTTGAATTTCATTCCATAGCTCAATCAACTCATTGCATGTCTTCCTATTTTGTGCCCACTATGGCCTTAGTTATCAAATTTCTGTTTCTGGGTTTTTTTTTTTTTCTAAATACGTCCCATTGTTTGAAGATAACTACTTCAGTTTGGAATGTTGGGTTACAGTTTTCTTCTGCTCTTTGGTTGGTTTTGGTTAAGAATTCTCATCAGTTAAACTGTAATGATTCGCATTTGTGTGTGTATGTGTTCTTCTAATAGTAGCTCTTTTTGGAATTAGGTTGCTTTTTAAAATTTATTTTAAAATTTTTTGGACAGGTTCTTAATTCAGGAATATCCTCTCCTGTCAGTGCAGTGCAGAAATGGGTAGTAATGGGATAGTGGGCCATTATGTCTTATTTCTCTCTAATTTCTGCAAGATCCTCTATTTTTCCCTCTTAGCTCCTTCTTTCTCATCACTATCAAGTCTCTAAGGAGCACTACTGTTTCTTAGTTTATGTGATTCTCCCCAAGAAGCAATGCTCCTTTGAAGCTGCTACTTCTGGTTCTGCTTATTTTCAATCCCCTTCCCTTTAACTGTGCTGTGAATGTGTCACTTAGCAGTGAAACTTTTACTTTCTGGAGGTGATTTTGTTTATGCTATGTCTAAGTTTTCTCTGCCTCTTTCCTCTTTTTCCTGGGGATTTTAAGTCTTCTCTCTCCCACTCTCTGCACACAGCTTACAGTGGGTATAAGTGATGGGAGTTCATTGGGAATATGGTGTTTGTTTCTCTACTTATTGGTCACTTAACATTTGCGGTATCCTCCATCTTCCACTAACGCTGAAGGCATGGACCATGGGTGATTATCTTGTGCTCCTGTTGAATTTAAGGGTTCTGTGAGGAGGTTCAAATTCAGATGGCCACAATTATTCTGGAGGCTCCCTTGGATTAGTGTTTCTTAACCTTTTTGAATCCATTTTCTCTTCATCAGCATAAAAATCACATACATTACTGTTATTTTTATAAAATTCAAAATAGATGAAATATTATAACTAAAAACAAATCAAACCAATGAGACAAAATACCATTTTCTTTCCAGACACACATTCTCCCCTCCACAGATTCTGATGTGTAAACATTTCTTTACCCTCTTCTCCAAATCACTGAACTGAATAATTTTCATAGGCATAATACTGAATCAGTAAAATTTTGCCATAGTTGTTTTGATGCATAAGTATTTCAATACCTCTGAATTTGTATCTTTTATGATACCTCTGTCCTTTTTTCTTACTTCACTTTTTACTGTCTGTTCTGTTCATTTTAAGTGGTATAATTTAACTCACACCCAATACCTATAAAATTGTAAACAATACTATTTTACTTTCCCTCTTCTTCTATATTAGTTAGTTGCATTCTTTCTACTTTGTGAGAACATATCATATTTACTTAGTATAATTCCAACCATGTTCCCTGTTTTAGTCTTAGCTATATAATCAAATACAGCAAATTTTCATCAACAGTCCTTTTGCTGAAGTTTCCCCAGTTATCTTTTGCTGGATGAAGCTCGTCCATTAGTGGAGTCTCTGGAAGGGCATGTAAGGATGGTATTTATTCAGTGTGGGGGCTTTGATGTGAGCAAAGGTGAAAGCCTCAGAGAAGCATTGCTTCTTGGAGGAGAATCAGATTCAAAGAAAAGGCGTGGTACTTCTTACAGAGTTGGCAATGAAGGGAAAGATGAAAGCACGTTGGGGGAGAATTTTAAGAATTTCTTGATGAAATGAAGGAGATACAGCTTTACATCACAGTGGTCACGTCACAAGGAAAAAACTCTGTTTTTATCGTCCAGTTGTAACTTCAATGTCCCAGGGCTTCCCAACCTGTAGGTACACATGATGTCATATTACTACTACATGAGCTGTCCTAAACATTCAAGTCCTAACCTTGAGACCCCAGCCTATGAAACCTCAGGAATTCAATAGCAGCACCCCCTGTTGCTACCTTTTTTTTTTCTTTTGAGATGGAGTCTCACTCTATTGCCCAGGCTGGAGTGCAATGGCGCAATCTCGGCTCACTGCAACATTTGCCTGCTGGGTTCAAGTGAGTCTTCTGCCTCAGCCTCCCAAGTAGCTGGGATTGCAGGAACCTGCCAGCATGCCCGGCTAATTTTTGTATTTTTAGTAGAGACGGGGTTTCACCATGTTGACCAGGCTGGTCTCAAACTGCTGACCTCAGGTGATCTGCCCACCTTGGCCTCTCAAAGTGCTGGGATTACAGGTGTGAGCCACTGTGCCCAGCCTCCACTACCATTTTTGAGGTCCCTCCCACCTTTAGTATCCAGGGTTCTCTGCTTTTGTGTGCCAATCCACTAAGTACACTTCTGCCATCCCTAGCCCTGGAGCTGCCACTGCTTGGGCCAACGGCCTACCTACTGCCTTTCTGCCTTTAGGCAATTTTCATTCCTTAGCTAAGGCTTCTGCTTTCCCTACTGTCTTAGTCACTTTGGGATGCTATAACAAAATACCTCAGACTTGGTAATTTATAAACAATAGAAATTTATTTCTCACAGTTCTGGTGGCTGGGAAGTCCAAGATGAAGGCATAAGCAAATTCAGTGTCTGGGGAGGACCTGTTTCTCATAAATGGCACCTTCTATCTGTCCTCACATGGTGAAAGGGGCAAACAAGCGTCCTTAGGCCTTTTTAATAAGAGCATCAACCCATTCATAAGGGCGGAGTCCTCATGACCTAATCATCTCTCAAAGTCCCCACCTCTTAATACTATTGCATTGGAGATTGTGTTTCAATATATGAATTTCGAGGGGACATAAACATTCAGACCATAGCATCTACTGATGCAGTCCTATTCCAGAATGTCTAGGAACTTTTACCGGGCCATATGCCTCTGTCATTACTGGGGAAGTTCTCATCTTCTACTTGATCTGTCACCCAGGCTCAGGCCACTAAGAAATAGCTAGGGAAAACTCTGCTTAATATAGGTGATATGGTTTGGCTCTGTGTCTCCACCCAAATCTCATCTCATATTGTAATCCCCATAATCCCCACTGTTGAGGAAGGGACCTGGTGGGAGGTGATTAGATCATCGGGGTGGTTTCTGCATGTTGTTCTCGAGATAATGAGTGAGTTCTCACAAGATCTAATGGTTTTGTAAGTGTTTGACAGTTCTGCCTTCACGGGTTTCTCTCACCTGCCGCCATGTAAGACATGCCTGCTTCCTCTTTTGCCATGATTGTAAGTTTCCTGAGGCCTCCCCAGCCATGTGGAACTATGAGTCAATTAAACCTCTTTCCTTTATAAATTACCCAGTCTTGGGTATTTCTTTATAGTAGTATGAAAACGGGCTAATACAAGGGGTGACTGGGACCTGAAGTGGCAGTTTTACACTCCCAGCCATTCTCTCTTCAAGGTACACACACCCCTTGAAGCAGGCAGGTGTCTTCACGGGTTCAGGCAGCCGTCAAGACACTGTACCAAGAACACCTCCTACCACCTTCAGAGCCTAATTGGCCCCATCCTCAGGCTAGATTCTTTTCCTGGGATCCCTTCTCTGCAAGCTCTTCTAGCTCTTTTCCCAGGAGCCTCCTCAGCCCCTACGTTAATCTGTTTATGCAAACATAACACAGAAGGCCTGGCCCTGCCCTCATGCCTGGCACAGGTTAGGTTCTGACAAAGCACCTGCCATGTAAGCTCCCTCATCCTGTCCTGAGTGTGAGATTCTAGCATAGGGTAGAAAGATACCAAGAAAGCACAAAAGCTTAACGTTTGTGGCTCTGTTTTATGAATATGTTGAAATATTCCCAATTTCAAAATTGCTGAGTCAAAATGTCATGAATCCCAGGATCTAGTGGGAATTATAATGCAAACTGGTCCACAAGGGAAACTGTATCAACGGCCAGAATGAAGCAAATTAGAATCACTTCAATAATCAAAAGTTAATGTAATTCTACTGGGTGGCTTTATAAAGCTTAAAAAGTTTGTTTGAATCTATGTTGTTTAAAAAACAAAATTGGCCAGCCACGGTGGCTCACACCTATAATCCCAGCACTTTGTGAGGCTGAGGCGGGTGGATCACTTGAGCTCGGGAGTTTGAGATAAGCCTGGGCAACATGGTGAAACTCTGTCTCTACAAAAAACATACAAAAAAATTAGCTGGGCATGGTGGCATGCACCTGTATTCCCAGCTACTACTCAGGAGGCTGAGGTGGGAGGATGGCTTGAGCCCAGGAGGCAGAGGTTGCAGTGAGCCTGCACTCCAGCCTGGGTGACAGAACAAGACCCTGTCTTAAAAAACAAAAATCAAATTGAATTAACTGCCAGCAGGTTTATATCCCCTTCAACTTCTACCAGAAAGGAATAAATTCTCAGCTCCTTTTATGCCACTTGACAACAGAATGAGGCTTGCTCAAAAAAGGGATAGCTCAGAGAAGGAAAGACTAATTTTAGCTATATAGAAACTGGGGTCACATGTCTGAGCTCTGACAGCCTCAGTGGTCAAATCTTGAATTCATGGAAGTCTGGGAGAAGATGGGTACTTTGGAATCAGTGCTCCAAAATATGGATCTTAGCTATTTTATATGCAGATGGTGTGGCTGATATAACTGAGTGCTTGCAATGTACTTCATACTTTACATTATCTTATCTAATTCTCACCTTGCAAGTAAGGTGTCAATACCCCCATTTTATATGTTGAGAAACTTTTTCTCATAGATACAAAGAGATGTGCCCAAAGTCGTCAGCAAATAAGAGCAGACTGAACCCAGGTTTATCTGATTTCAAAAAACGTATTCTCTTCCCACTACATATGTTGCTTTCCCAACTACTCTGGAAGGTATGGGATGCAGATTTCATTCTCTGGATATTCTTACCTTGGATTTTTCACTCCCTTTGGTATTCCTGGCAGGTTTCCTGAGGTGTGACAGACATCCTGAAGAGGCACTCAGCACCCATTCTCAACTCCTTCTGGAGTGTCTTCCTCTACTGCAGAGGCGGGAACTCTGAGAGCCATTTTTCCAGTCTCACTTGCAGCTGGGGTTCTAACTGTGAATTAGGTTCAACCAATTATATGCATTTGCAAGAGATTTGGAAGTCAGAATGGAGGCAGAAGCCACTTCCTACTGATTGGCTGTAAACACTGGCAAGCATGATTGTGGTAACACCGGGGCTTTCTGAAGCCATGTCTCAAAGTTCAGCCACTGATTGCATGGGTGTCGAGAGACATTAAAGTGGTGGTGACAGAACTTTCTAATGAACAGATTTCAGCTAAAACAATGTGTCTTCGGAGTCACTATTCCCAGTGACAGGCTCCTGATTTCCTCCCTTTACGGTGGTGGCAGATGTGGAAGCACCCGCAAGCCGGCTCCTCCAGCCTTCCCAACGACGTTGTAAACACCTGCTTCTCTCTAGACAATGACTTTCTGCTTAAAATAGCTGGCGTGGTTTTTGCTTCCTGCAACTAAGCCCCATTGATATATGCTGTTTTCCTTCTTTCCCTCTAACTGCTGGTTTTCACAACAGCCAACCCCGCAATCGATCCTTTAAGCTCTAAAATGAAAGCCTTGAATATCTTCATCACTCCATATCCTGCTTTGTTTTTCTCCATAGCAGTGATTGTCACCCAAAGATTATTTTTATTATTTGTTGATTGTCCACCTTACTAGGATTTAAGCTCCATTAGAACAGATACTTTGTTTTGTTCACTTCTGTGACAACTCTCTGACATTTAGAAGAGTACTAGAAAATAGCAGGAATTCAGTACATAGGGTTGAATGAACGAAATCTACCTTTCTTAACCAAACACCACATTAAATTCATGCATTAATAGGGTCATCGACAAGATATCCTCAATAACACCTCCTCATGAAACATTTACCTGGGTTTTAAAAATCCTCCAAAAACACAAAATATCATTTGTGCTATGTAACTCAGCATTACATTTAGGTGACATCCCCTCCCAGTTTGCCTGAGACGTTCCTGGTTTTAGCACTAAAAGCCCCATGTTCATGAGAATCCCCTCAGTTCTGGGCAAAAAGATGATTGGTTATCCTAATTAAATATCTTAGTTGCTGAGAAAGGCACTGTAATTACATTACTTTAGATCAATTTTGCAAATAAAAGTTTGAAGACACAAATCCACCTGTGGTCTCCTTCCCATATCAGCTGTGTTGCACAGGATCCCCGGAACCATCAGGTAAAATCCAAGCAATGGCTTTGGGTTGTATTTTATGTTTTTTACTAAAATTTCTATTGCTTGTACCCTGAATATTTCAGAGCTGAGCCTGTGAAATCTTTTCTGCATCTCAGTTACATTCGAAACATGAGCTTCCCAGAGAAAAGATACTGCAGCATAAACATGTGCTCTTGAGTCACAGCACCGGGGAAGTCCCCTTGGGATCCAGCAGAGTGAACTCTGCAGAAAATATGGATCAATGTTAATTCTGGGGATGAATAAAGGCTTAGTCATCACCTTCCCCCGATTAAGGAACGCACTCCCATCTCGCTGCTAACATTATCCTGAAACTTCAGGCAGTGAGTTCCGGTGCAATGTGTGGATTCGAAATGTCAACGCTTCTGAACTGGCATATTAGAGAAAATTTGGAGAATAAGAGTATTCTCAGACACACAACCCAAGCTGCCAGAACATCTTGGATATCCTCTCCCTGATGATTCATGTGGAGAGATGTTTGGGTGTTTAGATTTTAAAATATGCTTCCCAACCAAAAGTGAAACTTAAAGATGCTATCACTCTGGAGTTTTTTTGCACCTGCAAAACAAAAATTTGTGTTTTTAAAATTAACTGTTTTCGCGACACAGTCTGTTGCATGTGATATTGGTGTTTCTCCAGCCAAGCATGTAAGGGGTTAACTGGGCAGCAGTTGCACAATCCCAGCACACTACATTCCACAGCACCAGCAATCTCTGTCTGAACGTGTTTATAAAGCAGATACGGGGAAACTGACCAAACCTCCAAAGGGCAGTGTGCTTACAGGAACAGAAGCACACACACTGCTTTTCTTCTGAAGAAACTTGGTCAGACTCCAGAGCAGGCTGTTTTCAGACTATGTGAACTCTGAAATGTGCTACATCTTGATCCTTCCACGGCACAACCCGGGTTCTTGGATAGACTTAACATTTTTGCTAAAACCAGCTATTAGGCCTGACCACTTCCTTCCTTCCAGGCACTATTTTCGGAAGCAGAGACACAGTGCCTCTGCACCTGTTGTTCGTGTGGCCACAGAAGCAAACCTCTACAAAACCCTCATTTGTCTGCACAGCAGGACCAGTGATGCCCAAGCCCAGACAGGGAATGGGGGTGGTACCAGTGTCCCATGGGGCCAGTGGGGACCCAGAGGCCAGACAGCCTCACGAAAAAGCATCTCCCCCTGACTCCTGCCAGCTTCCTGCATCTCCTGACCTGAAGCTTCGCACGGCCGGGCTCTCCTCTCCAGGCCTGTGGTTGGACACATTCCTAAGGGGGTGAAGCCAACAGTCCCAGCCCTGTTCTTTTGACACCGGGATGGTGGGGCTCTGGGGAGGAGGAGATCCCAGGGATGACAGCCTAGTAGTACCCAACCTTGATTCACATGCTGGGGTGCAAATGAGTGAGAAGCAGCCTCAAGAAGCTGATGGTGTCACCCAACTGCCCTTGGGAGGGGTCCACTGCAGCCTGGGGACAGAGGGAGGTCAGAGTCACGTCCCACCTGCTCTGATAACTCTGGCCCCAGGCACGTCATTGTACTGTGGGATGGAGTTTCAGGGTGAGGTAGGCGGCTGAACGGCACCATGTAAAAACCAGTTTGTGCCTCCAAACCAAACTGGCACTCAGACATTAGCTGTTTGACCCCTGAATGCCAATGAACTCATCTTGGCTACCTGTGTGTAAACCTTTCCCTAGCTTTTGTCTTTTATCAGGAGAAATCTGGCAGAATAGTGGGGGTTCTTTTTTTTTTAACCTTTTATCTGGGCTTATTTGTCCAAAACTACAATAGCAGGGGGCCTTTAAAGCCTAATGAACGCAGGTTACAGAGTGGCCTCAAGCAGAAGGAACGTCTCATGTTCCATCTCTCTGAATTAGGGGCAGGAGGCCAGCTGGGGCTTACCATCTTTCCATTCACATGCAAAGCACTTCCAAAAGCACAAGTTTGAAAACTCAGACTCCTGAAATCAAATCACTCATCTCCTTCACTTCTAAAATCTCTGTCTCAGTAGTGGTTACATGATAGTACGGTACACTTGGGATTTGGGTGGGGAAAGGGTATTGTTTTAGGGTTTTGATGTCCAAAGAATTTGTATTCCATAGCCATGTGTATTTCTTTTTTACAAATCCTTTGAAATAGACTAAATACCACCTTTGGCAGTGGTTCATCAAAACACGGACAAAACAGTACGGTTGAGGGTGGATTTATTTAGATGTGCAAATGGCATTCCAGAAGCCCCTTTCATCGAGGTGTGTGGATGTGCTGGGTGCTTGCAACCTCAAGGCTGGGCAGAAATACATGTCCCTGAATTCACAGTTCACAGCTGTACAGTGAGCCCATTATCAAGGGAGTGACCCAGGTACTGGCTGCAGAGAATGGAAACTATTGTTCCAAAGGCAGTTACACTGAACTTGAACTTGCTATTAAACGCATACGTGCACACACACACCCAAGCCCATCATCAAAGCCTATCAGCTCACACAAATACCAACCAGAAGCATGCGTCCCTGGCACTTCCTCTAAGTGACGACAAGGTCTGAGGCTTGGGTCCAGGAGCTGCCCCAATGCCTTTGTTTTCCTTCCCCATGTCAACCCCAGGCATCCTGAGACTAGCTTGTTTTCCTGCGTTGCTGGCAAGTATCACTTAGAAACAATACAGGCTTTCTCAGAAGGATTTTAAACATGATTCTGTTTTTCATGGCCTTATTGGCAATGGAGTATCATCTCTGGAACTTAAATGGTGCATTTCCAAGTCCTGAATTTTCTTCCACTTGATGGGCCTTGGGAAGTCTAGTTACGCTACAGAAGCAAGGGGAGGGCAGCAGGAATGGCATTCGGGACCGAGATGCAGGAAGAAGCCCTGAGTCTGTGTTGGGAAGAAGGAAGGGGGAGGAGACCTGAGCTACCTTAAACCCTTTGATAACCAGGCCACGTGACTCAGGGCAACCTTCCGTTGCTGTTTTGTTAATTTATTTAAAATAGGATGACTCAGTAAAACATTTTAGATGTAAGTCTCAAAGAACTGAACTTCTCCATTCAGGACCTGGGGGAAGAGCAGGTCTTAACTGAAAAGTCGGGTGCCAAGGAGCCAGGGAGCATCTGTTTCTTCCTGATAACTCCCCTTCCACTGAGAAACTGAGACAGTCAACGAAAGTGCTCCTTCCAGAAGCAGCCCCGCCTCTGTGTGTGGCATTTCAACTACAACGCATCCGCCAGGAAAATGCTCCAGTTGATTTCCATTCAGGGCTGGATAACTTTATGACCGCTAATTATATCTGCAGCCACACATGGAGATAGGCATAAAAATAGCCTTTTGTCCTTTCATTAAAGGAACCTCTTCAAATATTAACTTAGCAATCTCCTCCACAACCCCCCAGAGGTAGTAGGCGGGTAGCAAAGTTTTCATATTCTGATTTTACAGAGTAAGATACTGGGGATGCAGGGGAGGCTGGTGCTGTGGCTTTCTCCAGGCCAAGACTATACCTTCAAACACCAAGTGGCTGATAAAGACTGGTGTTCTTGAAGTCACCCCTTTTATTCCACAAGACAGACCCCAAGTTTTGAGGGCACGGTCTATGTGTAAGGCCTCGGGTCCTAGAAAGACGAGTGACGGACATGGTGTTAGAGCCCAATACATATTTCCTGTTGTGGAAAATGTCTTATCCATGCACCCCTCTAAGTGACATAAACACAAGACGTTTGTCGTACGTGTAAGCCTAAGGATGAAAACAGGAAAGACACAGAGTGGGGTGAACCTTGCTCACAGCAGAGAAGGAAACCAGTGGCGTGGCTAAAATACTCCCCCTCCACAGGGAATGCTCCCAACACAGAGGAAGACAGACATTTGAGATAACGGATATGCTTACAAGAAAAAAGACCCCCTTCATAGCACAGAGAATTGGGCTCAACTTGTGCCCAACTTGTGCCCTTGCCTCTTAGTGCCACTATGAGCCAAGTAAAGGCATCTTCACATTCAGTCTTCATTTCCTCCACATGAAATGGAGATGAATGCCTATTCTACAGCACAAGTGTGATGAATGAAGACGGGAAGTCATGCAAAACGCTCAGCACGGGCCCCTGCTCAGGCGAGCACTCAAGAGAAGAAGTCAACTGAAGCCTCACAGTAAGAACCTCCACGGTTTCTTGTGGTCAACAAGGGAAAACATTTTGGTCCCCAAAAAGAAACAATCCTTTGTCAGTCCTATTCCGTGATTATGCTCTTTTAAAGCAGACACAGACAAAGCCAGGAGTGATGCCCCTTAAAAATTTAACTATATATCATATTCATTTATTATCAATCCACAGGAAAATCTGATTGCTACATGAGCTCATAAAAGCTTTTTTCACCTTTACAAAATTAAAAAAAAAAATGTGCCACAAGGATGTAATAACAACTGCTGATAAACAAGAAAAGGAATCTTAAAATTATAAATTTGCTGTAGAAAAGATAAAAAACAATTATATTTTATTTAGAATTTTACCTTGAATAAAATATTCCCCTGTATAAAAAATAAAAAAGCTTGCTCTGGTTAGAATTAGAGTATTTTTGTCTTCAAATCTGGGAATTTGCATAATATTTCCATGATACTTTTTCCTTTGTACCGCGTGGCATTCAAGCATAGCAGATTAGAAGGATTTTTTTTAAAGCAGTCTGAAAATGGGACATCTGTAGAGAAATTCATTTCCTTCTTCTCCTCCGGATGTGGAATGGAAGCTTTGAGGGAAGGAAAAGTAGGAAAAGAGCGGGATGGGATGGGATGGGATGGGATGGGATGGGATGGGATAGGAAGAGAGGCTGGGGAATGGGCAGAGAAGGGGGTGCTGAGTGTGCTGTGAGATAGAGCAAGATCACAAGAAGGCCTATCTGTAAGTGCTTTAAGATAAGGTGCAGAAGCAGACTGCAATGTCGCTAGTGCTGCCTATGTACATATTCACAAGAATAAAAAATTCCAGCTAGTTCACATTATCTCGTCCGTTCTGAGGCATCCACTCCACCTTGCTGGCCTTGACCGCAGGCAATGCAGCACCTCCACTGCCCTTGTTGGTCCTTGAACTTGAGTGAGTAGCCCTGGGAGATCCAGCAGGCTCTAGAAACACACGTCTACCAATGGGCTGGAGTCCTGAGTTAAAGAGAAGCTCCAGTACTGGAGTTGGACACAGCAATCAATGTTCTATTGTCAAGGCTTTTTCCCTTAGATTTGTCTAAAATAGGTGTCAGAGAGAAAAAAATAAAATACAAACAAACAACAAAACAAAGCCAAGAAGCCCCAACAACCACCGCGGAGAGTCAGAGGCTTAACAGCTCTTGACGCGGGCCTGGGTGATATCCGATGTTTTCTTGATGACGCTGGCCCGGGTCTCCCGGTCTGGCCGACTGCTGCTGGATGCTGGGGTCATGGAGGAAGAAAGGGGGAGGTCTTGAAAAGGGGGCCAGGAGCTGTTGTAAGGCACCGGATTGCTCTCCTCTTTGATGGTGACCTGGAGGTCCGGTTTGTTGGAAGTGACGAAGGACGCCATGCCGGGCAGCAGGTAGGAGCCTCGAGTCCCCATGTTGCTGAGGTACTGTTTGCCTTCAATATTCCTCTTCCGCCAGTGTGGCCGCCCCTTTCAAGAAAGTAATTAAGATATGTATTTCCTTCTCCTTCTATTGGATGGCTTTTTAAAAATGCATCACTGGCCAGGTGTGGTGGCTCATGCCTGTAATCCCAGCACTTTGGGAGGCTGAGGCTGGAGGATCACTTAACCTCAGGAGTTTGAGACCAGCCTGGGCAATGTAGCGAGTCCTCATCTCTACAAAACGTAAGAATTAGCTAGGCATGGTGGTGCACACCTTTAGCCCCAGCAACTCGGGAGGCTGAGGCGGGAGGATCACTGGAGCGCAGTAAGTCAAGGCCTCAGTCAGCTATGATTGCGCCACTGCACTCCAGCCAGGGCAACAGAATGAGACCTTGTCTCAAAACAACAACCCACAAAAAAAATTTTAAAATGAAAAATGTGTCGTTCCCATGTGTTGGTGCTTTAGCTGAGTTTCTTAAGAACTGCAGAATGAACAAAGGCTTAGCACCTCTACATCCCTCAACTGAAATCTATTGCACCCAGCTATTCATATGCCAAGTAATGGTTTTTCTTCCCTTTTCTTTTTTTTTAAAAAATCAATTCCCATTTGCTACCTCCCAGAAATACTTTCCAGACTACTCTGTGAAGGCAGGAAAAGAAGGCAGCAGCTTGGTTTCTGGTTCCCTTGTGCTCTGCGGCTCGGCCCGATTATTCGATAGGTTTCAGGTCACCATGGCCAGTGTGGCACAGCGACTCGGTCCCTCAATGCTGGCCCAGTCAACCTGAGCCAACCTGCATTTTCAGAGAAAAGGCAGCGAGGAACTTAGTGACAGGCAATGAATGCCCCTTGATTGCTTTCAAATGGGGGCGGCTTAGAGCTCCACGGTGTACAGCAAGCAGCGGCCTCAGGGCTGGCTTCATTCAGAGAAGTGGCTAGAGCTGCAACCTTGAAGAAATCAGGCCAGGGTGTATGGGAGCGTGTACATCTGTCTTTTCAGAATCCCTGCACTTTTTCTCAAAGTGTTTAGTACATGGGAAACCACTAATTCAAACAACCATGAGCTTCCCTCTCTCTTGCTCCCTCCCTCTCTCTCTCTCATTCACTCAAGCGCAGACCCCCAGCAGGTGGCCAGCAGGAATGCTTTCCATCTCCATTCCAGCCACTTTCTGCCATTGTGCACGCCCCATCTATGGGAGGGAGAGGGGACGGGACCCACTCGGAATCGAGATGGGGCACACAACCAGCTCTGGGCACGGGTCACAGCGGGAGGGAACCCACGCACACGTGGAAGAGGCTTTTGCTTAGCATTTTGTGACGTGTACTGGTCACTGCTTTTGGCTGGGAAGGCTGCTCTATTTTTGCCGGTGAAGTAGGATGTTTAAGTGGTAAGAGCATCGGCATTTCCCAGCCTCCACTTCAATTCCCTTTTCCTGCTATCACAGCTTCTCTACCTGATGGTAACATTTAACTCCCTTTCCTCCTTTCAGTTCCAACGCCGAATTTTATAACCCCAAACCCAAAAGTATGGTAAATTCTGGTGATGCATATTTCACCACACAAGAAAATCCCAAAGTGAAGCTTGTGATCTAAAGGAAAGGTGCATAACCAGCAGCAAGGAAAGCCCGGAGCTGGTCGGGAGGCTTTTCCTTGGCAGCATCGTGGGCAGGCTGGGCAGTGGCTTACCTCGGCACTCTCTTCATCGCTGGGCACACTATCAGTCGTTTCGCTTTCTGTTCACAGAGAGAAAAACACAGGGCCATCATTCCTGTCCCTCAAGCTGTCCCCAGGCTCAGGCAGTGTTTATAAAAAGGAGACTGAGTAACTAAACGCATCACCTCCCTCCCTTTGTAAAGCGAAACATTCTACATGGGAGAAGCTAGAGTGAATTTCAACTCTGTAATCTTCGGAGAAACCAGGCTTGAGAGCTGTGAGGAGGCTCCCTTGGCCAGGGCCGGGCTGTGTATACACTGGGCACTACCTCCCAGGAAGGGGCGCTGGTCCCTGGGGCCCTCCTCACTGCAGCTCTGTCCACAATGCCCACATGGGTCCTGTCTTTCAATCCATGCCAACCAATTCATTTAATTCCCAGTGCAGAGTTGACCGTTTCCAAAAGGTCTTCCTACATTATCCCCATCCCACTCAGATCCTTCCTTTACCTCTCACCCCTTTAGGACTTAGATCCTGGATTTCTAGAGTTGCATCTGCCATGTGGGTTACTGTAGGTGGACAGATCTGGGGTGCTCCCCATGATCCTCACCTCCTTGGATTCACTTTCTTTGGGATTGCCTCCCTTGAGTGTGGATGGAATGTGTCTGCTTCTAACAAATAAGATACAGCAAAGGGGATGAAATGGATGTGATCCTGTGTCCATGATCATGTTACATAACTCAGAAACCTGCTGGGAGAGGAAACACTCTGCCTTGCTGGCCTTGATAAAGCAAGCAACCATGTTGGGAAGGCTCCTATGGCAAAGAACTAAGGACTGCTTCCAGCCAACAGCCAGCAAGAGACTGAGGCCCTTAGTCCAACAACCTGCAAGAAACTTAATTTTGCCAAAACCACATGAGCTTGGAAATGGACCCTTCCCCAGTTGAGCCTCAGATGAGACAGCAGCTGTAGCCAACACCTCCATGGCAGGTTTGCAAGACTCTGCAGCAGAGGACCCAGCTAAGCCACGCCTGGATTCGTGACTCAAAGAAACTGTAAGATCCAAATGTGTGTCGCTTCAAGCCACTAAGTTTGTGGCTGCATGGCTATGGCAGCCAATCAGTTGCCATCCCCATTTGGCCTGCCAGCTGTGAGACACTGGGCAAGTTTCTCACCTTTACTGAGCTGCAGTTTTCTCCTCTGTAAAATGAGGGCACTGCCACCATCTAAGAGGATTACATGGAGAGTGAGTGAGAGGGTACATGGGAAAGGCCTAGCAAGGGCCTGGCACACAGCACACACTCCATACATCAGCACTGCTTAACACTGGGTTTGCACAACAGGCTGGATTAATGGAATCGAAGTCTAGTGATTACACATGACCTATGCTTATAAAAAGCTTTTTAAACGTAAAAACATTTTGATTTTGTAAAATAAAATATCAATGGTGTGCGATTATTCCAGTGTCCATAACCATTGAGAAATGCAATCACAGAGGGCAGAGCCTGTGCAATATTTAGGCATTTAGAGATCACTTAGCCTGAGCCATTCGTTTTACAGACAAGGCCTAAAGAGTAACTGCAATAGCTTCTCTTCCTGATGGCAACCTTTAACTGCCTTTCCTCCTATTTAGTTCCAATGCTGAATTTAATAACCCCATACCCAAAAGTATGGTAAATTTTAGGTGACGTATATTTCACAACACAAGAAAATCCAAAAGTGAAGCTCGTGTTCTAAAAGAAGCAAACATTTAGGGAGCCCTATGGGTCAGTGCCATGTCAGAGGCTTTGCATGCAGGTCTCACAGGGGTCCCACGTCAGCAAGCAGCTGCTCTCATCCCCCGTTACGCAGAAGAGCTCTTATGCTCCAGTGCCTTCCAGCTTTCCACCCGGTCCCTGCTGAGGGGCTGGCCTCTGTCTCACATCTTCCTGGTGGCAGAGCTGGGATGAGATGGCTCCAGCCCAGACAGAGCCCTTTCTTCCACTGAGAGCATTAGCCCCAGACCAGGCTCTCTATCAATTAAAGGCAAAAGAACAAATGGACAAACTGTGCCACAGGTGCATTCCTTAAACAAGGAAAGTAAGAATGTGGACTCCACTGGTCCCAGCCTGGAGTCTCTGGGCCTGTTTCTCAGCCACTGTTCTCCAGTAACTTCACACAAACCTGAGTGATCGCGGTGGGCTGGCCATGAGCATGCAGAAGACAGATCTCTCCACTCCTCGGACTGGGCATGTTTCCCCAAAACACCCCGTGCTGGGAGCCACAGAGACCCAGAGAAGCCCTCAGCCTCAGCTGACGACGATCCCAGCTATGAAGATGAGCTGACGTTGCCGAGCACAAGAATTGTTTCCACGCAGAAACACATGAAAACCAACAGAAAAAGAAAATTCCCCTCCTCAGAGAACCCTCGTGCTGGCTCAGTATCCTGAGGAGGCAGGAATCGGAACAGCCACTCCCAAGAAGAAAAATGAGGAACAGAGATGTTGAGAAACTTGCCAAAGTTGCCAACTGAGACAGCACAGAGGAGAGAAAACAAAACTGTACTTCTGATTCCAGGGCCTGTGCACTGCACACAGCAGCCCTGCTTCCCTGGTGTTCTGGTCTCTGACAACATTTCAAGATCCGCTTTCCATTTTATGCTTAGCTTTCTTTGTGCTCCAAAGCCAAGCTTTCTCTTCCTTTCATACGGGTTCAGATGCTCTTCACTCCTAATGACTCTCCATAAATATCACTGTCTTCTTTTCCTTTCCCCTCCAAATACAAACAAAGATACGCAACCAAGCATGCTTTGGGGGCTGGGATTCCAGCACAGCCCCAGTCGCAGGTGCAGGAGGGGCTGGAAGTCAGATCCTGGGGTAAGGCTCCCGGGTAAGACCTTGCACCGCCCATGAATGTGACCGGGATGCTAACTTCCTTTAAGTACCCAGTTTTCAGCTTCGGGGAAATAGCTGCAGATAAGAAAAGATACACATGCTCCGAACTTATGTTTTCAGCTGACACAAATGCGAGTTAAAGAGCGTCGTGTCTAGATTAAGTTCCACAGCATCTGAAGTCGTCAGGAAGATGCGCCCTATTAGGACACTGACAGTTTCAAAAAGGGGCCTTCAGTACCTTAGCTTAGGAGCAGAGAACCCTGAACCTCCCCCTGAGGGGAGCAGTTCTCTCTGTGACCCCAGAATCGGTGGCTCCAAGTGCTTTGTTGGATGCACTGCGCCCCGTGTCCTCTGTTTCCTTGGTTTGACCACCATTGCCACTTCCACGCTGACTTCTTACACAAGGGAGCTGACTGCAGCTGGGCCTCCAGATCAGTGTTACTATCGAACTATCAACATACGTTGTCATTTCATTTTCCCTTTTGATTAGTTTGAATTTGTTTTTGCTTTTTGTTTATTACTTACTTCGAATACAATGGAATAAAGAAGTCTGGAGTTGCTTCTCCAGCAACTCCAAACAAATGAAGAAGCTGAAGGTGTTCGTACAGTACCAACAGGCACATGAGTAATTCACTTAACCTTTCTGGTCTCAGTTTTCCTGAAAGCATCTAGGGTGGGAGGGAAGGGGAGGATTTGGATTAGATGATCTCAAAAGCTCTTCCAGTTCTAGGGTGACACTGGTTGTAGGTTCACTCTCTATCCAGTCCAGTTTTTAACGCCTCGCTGAGGATATACATATTGTCTAAGCAGGAACACTGCGGGAAGGGAGAGGATGCATTTTCACCTGAAAGGCTTTTTGCACTCTGACATTCTGCTACACTTTCTGGAAGGCTCTTGTTCAGCAAGTTTGATTTGAATTTCTTTCTATTGATCATATTCTCAATTACTTTCACCAGGAGTAAATTATTTTCAAATCGGAATCCTCTTAATCTCAAAGCGATTGTGTCTTTGCTCTGCCCAACAAAATGCAAGCCTGGTGTGGTTTCCCGAAGGATTCAAAGCCTTTACTGATGGCTGCTGGTCAGCAGGCGATCTCCACTCTCTCATTATAGCCAGTGAGTCCTTCAGATGATGTTTTCTTCTCGAGTCTACTCTCCAGCCCCTCTTACCCATCCTCCCCCACCCCATTATTCTACTGTGGTTTTCTTCTACTAAACCATCAACCACCTAATAAAATTCTGATGCCACAGATCAGGCAAGGGGTCACTTTGTAATGCACCTTTAAACATGACATGTCTCTCCGCCAGAGCTTCCCAAAGTGGCACTTTGAAATGTCCCTCCCTAGTATGAAAGTTTCACAAATCACACTAGAATTTTATGTTGTCTTAAAACATCCAACGCAAGTACTATCTCTTCTCTTTCTCATCATAATATTTAGACCACAGAGGAGAAGACAGACTTGCAAAACTGAATGTGGTTTTGTAATATACTACTGGGATTATGATTCAACGATCAGTAGGGGGAAAAACTAGCAAACAGCAGCCTCCAAATACCAGTTTCCCAAACAGATGAATAAAGGTGGTCAGAGCATGCCGGGCGCGGTGGCTCACGCCTGGAATCCCAGCACTTTGGGAGGCCGAAGCGGGTGGATCACGAGGTCAGGAGATCGAGACCATCCTGGCTAACACGGTGAAACCCCGTCTCTACTAAAAATACAAAAAAAATTAGCCGGGCTTGGTTGTGGGTGCCTGTAGTCCCAGCTACTCGGGAGGCTGAGGCAGGAGAATGGCGTGAACCCGGGAGGTGGAGCTTGCAGTGAGCCGAGATCGCACCACTGCACTCCAGCCTGGGCGACAGAGCGAGACTCCGTCTCAAAAAAAAAAAAAAAAAAAAAAAGGTGGTCAGAGGAGATTGAAATTCAGATGAACAGCCCAAACAAAGGAACTCCATCATGAAAAACAGGCAAATGGCCGACTCTACTGGAGAACATAAAGCAAGAAAGGTGAATACACGCAGAAAGCTGCCTTTCCTGACAGCATGTTATACAATTTCTGACGGAGGAACTAAAATTAGCTACAGTCAGTAGCAGGGAAATGTTTTACACCACTGTGAGCTCTAGAACATCAGCAGCGATGGAACATTTTGCCTCCAACCAGTAAGCCTCCCTCCACGAGGTTCTGGAGAATCCAGACAATGAAAACAACGGAAAGAACCAAAGGCCAGGCTGAAAAGCCAGGCTCCAGCAAAACCTCCTGTTGACTGCCATCCTGGCACTGAAATCCTTCCTTTCAAACCTATGCAAATGTCCTGAAGAGAGTAATGAAATGTTCATTTCTCTCTGCATGGATCTGCTGTTCTCCGGAATCTTTTGCTTGAGCAAATGCCACTGCTGGCAGAACAGCAAGAAGAGGTCTTTCCAGAATCCCCAAGAAGACCTCAGAAAAGTCTTACTCAACAGATAAACATAGAAGTCTATTCTAAAGCTCCAACCCCCTAAAAAAAGAAGAGAGAAAGAAAACCACATGGAGTGTAACGATGCCTGCAGCAGCAGGCTATAGAAGAAAGTCATGGGTTTTTAGCCATAACTATGTAAATATAAGCAAAGTGGCTGAGTGTTTCACGCTTCGGTTAGCTCTACTGTAAAATTTAGGCATAAACATTCTGCTCTGCCTCCTTTGGTGGGTCCTTGTGAAAATCAAATGAGATCACGGGATGTGGCTGTGTTCTGAACGGCAGAGCCCGTGCGCTGTCCAGGGCAGCGACACAGGGCGGGCGTTAAGGACCGGCCTTTGGCATCAACGGCTCATGGGTTCTAGCTGTGCTCCCAATCGTTCCTCCCTCAGACACGCTGCTCTACCCACGCCAGCCGCAGATCCATATATATATATTTTTTTTTCTTTTTTTTTTTTTTTAAGACAGGATCTCGCTCTGTCACCCAGGCTGGAGTGCAATGGTGCAACCAGGGCTCAATGAAGCCTTGAACTCCTGGGCTCAAGGGGATGCTCCTGCCTCAGCCTTCCAAGTGGCTGGGACTACGGGCACATGCCACCACACCCGGTTAACTTTTTTTATTTTTTGTAGAAGTGTGGTCTCACTATGTTGCCCAGGCTGGTCTCCAATTTCCGGGCTCAAGTGATCCTCCCACTTCAGCCTTCCAGTGCAGGGATTACAGACGTGAGCCACCACACCCAGCCAGATTCCTCACTTTTAAAAACGGGATGATGACGATACCCAGGCTGACAGGGTTACTCTAATTATAATTAAACAAGTCAACTGTATCATACCAGGCATGGCAGCTCATGCCCGTAATCCCAGCACTTTGGGAGGCTGAGGCGAGCAGATCACTTGAGCCCAGGAGTTCTAGACCAACCTGGGCAGCAAGGCAGAACCCTATTTCTATTAACAACAACAACAAACAACAACAACAACAGTCAACTGTACCCAAGCACTGAGCATGGTTCCCAGGGCACAATAAATTTGCAAAACATAGTAGTTCTTGTGACTGCACTCTGGCAAGGACCAAACAGGGACTGGCACGTGTAAGAGTCCAAAACGCATTTGCTGAATAAAGCACCGAAGACAAGCTTATCCTGTTTGACAGATTATAATCTTCCTGTGGCCAAGGTCTATTCTCACATTCCACTTACGCTCCTAGCATAAATGCACACTAGGACCTATGCTAAGTGAAATAAGCCAGTCACAAAACAACAAGCACTATGATTCCACTCATAGGAGGTACCTAGAATAGCCAAATTCACTGAGATAGAAAATAGGCAGGAGGTTGCCAGGGGCTGGGGTGGAGGAGGGAAAAGAGGACTTAGTGTTTAATGCAGACAGAGTTTCAGTTTCGCAAGATGAAAAACGTTCTGGAGGTGGATGCTGGTGATGGCTGCGACAACATTAATGCACTGAATGCTACTAAACTGTGTACCTAAAAATGGCTAAAATGGTAAATTTTATGTTAATGTATTTTACCACAATTTTTAAAAGTGAAAAAAAAAAGAAAGTTGGCATTCAGGGAAAATGAGATTAGACTTAGTGGCTGATAATTCACAAACAACAGTCCTTTGAGTCAACTCTAATTCCAACGCTGGTCGGAGCCAGTGTTGGGGGTGGCACCTACTGGAGGACATCCCATTTGGCAGCGTGTAAAGAGCACAGGGAAGAATCCCTGAACTATTTGCTAGAGCTGAACTGCAGTTTCCCAGGATGGGGACTCTGCTTTTTATTTTTAATATCTGCAAGCAGTAACACTGACTCAGAATTTATATTTCCTAATTACAATTGATTTCCACAAAATTCAATGGAGATCATCAGGAAGAGAGGAGAAGATGAAGTAATGTTGGCGAACGAGAGGAGCCATCCTTTTACTCTGGAAGAATGGAAGAACCAACTGGATCTGTTCCTCCCCCTGTGACTCTGCCTGGGCCAACTCCTGTCATTATGTAGCCAAGTCCCTGGAGAATTGGAAATGGCTCAGTCATCTGGCCTAATTAGAACCTGTACTAGATATAAAAAGAAAGAGAAAATATGTGGAAAGGACAAGTACGCTTGGTGGATGGAATGGATCTAGCAATGAGCTTGGGGTCTGAAGGCTGAGGTCAAGTCCTGGCCCAAACACTTGCTGACTGTACGACCCTGCGCAAGCCCCTTCCCTTTCAGAAATGAAGGAACAGGAAGAGATCATCTCTAAGGTCCTATCCAGCCTGCTCAAACTGAGAATCCATTAAAACACTCTGCCAAATTTCTAATAACTTGGGCTAATAAATTAGACTCTGATGAACTACTGCCCTAAAGAAATCTTATCTGTAACCATATATAAAAATGTTATGGGAGGCCAGGCACTGTGGGTCACACCTGTAATTCCAGCACTTTGGGAGGCCAAGGTGGGCGGATCACCTGACGTCAGGAGCTCGAGACCAGCCTGGCCAACATGGTGAATCCCCGTCTCTACTAAAAATACAAAAATTAGCTGGCATGGTGGTGTGCGCCTGTAATCCCAGCTACTCAGGAGGCTGAGGCAGAAGAATCTCTTGAACCTGGGAGGCGGAGGTTACAGTGAGCCGAGATCATCCCACTGCACTCCAGCCTGGGAGACAGAGCGAGACTCTGTCTCAAAAAAAAAAAAAATAAATAAATAAATAAAAAATGTCATGGCCAACTGAGTAAAGAAATGCTGTGATCCTGTCCTCTACCTGAGAACAAAAGTGTCCAAGAAGATGTTGATCAAGATAATTAAAGTATGAAAAACTCCAGGGAGAATAACTCCTAGGACAGAGGAGGGATGCTCCGTGGGGTGGTGAGATGGGTGACCCTAGACCAAAGGACTGCGCGGCCGGTTCCCACGCCTCCCGGAGCCTCCCGCTGACGCTTACCTGCATAGGAAGACACGGGGGAGATCTGCAGAGGGTAGAGCTCGCTCATGCTGACCGGCTGCTCGTCGCTCTCAGTGGTCACCTCTACAACTTGGCAAATGTCTGGCGGATTGGTGACAATCTCTTGATTCTCAATGTTGCTGTCCAGATGGGACTGTCCTACAACTTCAAAGAAAAGACAGCCATCATGCAAAGTCTGCTGACCTCACAATTCTAGCACACTTTCTCAAGAAAGAGTCTTCCCCAAAAGAGCCAGGTCGCCAGGCTCCCATCACCATCTGTCCCCTGCCATGGGGCTGAAGAACACGCCTGAGCTCTGTAGCTCTGGTGTGATGTCTCCCAGGGAGCAGCCGGCCAGCACTTGGCTCCCCAGGTCTATCTCCAGCATGCCTGCCAATGGCACGCACGGTGGCCATGTCCTTTCCAGCTCAGCAGAATTCCACAGTCAACCCCGTCACAGCCGAGGCCACAGGACCAGAGGCGGCATCCAGCCCCAGCCCCAGGGCCAGACATGACAGTACTTTGAACCTGACCGATTTCTGCTCCCTGCTCTTGCTCCAAAAGAAGGCGCTGTGCTTATTTTCTGGGTTCTACAATCCAGGGAGACATTATCAAACCTTACTAAAGAGGAAGGGCCATGAAAATCTACCCAATTGTGTCACATCTAGCTGTGTGAATGTTTGTGTTCAGGTTTTGTATGAACATAAGTTTCCATTTCTCTGGGATAAATGCCCAAGGTCCCCATCTAGCTGGGTGGCGCTCTGCTTACGCTCCCAGCTCTCTTCCTGCTCTACAGGCAACATGTCCAACTGGCTGAAATATCAGCACAATGGAATAGAGTCAGATCTCCAATTCTGGCAAACATTAGTAGCATCAGCTCCCCGGAACACTGATAAGATGGATTCTGACCACCCTGGCTCTGAAAACTGCCTCAAATATTTTTCTTATATTGTTTATTTTGAGATCATTGTAAACTCACATACAGTTGTAAGAAATAATACAGAGAGATCCTGTGTGCCTTTTACTCAACTTCTTCCAATGGTTATAGGCTACAAAGCTAGAATACAATATCGCAACCAGAGTATTGACATAAATAACAATCCACCCATCTTGTTCCGATTTCCTCAGTTTTACTTGCACTCTTTTGTGTGAGTGTGTACCTGCACCAGGACTAAGTGCAATTTTATCACACATAAAGGTTCATGTACCTACCACCACTGTCAAAACACCAAACAGTTCCATCACGACCAATCTCTCTCACGTTACTCTTTGTAACCATAGCCACCTTCCTTCAGTACCTCCCCATCCATCTCTTTGTCCATGACCCCTGGGCAACTATTAATCTGTTCCCCATTTCATTAATTTGTTCATTTCAAGGATGTTATATTAATGGACTCATACAGTAGACTTTTGGGGCTGGCTTTTTTTTTACTCAGCATAATTCACCGCAGAGTCACCCAAGTTGTTGTGTGTATCAGTCATCGGTTCCTTTTCAATTGCCGAGTAGTATTCCACGGTATAGGTGTACCAGTGTGTTTATTCTCCCCTCTGAAGGATGTCTGAGTTGCTACAAGCCTTTGACTATTACAAATAATGCTGCTATGGATGTTTGTGTTCAGGTTTTGTATGAATATAAGTTTCCATTTCTCTGGGATAAATGCCCAAGAATGCAATTGCTGAGTCATATGGTAATTTCATGTTTAATTTTACAAGAAAATTGCCAAACTGCTTCCCGGAGTGACCGTGCCATTTTACATTCCCACCAGCAGTGTCTGAGTGATCAAATTTCTCCACAGCCTCGGCAGCATTTCGTGTCATCACTGTTTATTTATTTTGGCCATTCTCATAGGTAAGTCATGATGTTTCATGGCCATTTTAATTTGAAGGTCCCTAAGGTCCTGCCCTCATTTTGAATGAAACTGACCTCATACCACTGTTAGTTGGATGAAATGTCCCTGAAAATTAGCTTCAATAAATAAAGGTGAAGAAATAATTCCCAAGGTCCTCAAAGCACTTTGCCACCATCATCAACGTTTTACTCATACCTGTATCTGTTATTTTAACATTTTAACCCATAAGGATGACAGAGAAAGCATCGTTATCCTGTTATAGATGAAGAAACTCAGGCACAGAGAGGGAGAGTGACTTGTCCAGACTCGCACAGCTTGGAGTATATGTGGTGCTCTATGTTGCAGTCATTTTCTCACCAATCGGCAAAGTATTCAGGTTAGAACGCATTCCAGTCTCCTTGAGACGCCAGGCGTCATGGAGAGGCTCGTTTTAATCACTCCAAGTATTTTATTTTCTGAAGTATTTTTGTTTATAAACAGGTTCCTGTTTTAATTGCTGTCTGTGGAGTGACAAGCACATTATCTGATTTCTACGCAGGGAAGGTTTTAGAGGGCAGTGGCAATTCATAGGTTCTTTAATAAAGAAAGGAAAGGCACAAAAGAGGCTCAGAAAGGGGATTTGGGGCTGTGATACAAGAGTCCAAAAGCCACAGCATACAGAATGGAAGGGAAACCGGATCCTGTTTAGGTTTTCCTGGTGGGGATAAAATTAAAGAAAAGGCAGGCAGGCTATATATGGCAGGCAGACTCCCAAGCCCATTTATTTCATCCTTTGGATTATCCTACGTGAGGGTGAGGACATCAATTATGCAGGTCACTAGACACAGACTGACGCTGACCTACACCAACCTCTCTCTAGTTTCCTCTGCCTCTTCCAGCCAAGTAAAATAAAATGGCAGGAAAACAAGATAATGGCCTGCCCTATCCTAAGTCCTAAGAAGCAGCTGGTGGGTGGAGGTAGAAACCAAATGGGGTGTGAGAGTTTGAGGAGGGAGGGCGCAGCGATACCTTGCATACTAAGGCAGTGAAGGTCTTAGATAAATGTGACTTAAGTCAAAGCCATTTTAACTTCCAATATTTCAAAACTCATCTCTCCTTTGCACGTTGCTCCTAACAGAAAGAGGGCAAGCCAGCTGGGACTACAAACAATGGCAGCAGCTCAAGTATCCCCCTAGTCAGATCCCTTTGTTCCAACCAGGAATTCTTTCTCTCACTGCTTCTCCCCATGACGTCCTAGTCGGTTATTCAACTAACAGAGATTTATGGAACACCTGCTTGCACCTCCCAGCCTCCCAGGGCTAGAAGGAGCAGCGGAAGATCGATGCAGTCAAGGATCCGGTTTGTAAGAAGTTCATATACATGGCTATAGGCCAGCGACTAACCATCTAGAGAGTCAGTTTAAGGCCGTGAGCACTGAAAAGAAAGAAAAGAAAAAGAAGGGGGCCATACAATGGAAGCTAGAGAAGTGGGGTGTTTTTTCCAGTTTGAGGAATCAAAGGCTTCAATGAGGTAGTGGCACAGGAGTGGGGGTTGAGCAACAGGCAGCATTCACCATGCCCCTGACTTCTGGAGCCCCTTCCTGACCCGCCAGCACAGACTGGCCTCTCTCCCCTGGGTGCCTCTCACTCACTGTCCCCGTCACTCGGCCGAAACTACGATGGGCCGCGACCTTGTGACACTTCTGACCTCAAGTTGCTGGTTAACGCTATATACCCGTATGGAGCTTTGAGTTGGTCAATGGCATCTCTCCTCAACCAAAGTATGAACTTTTTGTGTCCAGTCATGACACATGCTCACAACTCCCACCGGAGAGGCGCTCAGGGACTCTCCCCTGAATAAATGGACATGTGATGGGGCCGAGGCTCACTGACTGGAGCCAGAGTGGAGTCCTGCAGGGGATTGTGACAATCTGCAAATACGGGACGTGACAATTAATGTTTTCTAGAAAAATGTCAAGACTTCTGACAAGTGGACTCTTGAAACCTTTGGGAAGTGATAAAGACAGCCGGCTGTGGGTGCGAGGGCTGGGGCCAGGGAGGAAACGTGTTGGGGTGATGAAAATGTTCTGTCTTGACTATGGTGGTAGTTACATCACTGAGTGCGTCTGTCAACATTTATAGGACCGTGTGCCTTAAAAGGGGTGAATTTTACCGTATTTCACTTAATATACATGACTTGGGGAAAAAAGTAGATAAGCACGTCCATGCAGATTTTAGGTGTATCCTGAATGCGGCTGACCAGGAGAGAAAAGTCAGTCTGTTTTCTGGGCTATGATCTGGATACCAAGTTAATATAATTACGTTATCTCTCAGGCCAAATTCCCCCATAGGAGTGTGTTGCTTTATGCCCTGGTAAGGGACAATGGCTTCTCTCCATCCAGACATCGTGGGTACTTTAGAAACTTTCCAGCTCTCGAGTGAAAGCCCATGAGAGAAGCAGGGAAATCCCAATATCGAAATGCTCTCAGATGAGCATCAACACTCTCACTAACCAGTCTCTATCTGTTTCTCTCTCTCTCTCTCGACATGTGAACTGATTTCCCTGGACCACCAAGCGGCAAAACAGACAGCAACACTGACTCCTGACAGGTGAAAAGACAGGAATAACAAACTTACCTGCTACAGTAAACAGTCAGAAGTGGCACTCCTCTGGGTACCAAAGAGTGTCCTGACTGAATAATGACAAAACCTGTCTTTCTGAGCACTGATCTTTGCCTCTCCCTACCACCTCCCAAGACCTCACAACCCATGAGGAAGGCACAATAGTGATCCCCATTCTAGACATGCTGAAACAACCATACAAGACAGAACTACATGACTAATTCAAGGTCAGACAGACAATCAGCAGCAGAACCGGGATTCAATGTTAGCCTTACCCAACTCCAAATTTCAACTCTTTATAATATGCTCTCCCTAACAGAGAGAGTTAATGAAGTCCAAACTGAGTTACTGAGGGCTTTCTTAGCCCCTCTCAGGATAAAAACTTTTGAATCTCACCTTAGTGAGTCTCCAGGCTCAGAACTAATAGTGACATTTCTTTTCAACAGTTATCTATTGTGTGCCAGGGAAATTCTCAAACAGAAGAACTAGAAATCCACTAAGTTTCTCCAGTTTATTAAAGTCAGCACATCTGAAAAGAGTCACCCACAGGAATGCAATTTTATCTGAATCTAGTTGCTGAGAATTATAACAATATTATTTATGGCTGGTTACTGATGAACCGGTTTGCTTCTTTAAAAGGTCATTCTCACTTTATTAGCAATTGTTGACTTAATGTAGGTCTCCACCTGAGAAAGCAACTTGCTCCCATGCCTCAGAGAAAGTGCTTAAAAGCAGATTATTAGAAACAGAGGGGTCCTTGGAGGTGGTTTGGTCCTACCATTTTACAGTTGAAAAAAGCTGAAACCCAGAGCTCAGGTAAATTGCTAAGGTCACCCAGGTAGCTGCAGAGTCAAGAATGAAACTTACTAGCAGGCATAAAAAATCAGGCCATCAGCAGAGCATCATGCAGGGAAATTTCCCCTGACCCCTCTGAAAGTTTCAGGAGTTAAACTTCACACCAGCCTTGATGACATGGCACAGATGGAGGCTACTTTTCTTAATCAAATATATTTTAATATGATTTTGGTAATATGATAATCATATCATTTTACCCCCTTCTAGCCCCAGAGTGATTTATCTGTACATTTCACTTCATCCTCACAATAACTCTGCGAGATGGGCAGGATCAGTACGATTATTTCCATTTTCTATATAATTTTAAATATTTCCATTTTATAAATAATTATATATTGTTTCCAATCTATATAGAAATTGAATTTCAAAAGATTAAGGAGTTTGCCCAAAATCACATGGTAAATAAAAAACTTCAGAAGCAGGTCTAGAACCCACGCCTTTTGACTTCTAATCTCGTGCTCTTTCGGTATAAAATACAGCCATGATTTGGTTTAGGCACTCGAGAGCCATGGTGGGAGAGAAGATCACCGCGGGGCCGGTGACTCCGAGACAGGGATCTGTAGGTGCCTGGGCCAGGCTGTCCCTGACTACAGGCTGCATACACCTCACCAGGGTGACAGAGTGCAGGAGGAGGCAAGAGTGGGACAGGGCAGCGTGCACCTTGCACCCCGTGAGAAAACAGCATCTCAGGCTACTACACGAAGGGAAGCACAGGATGTATCCCAGTAAAAACTCAGTAGAGGCCAGGCGCGGTGGCTCACACCTGTAATCCCAGCACTTTGGGAGACCGAGGTAGGTGGATCATTTGAGGTCAGCAGTTCAAGACCAGCCTGACCAACATGGTGAAACTCCATCTCTACTAAATACAAAAAAAATTACCCAGGCATGGTGGCGCATCCCTGTAATCCCAGCTACTTGGGAGGCTGAGGCAGGAGAATCGCTTGAACCCAGGAGGCGGAGGTTGCAGTGAGCCGAGATTGTGCCACTGCACTCCAGCCTGGGCAACAGAGTGAAACTCGGTCTCAAAAACAAAACAAAACAAAACAAAACTCAGTAGAGGTAACCAGTGTCTCAAGGGTCAATGATCTGGGAGCGGAAGTGTGGATGAGACGTGTTGGGCTGGAGCTATACCTCCTGCTGGAACTGCCACGTGTCCACCCCTCACTGTGCCCTGTGGACAAAGCCTTTGCAGCTGCTCCACCATAAGGAGACCCACCACCAACCTCACTGTCTCTATGAGCAGCCACAGGGAGCTTAACTCGTTCAGAGTAATTCAAGTTCAAAGACAGGTATGAAAGCAGTGGGCAGGGCCTAGATCATGCCAGACCCCGGGGACCTGGGGGAACTCAGCTCCTTCTCTTAGGGGCAGTGGTGACATGATGACACTGGCATTCTTTATTTTGTGAGAAGAAGAAATGGGGAGCAGAATGGAAGCAGAGCCCAGGTGACAGCCAAGGCAGGCCCACACACAGTGTCAGAAACAAGGGGATGGACTTGAGAAGTACGGTGAGGGAAGATAGGAGGAGCTGACAGCTAATTATAAACGAGGCAGCGGCAGCCAGGGAGAGAGGGAAGGAGAAAATAATATATAGCCTCACACAAAGATGACAGCTTTCTTGAGTAAATAAAAACTTCTTAAGGCTGAAAACACAGCAGCCCAACTCCACTGCCCAGGTCTCTCGGTTGGCACCTGGTGACTGAGGAGTGGCCCCACAGTCTCACCTCAGTGCCCAGGTGCTCCAGGTCCAATACAGCCAAGAATAAAGTATGTTGTTGTGGGTTCTGTGTCTGGGCATATTGCGATGTAAGGGTTCACATCTCATATGGAGTTTCATCTTGCTAAGAGCATTCTAGGGGTGTGGATAAAATCGAATGCCTTGTCTCAGGCCCCTTCTCCTAAGGGGTGAACAACTCAGCTTCCAGGAAGAAGGCATGGGCACAGCTGACAGCATGGGTGATCTCCTAAGAGGTGGTGCCTTCCATCTAAAGACTCACCCAGAGCTACTTTTTATCTTTTTTTTTTTTTTTTTGAGGCAGTCTCCCTCTGTCACCCAGGCTGGAGCGCAGTGGTGCCATCTTGGCTCACTGCAACCTCCGCCTCCTGGGTTCAATCGATTCTCCTGCCTCAGCCTCCTGAGTAGCTGGGACTACAGGCACCTGCCACCACGCCCAGCTAATTTTTGTATTTTTAGTAGAGACAGGGTTTCACCATATTGGCCAGGATGGTCTTGATCTGCTGAGCTCGTGAACCACCCACCTCGGCCTCCCAAAGTGCTGGGATTACAGGCATGAGCCACCGCGCCCAGCCTCAGAGCTACTTTTTATCTTATAAATAAAATTTCTATCTGAAGCACAATAAAATATGGCAAAAAGAAGGTGAAACAAAGGATATGGGAAGAGATGAAGACCCAGGGTTCCATAGCCCTGTGTCACCGCTGGCCATCCTGAAACCACGGCAAGTGCTGGGGCCAGAGTCTGCCAACCTTGAGTTCAAATGGGTGGCCCTCGTGGGGACCCTAACACTGGTCAGTAAGCTGTGAATCTGCTCTCCTGTGCCTTCAGGAGCCCATGTTGATACTTGGGTTTGCAGGCTTGCCTTAAAAAGCGGCTTGAGTTTCACCATAGATAAAGACAGGCAAGTTTGGAAACAATTCCCGAAAAAAGAATATCCTACAGGGGGCACTTTGAGCAGCCAAAATTAAGACAAAAATCCCAACTCCATGACTTCCTAATTGCCGTATGTCTAGTCACTACAGACTGCTCTAGTTACTCCACAGTAATGAATAGACTCTCTGGTTTCATAGCAATCTTTGCTTTATTAAAGGGTGGGGCTGTGTTTTATCAAGAAACACAACAGGGTTATAGAGCACTGCCGAGACCAGTCAGACAGAATGTCCGCACCTGCAAACTTTTTACACTGCCCGGGAGATGGTTTAAATACAAAAAAAGCACTGCTAACCTCGGCAAGAGGCCAGCGGAGGCCTGTCAGGACAATTCAGCATGCTGCTGGCTTCTTCCGTTTCCCAAAAACAGAAGTCACCATACACACAACAAAAATTCAATGCTGAAAGAAAGTAAAAATAAAAAGGAGTTTTTTCTTCTCCTTCCCCTTAAAGGGAAAGCAGGCTGAGGTCTTTTGGGCACTATTCCTGTGCATCTGGCCATACAGGAGAGAAGGAACATCAGAAGATGTGTCTTCATTGTAAAGAGCCTGCATCTTTACAGGGGGTGCAGCTAGCTACATCTGGAAGTTGTTCAACTGTTACGAAGGAGGGAAAACACTGCTCCTCTGAGACCTCCAATCTAAATTTGGTGCCTTGATTTTTCTCTCGCCTTTCTTTTCTTTTGCAGTATTTACCACACATGGTAACACTGCAGTTATCTGGGGGTGTCTTTGTTTACTATCTCTGTCCCTCCATGAGAAAAGAAATTGGGCCTCCTCCATCTATTTCCTGCTCCTAGTACTGAGTCTGATATACAGAAGGTGCTCAAAAATATCTGCTGAATCAGAGTGGGCCCTTTGGCAACATGTCTCTGTGCCTCAGTTTCTCTGTCTGCCAGGAAGCAGTTGCTGAGAGGACTCGCGAGGACCATCTTCCCTCTCCTTGGTTCCCGAGTTAAATAAATACTCTTTTGCCCACGTGAACCAAATAGTGAAAGACTGGGATCGCTAGCCACGAGCCGCCGGGAAACAAACATTTTTCCTGGGAGGTCACCCCAGCCTTCTTCCACGGAGGCTGACCCGTCTAAGTTCCTTTATCTGATCCTCAAAAGCCTTCGTTTCTCAGCCTTGAAATCTGGGGGCTGGAACTTGCATTCTGAGATGATTCCAAGACCTCCTCCCACTGACTATGTTATTTGAAGTTCTCTGTTTTACAAATTTTAGGCCCCAGGGGGCTGCTGGTATGTATAAAAAATGAGACGTCAAAACAGTTTACCTATGATGTTCACCGTACTATCCACTTCATTTTTTATAGTTGAAGTCAGGACCGCATACTCAGGAGAAAGATCACTTACTCCATTACTAAGCCCCAGAGATGACTCAACTGGTTCTTGCTAGGAAGAAGAAAAGAAAAAAGAATTGAGAACACTTCCTTTCCCCTCCCTTCTCTTAGCTGAAATTCTACCCTCTGCCTACTTTCTTTAATGCTAGGGTCATTCATGTTCAGCTGCCGAATACATTCATCCCCTGCTTCTTTAAACTGGCCTGTTTTAAAGCACATTTCTGCCCAGGGTGCACTGCTGGGTATTCAGCTCCTTCCATTTTCCTTCAAGGAAACGGTACCGGCCCATCTGGCTTGCCTTTAGGAAATGCTTCCACCTGCAGACAATAGCTTTGGGGCTACGCAGAGCTGCATCATTGTCTCTGTAAAATGCTGCACTGCGTGGATTCTACACTCTCCTCCTCTGAGGGGGTGCTCAAAAGAATCAATGCCTGGCTTTCACCAGGGAGGAATCATGCTACCTCTTTCATAATTATTTCTTAGGAAAAGCTCTGCCTCAGTGACTGGCCCAAGAACAGGAGCCCAGAGGACATTGTAGATGAATTCTCTGCAGATAAGTTTTGCCATGGCCTCTGGCCACCTGAGGCCCTGCATTGGATGGCTGGCTGATCACCCTGGCCTGAGTCCAGCCGGGCAACCCCACACCATGGGCTTTACATAAATGCCCTTCAGGTGGCTGAATATCTCATCCAGCCCAAGAATTCTGCACGTGCACACTAATGAAATAATGAGAACAAATTCCTTTCCCTTATTGGAGCTCTAAATGTGTGCTTTTTTTTCAAGTGCACCAGAACCCTCCACTCCCTTGTACTAAACAGCTCTGCAAAAGCCAGCCCTGAGGTGCCTGTGGACGTTCAGCTCTCAAGGTAAGTTTGCATCTGCTGCTACGATAGCAATCAAGTCAGACAAAAGCCACACAGGACAACACCCAAGGAATCCAAAGCGGAAGAGGGTAGAGAGCAGAAGGAACACAGGACTGGAAGCAGAGGATCATGCAAGTAGACGTGACTGTGCTTGGAAAAGTCAACAGTGGTCGGCTCTGAAACATGGTGGGTGTTCTCATCAGCTTATTTATACACTACTTGGAATCAATCCCCCCAAAATCCTCAAAAAGTCACTAACGGAAGGAGGGGAAATAACCTCCTCCTTCATAATCCCACCTGGCAAACTCCCACCTTAATAACATGACTTCAAAGGCATCACTCCACTGTATAGCTCGGTTTTTAAACAAACCATACACTGCCTGGTTTACCAGATGTCCCGAAGGTCCAGCGTAAGGGCAGGCCCAGAATATCCATCCCTACCAGGCACGATTTTTACTCCTTTCTCCCCCAGCATCTTGCACTCTTCTCTCTTACAAGTTCTAAATAAGAAGTCTGCCTTTTCTTGGGCCAAGCACGGTGGCTCACCCTGGAATCTCAGCACTTTGGGAGGCTGAGGCTGCAGGATCGTTTCAGCCCAGGAGTTCGAGACCAGCCTGGGCAACATAGCAAGACCCTGTCTCTACAAAAAATGAAAGCATTAGCCGGGTGTGGTGGTGCACGCCTCTTGTCCTGGATACTTGGGAGGCTGCGGTGTTGGGAGGCTCTCCTGAGCCCGGGAGTTCAAGGATGCAATGAGCTATGATCATGTCACTGCACTCCAGCCTGGGTGACAGAGCGAGAGCCTGATTCTTAAAGACAAAAAAAAAAAAAGTCTGCCCCTTCTGAAAACAAAAAACAAAAAACAAAAAAAACCCACTTGCCTGTGACCTGGGTGAGTCAGCAGGTTTTCCCTTCCTTCACAACCAAACTTCCGACCCGCTGTCTGCCTTTCCGGACTTCGCCTCTCCACCTGGGCCCCCATTAGTTCCTGTGGTCTCGCTTCCTCTCCACCTGCAGAATCAAGCTCCCAGAAGGGTCTTGAGAGCTCGGGCTTTGGAATCAGAAGGGCCTGGAGCAAAGCCTGGCACCTCCACTCCTCACTGGTTGCAGCTCCTTATTTAACCTCTGTAAGCCACCCTAGGGCACTGCGGACAGTTGTAAACTGAGGACAATAATAGGACCCACGTCATAGGGATAAGGTGAAGATTAAATGAGCTAACTACGTACATGGCACTTACTAGTAAATAAGCACTCACCATTACCAAAGGTCACCAACAAAACTGTGCTCTCCCAAATCCAATGGCCTTTTCTCAAATCCCTTCCCCCAGCCCCATATGCTGACCTCTGATGGACCATGCTATCCCTCCATGGCGGCCTGAACTGTCTGACACTGCTGCAATTCTCCATCTCTCCAACAGCAGCCTCCTTTCTCAATGGCGTCCTCAATGACCCCTGGTCAGTTTCCCCACCCCGAGTCATGCCCCACCTTTCACTAGTCCACCTCCATCTCTTCAACTCCCTCAAAAAGAACTAAGCACAGGCCTCTGAAGAAGTTACAAGAGAACTGCTCATTTGTATGGGCTTCCTTTGCTGTCTGACCTTATTTTTTTAGTCATTCTGTTTCTAGGTTTCTTATAAAAGTAATGAGGCAGTCAGGCTTGCATATATTTAAAAAGCTAAATTAATTCTGATTTCTCCATTGAAGACCTCTAAGTGTTACACATGATCTACAGTTTAATTAGTGACAAGTGATACTTTTATCACTTGAGAAAACGATGACTCAGAGACTAAATTAATTTTCCAAGATCACGCTACTTTTAGCCTGCAGAGACACCGGAACTGAACTCTGTCTTTGGTCACGAAATATGGTTCAATTCCAGGAGCTTTCTGTCTTAAGAAGCCCTTGTATCCTGCCCTAATTCCAGCGGAGACTGAGACACTCTTTTGAACACTGTTCTACTCTCTCTCCACACTTTTTTTTTTTTTTTTGACATGGGGTGTCACACTATCACCCAGGCTAGAGTGCAATGGCGTGATCTTGGCTCACTGCAACCTCCACCTCCCGGGTTCAAGAGATTCTCCTGCCTCAGCCTCCCAAGTAGCTGGGATTACAGGTGCCTGCCACCATGCCGGGCTAATTTTTTGTATTTTTAGTAGAGATGGGGTTTCACCATGTTGGCCAGGCTGGTCTCGAACCCCTGACCTCAGGTGATCTGCCCACCTCGGCCTCCCAAAGTGCTGGGATTACAGGCATGAGCCACCATGCCCAGCCTTCTACTCTCTCCATTCTTACCCTGTATCCTGCACTGACCACTTCTATAATGGCATCATATATTCCACCGATGGAGGCTAGGAGAGACTATTCCAAACACTGTGTTACTCCCCTCACCCCACTTCAAAAGAAACCCTGTCATTTCAGAGCCATCAGTGCCAATCATCTCACTGACACCGTCACTCTGGACAGACAGTACAGTCAATGGCACAGTAAAACGGAGCCAGCACCTCCCGAAACACCTCCATCCAGGGTGCAGAACAGGCCCAGGAGAGAAGGATCTTCACTAAACTGGGTCACAATTTTTGAAATGATTAGAAGTAGGAATATCTAAATCTAAGGTATATTAAAAATCCAAGGATCTCAAATGAAGAAAAGGGGTGTGGAGTTCTCTATGTAAAATAAACACAGAGATCCTGCAGGCCCTGAACACTCTTCGCCCGAAGCCTCTCCTGGACCCCCGATGCCCCACTCCTGCCCTGGCTCAACTCCTGCTTTGCTGCACCATAACCTGGCCCGGTTAATCCTGGTCAGGATTCACATCCCCTCTGTCTGCTCCCTTTCTCACTTTAGATAGAGACTCTTCTGTAAATCAAGTAACCCATAGCTTTCTTGGCTTTTAATTTTCTCCCCTTGCTCCAAAGATTAAAAAAAAAAAAAAAAAAAAAAAAGACTCTGCTTGGGTCCAGACTTCTCCACGGTGCATGAACTCCAGCAAACATTTATGTTCAAAAATCTTTGCTCTAATTGTAGAATCCAAGGATTGATCTACGTGGGTGCATGAACTCCGCCAAACATTGACGCTCAAGAACCTTTGCTATAATTACAGAATCCAAGGTTTGGTCTCTGGTTTAAGGGATTTTAAGCAAAAGCAAACTGGCACAAGAGAGAGTTCAGGGGCAGGAGCACACTTCTTTAGACCTGTAAAATAATACACCTTTAGCTGGTCTTGAAGCTACACTTGCTGAATGGGCTTGGGGACAGACCAGAGTTAGAGGACAGCAGAGGGACTCCCCTCTGCTCCGAGCCCATGCTGTCTCAACCCTGTGCTAATGCCCCTTGTCCCTGAAGTCCCATTTAATGGGCCTCCAGCCCACCTCCCACCTTCCAAAATGCTCTAACTCATCTGTGCAAAGCCAGTCTCTTTGAAGCCAGATTTAAGGACATCAAATTTAAGGACATCTCTAAGTCTCTGCTAACAGAACGTGTAGGCTGACAGCTGGACTTCACAAGCAGGTCAGGGAACTGGACCTTGGCGAGTGCACACACCCAGCACAGAGGCGCAATGCCACTGACAACAGAAGCTCTCGTAAGACAGGCTGGGGCCTCCTGCCCGGTCCCAGAACCACCTTCCTTCTGCTCCTTGCTTGGAATGAGGCCATCGTCATTCTCTTCCTCCCTTCTCTCACTGCAGCTTCCCTCTTGACTTTTTCCCTTAGCTCACTTTTCTCTGCATCTTCTCTGCGGGCCTTTGTCTGCATCTCTTAGAGAAGGCATCAGTTTCCAAAGCTACCAACGCCATTCTCAAGTAAATGACCACACATCTGCCCGTTGGGCACTCACTCAAGTGCTGTACCCTCCAACTTTCTAGCTGGCATTTACCTTCAGGGCTCTCTGTCACTTCAAAGGCAGCATGTCCAAAGCGAAACACCCTCTCCACAAAACGACCTGCATTCCCAACACTCGCTTCTGAAGGTGCAAAACGCCGGGGCCTCCTCTTTAGGCCGCTCTTATCTGCATCCTCCGTACCCTCTTCCACTTTCTGGAGAAATGTCTCCTCCCTCCATGCCAGTGGCACCAGCTACTGCCTTTCCACAGCAGTCTCTCCTGCCTCCCACTCCTTCCCATCCCGGTGAGAAAGGCCTCCCTTACATATCAATTCCCGCCTGCTCTAAGTGTGCTACAAGGAGTTCAACTGTGTCTCATTCCGTAAAACTGTCCCTCAAGCTCTTCCAACTGGGTTCGGAGCTCCCGTTCTGAGCTACCACATGGGAAGGGAGGATCCCGGGCAGGCAGAATAAGCCTGATAACCTGCTTCACCCAGGGCATCTCTCATCTTATCTGTTTTTCAAGTGAGTTGCTGGTGTGTGCTTTCATTTGATTAAAGTTTAAAAACTGAAGACCTCTTCCAACTAGTGAAGGGATCACTCCAGTAGCAGCCCTGCCAGGGAGTGTGCTGTGTTTTAATCCAGCTCAGGTCACTGTTAGAGCCAACAGCTCTATGAGAAAGAGCAGCCGAACCCCTATCTGCTTTTCTGTAACTTCTACCCATAGGTCTGTGCTCAGAACGAATACAGACCAGGCCTAATCTTTTCCAAGCGACTTTGGCAGCCCTTCCCAATTCTGTCTCCTTCATAACACTAACACTTTGATCCGGAAGCACTTTACAGTTTCAAGCATGTATGTTTCAGCTGCAAACAACCCTCCGAAGCAGGAAGTACCCATTTCTATTCGCCCCACCTACATGCCTGTATTTCCCATTGCCCTCTCACACAAACTCCTGCTCTAATTAAGCCAGTTTCCTGTCTCATCCAGGAAAGACAAACCAACTGTAATCTCCAGGCCTTCATTCCTGATGCCCCTAGTGCTGCGGAAGGACCAGTTTGACCCTGTCCACCCCTCAAGGCCTGGCTTAGGCCCCAAAGGCTACGAGGCACCCGGTGGACAAACTTGGATTCAAATCTCAGCTCTGTAAAGCAATGCAGCCTTGGGAAAATGAATCAGCTTCTCTGTGCACCCATTTCCTAAATGTATAAAAGGGAAATGACCTGCCCATCACAGGGAGAACTCAGTGAGACAAAAATCATAGCTGGGAACTTGGAATCAGCTCAAAAATATCAACTAGCACCCCTCTGTTTTAACTACTTCTATTCTTACTGTTCTTGGCCTTGTCTGAAGTCTCAGAGCAAACCGTTCCATGATATTTTCTGAAACATATACATGCACTGATGATGTAGAATCCAGGATTTCTCATTATTGTTTTTCTTTCTTTTTTGAGGTGGGGAAGGGGTCCTGCTCTGTTGCCCAGGCTGGAGCGCAGTGGTGCAATCACGGCTCACTGCAGCCTCAAACTCCTGGGCTCAAGCCATCCTCCTACACCTCAGCCTCCTGAGTAGCTGGGACAGGCATGTACCACTGTACCCAGCTGTTTTTCTTGTTCTTATTTCCTTAGATAACCAGTTACCGCCGCACAGGTGGGGCTTAGCTCAAGGAAAACATGGCTGACTGAGTTTGTAGGGATATGCTCACAAAGCGAAATGTCAGAGGATGCTGAGGCCGTTTCTGCACCTGCCACATGGCCAATGGGCCTTGGGTGTTCCAGTCTTGGGGAGACTATTTGTTGGGGGACATATAGCATGGAGATAAATCATGAGTGACCCCAAGAAAATTCTAATACTTGGCCTACATGTTGTAAACATTGTTTGCTAATTAAAACTTCAACTTGAAGATTGGGAAAAGCTTGCTTCAACAGCAAATATTCATACCTAGTTACCATATGAAAGACAAATTTCCTCAGTAGAAGAAACCTACGTAGTGTATCCAGTTACATATTTGGATAGACTAAGTAGGTTTAGTATATTTGCACAGGATATATTAACTCAGTGCTTGGGTGTTTTGATACACAATTAAAAAGTAATATATTAATAGCTAGTAATTGTCCTCTGACTTTCCAATTCCAGACGCCCTAGGGAGTTCACTTTTCAAACACTCTACAGAGACACTGAGTCCACACAATAGCTTGAACAGCCAGGAAGCACAGAACTCGGGAAGCCCACTGGCCTCTTCTGAGCTTCCCTGCTACACTGGAAAGCACAATGCAAGTAGATCTAAATTCAAAAGTAAGGCTGTGTTTAGGCCTAATGAATCACCTGCCTTCCGCTGAAGGAATCAGGTCCTTTCAAGAAAAAAGTTTCAGGTATGAATCATATCTTCACGGCACAAGGATTTCATAAAACACACTTGGCTGAGGTGGCTCTTGACCCACACGGCTGCACCTAACGGGATCTCTCACTTACTTCCCTGGGCCAGGATGGTCAAGCCCACCCAGGACCGTGCCTTCCACAACTTGCTCATTTCAGGGCCATGTGAAGACACCACCAGTGCCCATGTGGCTGTAGAGATCCCAGACAAACGGGACCACCACATGGCATGAACTACTAAGATGTACATTTCCTCGCATTGCCACATCCCTGAAAGAGGACATGCCTTTCAATCCATTACGTGTCATGGTTTCATTGCAAGCAGTTTTTCTAAGAGATACATAAAATAACAGTGCATCTTAGCATCATTGGCATCTGGCGTTCGATGGAATACAGTGGGTACATGTGAGCAAAGTGTGTTGAAAAGGCAACATCTGTTACTCCGTTCTTATTTCTCCATTAACTGCGATTATGAAATTAAATCTGCATCCTAATGGAAAACCCCTCACTCCCACCCCACATATCCTACTTATTTATACATCTATTTAGTCAACAAATGCGGATGCATCTATTCAGTTATCAAATACGTATTAGTGATCTGTTCTGGGCCAGGCACTGAGCTAGATAATGGGAAAAGAGTAGTAAATACGATTCAGTCACACTTGAAATTGTAGCAAATTCTCACACATGTGTGAGAAAGCTGTGCTTTTCTGACTAAATAACATGAATCAAAACGTAGGCCTTAAAAATACAAACTCAGCCAGGCTCACACTTGTAATTCCAACATTTTGGGAAGCCGAGGCAAGAGGATTACTTGAGGCCAGGAGTTTGAGACCAGCCTGGGCAACAGAATGAAACCTCACCTCTATAAAAGAAAATTTTTTTAAATTATCCATGCTTGGTGGCACACACCTGTAGACCCAACTACTAGAGGGAGGCTGAGGCGGGAGGATCACCTGAGCCCGGGAGGTTGGGGCTGCAGTGAGCTATGATCGCGTCACTTCACTCCAGCCTGGGTGACAGAGTAAGACCTTGTCTCAAAAAAAAAACAAAAAAAAAAAAAAACGAAAAAAAAAACTGTGAGAAACGATATGGCTAACAACTAGGTTTGTTCAATTGTAAAAAAAAAAAAATGTTTTAAGAGGTAATATAGGAGAAACATATATCCTTAAAAAATACTTAAAAGACATTCAAAAATCACATGTGGATTTTATATGGGTCTTAATTTAAGTAACAAACTACACGAATGTTATAACATGTATGAAACAACTGAAACTCTGACCACTGGCTGGATATTCACTGATATTGAGAAATTACTGTGAACTTTTTCAGGTACAGTAATGACATCATGGTATTTTTACAGAGCACTTATCTTTTAAATATATATACTGAACTATTATGGAAGAAATGCTATGAGGTTTGGAATTTGCTTCAAATTCCAAAAAATAGTTCAAAAAAAAGCTGAACTATAAAAAATTGTTTTGGGGCCGAGTGCCGTGGCTCACGCCTGTATTCCCAGCACTTTGGGAGACTGAGGTGGGCGAATCACTTAAGGTCAGGAGTTCAAGACCAGCCTGTCCAACATGGTGAAACCCCATCTCTACTAAAAATACAAAAATTAGCTGGGCATGGTGGCACGTGTTTGTAGTCTCAGCTACTCGGGAGGTTGAGGCAGGAGAATCGCTTGAACCCAGGAGGCGGAGGTTGCAATGAGCCAAGATCGCGCCATTGCACTCCAGCCTGTGCCAATAGAGCAAAACTCCATCTCAGTTTAAAAAAAATTAAATAAATAAATTACTTCTGTAAGTCAAAAATGGTTGAAGGGCTGCAATTTCATGTTAGAAGTCAGGAAATGGGAGGGGCTATTGATGAAGCAAAACTGGCCAGGAGCTGATTAAGGTTAAAATTAATCTGAATGATGGCCTATGGGGTAAATTTTACTCAACTGTCTCCTTCCTATGTGCATAAAATCTTTCCACAATGAAAAGTTAAAACAAAATTAGGCCTTTAATACAGTACAATATTTAAATTTAGTTAAAAATAAAAACTAGTAAAAGTGAAACTGAAAGCATCACTGCAAAAACACCCTCCGCCTAAATTTCTTCATCTGCAAAGGGAGGCCAGGGAGCTCGACAATCTCTCTGAGATCCCTGGGTCTGTGACCGCAGTGTATGCTCTCTGCTCAGCCACTGAAGCTCGTCCCCAGTTTTGCAGGGCATATTCGGCTCTTCTCTTACTATTTAACAAGGGCCACCTAATCTATGCATAAAGATCCTCAGACTGTAGGGGAGTTCAGACGACACAGCCTAGTGAGAAGCTGACACACACATGCACATCCCATGGAAAACCCTTGTGGGGTGTGAGAGATGATTCTACAGTGGACAGAAGGCAGCCATTGAGAGCTGTTCTGATAGAGTGCTGACATTGACCACTCTGTCCCCCACCAAAGGGCCTGTGACGGAATGTCTGTAACATAGAGTTCATACATTGTATAGAGGTCTATAACATTTAATACATATTAAAGTATACTTAATAGCCTGAAAATATACTTAATAGTATGAGAATAAGCTGTTGTGGAGTTTAGCTGGCACAAAATGACCACTGGCAACGGCTGTGGTGGCCAGATGGAGGCCTCAGCCTGCCGAGCACAGTGAGAATCTGTGACTTCATTCATAAATTTCCCAGAGAAACGGGATGAGGCAGGGCCCTGTGTACCTCCATGTCTGCAAGTGGATACATGCTGAAGAGCAAACATGTAAAGCACAGAAGACACAAGCAAAGGAAGAAAGAGGACACACTGAGGTCCTGTGACTCATCTTTACAAGGCAGAATATGAGTCATTAATAGGATCCCAACTTTGGCTTTCTCTCTGAATCACCCAAGATTACCTTGATGTGCTTAACTTTGTCTTCTTTTTCTGTCTTTGGTTTCTTTCCTGTGGCAACAAAAATGTAGTTTTGGATTAATTCACGAAGGGCCTCCAGAGAAACATTTCCCTCAAATTAAATTCTTTCTGAAACTCTCAATGAACCTGTTGCTTTAATCTGTACATGGTCAAAATTCCACATGTATCTTTCACTGCCTCTGGTGAATCGAAAGTCTTGTTTCCAAGCCAGGTAGGGGCGGAATGATCCCCTACAGCATGAACAGGCTATTCTACCTGCAAACTGACTGCAGATGTAGAAATGAAGAGATCACGAAGGCACGATGACACAAATTGATTTACCTTATTTTAGTCTGTAAATGCCTTTACCTTTCTTAGAAGGCCGTTCTGATAGGGGCAGCATTCGGTAGACCCTGAAGGCATTATTTCCTTTCTTTATGCTTTTATCCTTGACTTCTTCAATATCAGGCAAGGAATTCATGGCGCATCTGAAATTCGCCTTCCATGTTTTGGGATCAGGTTTATCTACTCCTGGTTGATGCTTTCCTAACAAAAGAGACAAAGATTAAGAAAAAGAGAGAAAACATTAGATACAGAGGAAGGAATTTCTGGAAACACAGTATTGCTGGTCAGGCAGTATAAGGAAACCTTTTCACTCCATGCTATACCTCCAGTGACCAATCGTCCTGGTGTACCTGGGGGTGAGAAAGTTCTTGGGATGTGGGAATTTTGTTTTTAAAACCTGAACAGTTCCAGTCAAACTGGGACAAGTTGGTCACCCTGGTTCTACTGAACAGCTTGAGGAAACTATAAATGCTGGAAGAATGGAGCATCAGCGTAAGAAAAATATAGAAGACTGAGAGGCTGCAAAGTCAACAGGCAGAGGGAAGCTGAGTGCCTCTTTTTCATCTGACGCTCCAACAAAGTCCATTCCTGTAAACAGCTCCCTACGTAAAGGTTGTAATAAATACAGGTATTTCTGACTACCTTTTTGGGGGGGAGATAAATTTGACCAAAGTTTATAGCATCAGAACAACTGAGTTTCTATTCCCCGGTAACACCTAGGGAACTTCTTAGAATACCACATTTATAGGAAATTGAAGGACTAAGAGTGTATGGGATGAGGGGAGCATTACTTCTGAGGGCTGCAGTTTGTACCCCATGTGTCCTGGATGTGCCTAGGGACAAGTCACAGGTTTTTCAGAGCCATCTTCATGAGGTCATAAGCCAGGCTATTTTATGTGTAATAAAAACAAAACTAAGCAAGAGTGCCTTCCTCTATAAACGCCGCAGGGAGTTTTAGTACCTGTATGGATTGCCCAGTTTCTAAAGAGTGGTGCATCTTTTTCCACATCCCACCCATGTCTAGCCGCATGCATCCAGGGGATCTGAAAAATCTTCTTTTCCTGAAAAAAAAAAAAAAAAAAAAGGTAAAGAACTGGAGTCATGGGTTTTGGCCCACCATTGCAAAAGGTTGTGAAGGTCTAGCCAGCAAGATTCCCCAGCAAGCATCGCTGAATGTGTTGACTGCTGACAAGAAAATCTACTGTAAACCAAACCCACTTCCCCCGCTGGATCCCAAATCTTGATAGACTACCCCGAGTGACAGTCAGTCTCGTGAAGTCTTGCAGAGCAGGAATGTTTTCCAAGGTCAAAGGTGATGATTTGACCTTGTGTGTTCCATTATTTGTGCCTCTTTTCTAGTTTTCAATATATTTTTTTGGAGACAGAGTCTCGCTCTGTTGCCCAGGCTGCAGTGTAGTGGCGCGATATCGGCTCACTACAACCTCCACCTCCTGGGTTCAAGAGATTCTCCCACCTCAGCCTCCTGAGTAGCTAGGATTACTGGCATGTGCCACCACGCCTGGCCAAGTTTTGTATTTTTGGTAGAGATGGGGTTTTGCCATGCTGGCCAGGCTGGTCTCGAACTCCTGACCTCAAGTGATCTGCCCACCTCAGGCTTCCAAACTGCTGAGATTACAGGTGTGAGCCACCACACCCGGCCCTGTGCCTCTTTTTTTTATAAAACCACAGAAAAATGGCCACCTACCGAAACTTCTAATGCTTACTCTTATAATTTATTCTCGTCGTTTGGTAAATAGTAACTCCAGCTATCTTAGGTAAATTAAAAATTAGACAAGTTTCCAAAACCCTTGATGCTACTAAAGAAAAGTCGGGTACATCTGAGGCCACTGTCACAGAAACCAAATATCTCCATTTGCTTGTGCATCCAACAGAAATAGAAAGTAATGTTCGAATCCCTGTGGGTCTACTGCCTGCAAGAAATAGCAAGAAGTGCAAACAAAGAGGTAGAGGTTATGAAATGACACATTTTTCTGGAGAAACATCCCTCAATACAATCCTTATATCAGACTATCTCTACATCTCTCTCAGTGTTGAGGTCTGTAACTCAAAACCGCCTCAAGCAACCCTGAAAAACACATGATTGGAAACCCATGGTTTAGTAACAAAGCCGTACTCTTAGTAAAGCTACAGATGAGGAACCTGGCCCAAGCAGCTCTTGTGGCGGTACCGGCAGGTACTAAGGTCCCATTGGCACTGTGCATCTGACTACCCACATCCACAGGGACCTCAGTTTTGTCTTCCTCCCACAGCCTACTGAGTGAGGTATATGTTACGATTTCCATTTTATAGCTGAGGAAACCAAGAAGCAGATTTTAACTATTTAGTCAAGGAACTTGCAGGATAATAAGTGTCTAAGTTCAAAACCCAGGTCATGCGACTCCATATGCTATTACTTAATCACCCACTCATTGTCTCCCAGCTTTTAGATTTGGAAGAGTCCCTGTCCTATGACAGACCAGTTGAGACCTGGATTCTGTGGAGATTAAAGCCCAGGAGGTTGTACTCTTTCAAAGCTCTCAAGGCAGTTCTGGTAATTGCTAGGTATGCGGATCCCTGCACTAGATGCTGAGGAAGGAGAGGAAATGTCAGCAGGGAGTTTCCACCACTTCAGTCTCACATAGTGAAACACAGAAAGGGTCCCAGCTGTCCCCAAAGAGATTCAGCGCCTCTCCACAGAACCAATCACAAAGCCAGAACAAAGACTATTTCAGAACATTGGAGAGTTTCCCAAAACCTGTTAAAAGGAAAATTCTACCATCTTCTAAAAAGTCAGTTATTAAAGGAGAACTGAAAGTGAGAGACTTTTTCATAAATTCCTCGGTGTTCATTCTGTATCATCCACAGAGAGGGCTTCGGGTTAGCCAATTTCAAAAGGACAGTGATCAGAAAGGGGCTGAGTGACATTTTATGCTTTAATGTAGATGAAAATCGACAGCAAAATCACTTAATGCCATTTATTGATGTTCACATGAAAATGAATACAAGTGAAAATTCATTTCGTGAAAGAGCTTTTCCTGAAGTGCATGCCCAGAATCTAAAGCTTTATGCTTAAACACCGAGATTCTTAAGAATTTGCTGTTGCACTTTTTTCTAGATCAAAGGAGTTCTAGGGTGACACAATCTGAAATCTAACTTGCAAGACACAAAATTGATACAGATAAAGTAGATCTTTTTAAGCATCTGCACGCATGCATGCATACACATACACACACACACAACCAAACCTAGTCCCACAGAAACCGCAAAAGCCATGCAACTACAAAAGCGCTGACCAAACCCAGCAACATACACTATGGACCCTCTTGAAATGTGCAACAGGCCTGAGTAGACTGGAATAGTTCAGGTGTTTGTCCCCTCAAAATCTCGTGTTAAAATTTGATCGCTAGTGTTGCAGGTGGGGTCTGGTGGACGGTGTTTGGGTCATGGGGCAGGATCCCTCAAGAATGGCTTGGTGTCGTTCTCGTGGTAATGAGTAAGCTCTCACTCCATTAGCTCCGGTGAGAGCTGATTATTCAAAACAGCCTGTCGCCTGCACCATTCTCTCTTCCTCCCTCTCTTGCCATGTAATGCCCTTTGCCTCCCATCCTGAGGCCTTAACAGAGGCAGATGCCAAGGTCATGCTTCTTGTACAGCCTAGAACCCTGACCCAAAGAAGCCTCGTTTTTTTATAAATTACCCAGCCCCAGGTAGTCCTTTGTAGCAACATGAAACAGACTAACCCACAGACATGTCTCCAAAAAAAGATACACAAATAACAAACGTTGGTGAGGATGTGGAGAAACTGGAATCCTCACACATCGCTGTGGAAATGCAAAATGGTACAGCCACTCTGGAGAAAAAGTTTGGCCATTCCTCAAGAAAGTGAAACACAGAATTACCTGATGATCCAGGAATTTTACACCTGGATATATACCCAAAGAATTCTAAGCCAACATTCAAACCAAAACATAAACGTTCATAGCAGCACTACTTTCAAAAGCCAAAAGATGGAAACAACCCGAGTGTCCATCAGCTGATGAATGGGTAAACAAAATGTGGTATATCCATACAATGGAATATTATTCAGCCACAAAAAGGAATAGAGTATTGACACATGCTACCATGTGGACGAACCTTGAAAACATTATGCTGGATGAAAGAAGCCAGACACAAAAGGCCAAAAATTGAATGATTCCATTTACATGAAATATTCCAGAAAAGACAGAGAGCAGAGAGCAGACAGAGAGCAGAGATCCATAGAGACAGAGAGCAGATTACTGGTTGCCACAAGCTAGGGGGGAGGGAAATGGGAAGTGACTGATTAATGGGTACAGCATTTCCTTTTGGAGGGATAAAAAGTTCTGGAACTGGACAGTGGTGATGGCTGCATGACATCGTGAATGTCACTTTAAAATGGTAAATATTTTTTAAACTACATGTCACCTTTACCTAGTTTTTCATACTTCAGGAAAAAAAAGAAAAGACTAATAAACTTATCAGAAATATCTTTAAAATTGTATCACAGATTCTTTTTTTGAAGAAGACCATATGAAAAGGTAAGAGAAAGCAAGATTCATTTTAAAACTGAAAGAGATTCTGACCAGTAAACATTCTGGTCACAAGTTGTGTGTTCCATGGGACATGACGGTGTTGCTATGTGTGTGTAGACCCCGTGACGTCAGTATGTGCCAGGTGTCTCATCCCCGAGTGACCAGTCCTGCACACGTGGTGGTGGTACATGCTGTGTATAGACAGACGCGCCATGCCAGGGCCCACCATTTGTACGTGTGTGCACAACTCTGCCCATCTGAAGGAAGGCAGGAGAGATGAGCGCTGCTTGACTTCAGAAAAGCATCTGACATTATTTTGAGCAATGTAGAACAATGTTCCTTGGCCCCACATGGAAACTAGTTCTGTTATCTCCTCTGCCTCTTCTTCCCCCCAACATTTGCAAGACGTTCCAATTAGTGTGCTATTTTTGTCTGGACTCCTTACCGTGGTCAGAGATAGCCTGATGTTTACACAAACACAAGTCTACTCTCAAAGTGAAAAAAAGGGAAAGATCTGATGATTCCCCTGCCTTAGTGCATGGATCCAGGAAGAACTAAGAACATCAATAACCCCACCAGAGTTGGGGGTCACATGGAGCCACGAGAGAAACCAGGACCCCGGATGTGACTGCCTCCTTCCTTCCTCAAGAAATGGCCCAGGGAACCACAAGCAAGCATGTGGACAAACCCAAAACTAACCTGGTCTCAACAAGTCAATGGCGAGAAGGAAAAAAACAGAGGCCCACAGTCAGCAGAGACTTAGAGTCATAAACACCAAACACAACCTGTGGACAGTCTTTGAATTCTGATTTGAACAAATCAACTGTAAAAAGATTATTTGGGAATACTCAAGGCATTCTTAATATGAATGGAGCAGTGATGATATTAAACAGTACTAATTTTGTCCAATTAACAATGGTATATTGTGGATATATAAGAAAATGCCCTTATGTCTTACAATGTATGCTGTCAGGGAGCTGCTTTAATATACCAGATACACACAGATACACACACACACACACACACAAAGATAAGGCAAAATATTCATACATCTAGATACAGGCATATGAAAATTTGCTATCCTATTTCTTTTTGTCATTGGGCTACTCAAACATGCTATGCACATTTGCAAATACCCATAACCAAAGGTAAATTGCCCCAGCCAAGGTCTCATTCATGAGCTGGTTATAATGCACTTTTCCAAACTTCCTCGCTGTTCCTTCAGAGGAATCCAAGGGACCCATTCCATTCCCACCCTCCTTCAAACTTATTAAAAGTAGGTGCTATGGTTTGAATATTTGCCCCCTATGACACTTATATTGACATTTAATCCCCAATGTGGCAGTACTGAGAGGTGAGGCCTTTAAGAGGTGATTGAGTCATGAGGGCCCTGCCCTCATGAATGGATTAATCCATTCAGGGATTAATGGATTAATGAGTTGTCATGAGGGGTAGGATTGTGGCTTTTTAAGAGGAAGAGAGACCTGTGCTAGCACGTGAGCATGCTCTTTCCCCGCACCGGGTGATATCCTGCACTGCCTCAGGACTTTGCAGAGGGTCCCCACCAGCAAGAAGGCCCTCACCAGATGCAGCCCCTCAACCTTGGACTTCTCAGCCTCCATAACTGTAAGAAATAAATTCCTCTTCTTTACAAATTATCCAGAGTCAGGTATTCTGTTAGAAGCAACAGGGAACAGACTAAGACAATAGAGGATGGAAACAAATTTAAGGCATTAATTAACCAACTCTTTCTCTCTTACTAAGAATGGAGTAGGTTGAATGGACTTTCTGAGAGCCATGTGACAACTGCCAAGCCAGTGTCCATAAATCTGATTATCTTAACAGAACAAAAACACCACCAATGTTGCTCCCCTTCAAATCCATGACATTCATCTGTGTATTCCCAGAACAATTTTGACAGAGGGCCTCCCACTTACCAGGCACTAGGCCTGGCCCTGAGCATGCAGACATGAAGAAGATAGCCAAGGCACTGGTGCATGGGGCTCCCAGCCTGGAGCACTTCACAATAAACATGAACACATCCTGAATGCCGACTGAAGCAGAAGTGAGTCCCACAGCCCCATGGACAGTGTATTCTAAGAGTTACAACAATCTTCAGTGGCAAAAGAGATCTTGGAATGACCTCAAACCACTCAAAATATAAACAAGGATTCCCAGGCAGAATGCTTGTGAATGGGAGGGAAGAACATTAGGCTCTCAGTTAAGTATTTATATGGACAGATGAATGCCAACAAGCCTAAGTTAACGGAAACCTATAAAAAAATGCCCTGTGGGAGTGTAGGTATGGAGAGAAGAGATCCTGACCCCAGCCGAGGCCTGCAGTGACAGTGATGGCAGTGCCCATGTGCACGAGCAATGCCACGTGCCCACTCTGGCTAGGCCTCAGCAGGATGCAGCTTGACAGGGCCTCGGGGCCACAGTGCAGGCCTCGGCCTCTGTTCCAGGGCGGTGCTGAGAGGCGGCACGGGCCGGCAGCCACGGGCACGCTCTCCTTCATCAGCCTGGCTCAGGTCCAGCTGTAGCGGAGGAGCCCTGTGAGATGACACAGAGGTCTCCTTTCCTTCCATGCCTCGGGAAGAGAACTCTCGAGCCAAGAGCCAGATGAGTGACGCTCAGCAGGTAAGGACTGCCTGAAAGGGGCCAAGTGTTCATTTGCACAAAGGGAAATCCATTTGCCTTCTGGTCCTGTATCAGAAAAACATGGACAAAATAGATGGAAGAAAAGGCATCTCAACTGAGAGTCCCAGAAAGGAAGTGACCCTTAGAGGGTGCATCAATCTCCTAAGACTGTCATGAAAAATTACACAAACTGGGTGGCTCACAGCAACAGAAATGTATTCCATCACAGTCCTGAAGGCCAGAAGTCCAAAATCAAGGTCTCTGCAGGGCTCACTCCGGTTTTTGTTTGTTTGTTTGTTTGTTTGTTTGTTTGTTTGTTTTTGAGATGGAGTCTTGCTCTGTCACCCAGGCTGGAGTGCAGTGGTGCAATCTCAGCTCACGCAACCTCCACCACTGCAACCTCAACCTCCCAGGTTCAAGTGATTCTCTTGCCTCAGCCTCCCAAGTAGCTGGGATTACAGGCACCTGCCACCACACCCAGCTAATTTTTGTGTTTTTAGTGGAGATGGAGTTTCACCATGTTGGCCAGGCTGGTCTCAAACTCCTGACCTCAGGTGATCTGCCCAACTCAGCCTCCCAAAGTGCGGGGATTACAGGCGTGAGCCACTGCGCCCAGCCAGGGCTCACTCCTTTCCAAGGCTCTGGGAAGGATCCTTCCTCGCCTCTTCTTGGAGTCCCTCGGCTGCGGCTGCCTATTTCCAGTCTCTGCCTCAGTCCTCACATGCCCCTCTCCTCTGTGTGTGCCTTCTCCTCTTCTGTCTCTTATAAAGACACTCCTCATTGGCATCAGGGCCCACCCAGAAAATCCAGGATGATTTCATCTCAAGGTCCTTCACTATATCTGCAAAAACCCTTTTTCCAAATGAGGTGACATCCACAGGTTCTGGAGGTTAGGATGTGGACATATCTTCTCCGGGAGCCACAGTTCCATCTACTACAGCACCAAGAAGGGACTAATGGTTAGTCTAAACCAACCACAGCGGTCAACATATCAGGCACCTGCTCAACAGGAGAGGTGTGAGACACTGTCTCTTCTCCACTGCATCCTGCCAACCAAAACTAGTGGAGGTATTTTTGAAAAAGGAAAAGCAGAAGCAGACCACTTGCTTCTCTTTAGAACACAGGAGCATTTGCTTTCCTCTCCCACTCCACATCAAACAGTAATGCTACCTTGTTCCTCAAAACAGAATCTTACTTAACCTCTCTGTGCCTTGGTTTCCTTGTCTGTAAAATGGAAAATATTAACTGTACCTACCCCATGGTGGCGGAACGTGAGCTAATGCATGTACCTTGCTTAGAAGGGTGCCTGGCACACAGTAAGTGCTGAGTACAAGTCAGCTTTCATTCAGTGTCATTTGCTACCCTGGCTCTCCAGCTCCCCTTTACTCTGGTCCCCCCTTCCTTATACCTCCACGGCACCCCTGCTAACTGAGCTGACCAAGGAGCAACTCCATTTCTTGTTTGTTTCTTTGGAAGAAGCTGATTACATATGTAAATCTAAAACACTATAGATAGAGCAACCCTAGAAAAATACATTGTGGTAAGACCTTGAGATATGGGACAGGTCACAGGAAATAAGCAGATGGTTTCTTCATTTCTATTTACTTAGTGCCTCACCTTGTTTCAGAAAGGCTCAGACAGACATATTCAACACAGTAACATTAAATTCAAAATCAGGCTGGGCACTGCGGCTCATGCCTGTAATCCCAGCACTTTGGAAGGCCAAGGCGGGCAGCACTTGAGTCCTGAAGTTCCAGACCAGTCTGGGCAACATAGTGAAACCCCATCTCTACAAAAAATATAAAAATTATCCAGGAGCGCACCTGTGGTCCCAGCTACTTGGGAGACAAAGGTGGGAGGATCGCTTCAGCACAGAGGCAGAGGTTACAGTGAGCTGAGATCGTGCCACTGCACTCCAGCCTGGGTGACAGAGGGAGACCTTGTCTAAAGAAAACAAAAAAAAAATCAAAATAAGTGGATAAAAGGAAAATAGTAAAAAGAAATAAGATTTGAAAGATATCTGAAAAGACCCAATAAGGCCAGGAATGATATTAGTTAAAAAAAATTATACTGCAATATCCTGTTCCCTTGTTGGAAGCAGGCTACAATCTGCAATCTGGCTCTAAGCTCTTGTACCTGATACAAAGATAAAGCCTGGCCAGCTAAATTATTCATTGTGTCCTTAAGATTAAAAAAGAAAAGGGGAGGGAGTGGAGAAGAGGAAAAAGGCATTGACTCAGAACTGTTCTGGTAGGAGAGGAACTTCTCTCCTGGGCCTCCTTAAAGAAGGCATGATATATATTTAGTTGCTTTTCTAGATTATATAGTTCTAGAAGTTTTTCATTTTTGCCGACATTATCTCTTTCTGATTCACCCCTAACAGCTAGGATCAATTAAATTAAGAGTTTTTAGGTTAACAAAGTAAGGGAGTGTTTGTGCCTGGAAGGGGCAGGTTGTAAATGACTGGCTGCTTTCTTAGGAAAGGTGGACACACAGATAGGGCTTCATTACAGAGGTAAAAAGAAGGCTTTTTTTAAAGACAAAAACAAGCTTTCTTTAAACAGAGAACATGGAAAAGGAAATGCTCCATTCCTAATATAAAACCCTGGAGTTTCCATGTCCTCTAGTCCTAAAAGGCCAGGAGAAGCAAAAAAAAGGAATTTGGAGAAGGAAGAGGGTAAGAATCCTCAAAGAAGCAAGGAGCTTTCCAAAAAAAGCAAGGAGCTTTCGAGAGGCAGTCAGCCAAAACACCAAAGGTGAGCAGACATTGGAGACTCCAGGCTGAGGCTACAGTCGTACAGGATACAAATCCTTTTGTGACCGGGTTCAGTGGCTCATGCCTGTAATCCCCACACTTTGGGAGGCTGAGGTGGGAGGATCACTTCAGCCCAGGAGTTCAAGACCAGCCTGGGCAACATGGCGAGATCCCAGCTCTACAAAAAAATACAAAAATTGGCCAGGTGTGGTGACGTTTACCTGTAGTTCCAGCTACTCTGGAGGCTGAGGTGGGAGGATCACTTGAACCCAAGAGGTCGAGGCTGCAGTGAGTTATGACTGCACCACTGCACTCCAGCGTGGGCCATATAGTGAGACCCTGTCTCTAAAAGAAAAAAAGCCTTTGAGATGATAACTTGATGTTTTATGATCATTTTGGGTTGGCTGGTTTTTGTCATGAATAAGCCTAAGATTTTGAATACACACGATTTTACTTTCAGCAGTCCGCATGGGCGTGTTTCAGCCAGGACCTCTCTCACACATACACCCACCCTGACCCACTCACCTTGTTAAGCCACTTGAGCCCCGGGATCGTGTTGGAGTTTATCTGCTCCTCCAGCCACGGGCGCATGCGCATCCTTTCCACCGGCATGGTGCCCTTGAGGGAGAGAAACACAGCGTCAGGCGTTGGTGCCACTCAGTGTGGTGTCTGCACTGCAGAGTTCTACACCCCGCCTGACTCTTTCCTTCTCTCCTTTCCTGGGGCTGGGGACCAGGGGGCTGGGGGGTCGGTGTACTCAGGGGCTGTGCCACCTGTGCAAGCCCAGCCCTCGCACCGGCCAGGGGGCTATCTGGAGACACAGGATGGTCCAGGCCTGCCCTCCGCTGGGAGGGTCCTATGGACATTGGAGACCAGGACCCACACTCCTCCCCAGGAATTTGCCTAGAGGGAGGCTTTATCCCCACTGCACTGGCCGTGTTTTGAGGCTTCCGTTGCTCAGAGGCCCCAACGCCTTTGGGGATGATCCTTCCAAGAGCCAAGGGGTGGGCAGAGCAAAGCAGTTGTGGGAAAAAATTATGATAGCCAAGCCATTCCTTTTGAGAATCTGGGTTATACAAACGCTTTCAACCCCCAATATTAACATTTAAAGCTCGAAAGGAATCAGTTAATTTGGCTTTCCCAAAGTTTTCCACCAACTACCCGTCCCTCCTGACTTTACTTCCAGAGCCCCTGGAAGCCTGCACAGGTATCTCCTTTGCTTTTGCTTTTACCCGAATGCAGTCTCTCACCCAAGTGTCTTTCTTCAATGCCAGCCTCCCCGCTGACCTGACATCACCCCCTTTTCCTTTAACTTACTTTCCCTTTGAAAATCATTTTCATAGTCTGACCACCCTTCCTCCGCCAGTCCACACAATGCCTCCCTGCTGCTTCCAGATTCCTTTCTAAGATAGACTTCTCCTGGTCCATCGGAATAGATCCAGAGGGGAATCACTAACAAAGTACCTTCCACACTGTCCCCCACTCATCTTCACCCTATCTATGCCTGCATTCACATCTAATCTGGGCTCCAAAAGCAAAGATGGGTCAGGTGCAAGCCTCCATTCTATAGGACCTCACAGACAGTGTGACACTGTAATCCTCTTCTCAATCCTGATTGGTCCCTTCCTTCTTTTGTTCATTTCCTCCAAAATTGAGCTCTGAAAATTCTATTCCTTGGCATTTGGGCTGATGTCTCAATAACTCTCCTTCCCAGCTTGCCATGGACTTCCTCTCTCCTCTATTCCCTGCGCCCAGAACATGCCAGAGTTACAAGCATCCTTCCGTGACCCCCAGCCCCTGGGCCTCACCCTGGGCCTGTATGCCTCCTGCTGTCTGGCCCAGCCTTTTCCTTGTATGCCTCCTGCAGTCTGGCCCAGCCTTTTCCTTGTATGCCTCCTGCAGTCTGGCCCACTGACTGCTGCAGACACCTCCTGCTCCGTGCTCATCCCGTGCCCTCTGCTCTTCATTCCCTGGCCTTGCAGGTCCTTATCCGCCCTCTAAGACCTAGCCTCCTCCTCCACAAGGGCTTCCCAGACCACTCCCGCCTAAAGTAGTCCCTCTGCCTCCAGCTCCTATGTTACTCACTGATCTTACACTGCTCCTTTGAAAAACCAAACATTGCTTTAGGGCAGTTGTTTTAAGTAAAGTCTTTCATCTTATCCCTTGCCTTACCTATACACCTCTCAGCTGTGTATAGTCCACTCTCTTTTCCTAACCAAATTTAAGTTCTACCGCAGGAAGAGCATCACCTTTTTTTTCTGGAGGCAGGGTCTCACTCTGTCACCCAGACGGGAGTGCAGTGACATGATCACAGCTCACTGCAGCCTCAACCTCCTGGGCTCAAGCGATTTTCCCACCTCAGCCTCCCAGTAGCTGGGACCACAGGTGTGAGCCACCACGCCCAGCTATTTTTTTTTATTTTTTGTAGAGCTGGGGTCTCCCTATGCTACCCAGGCTGGTCTCAAATTCCTGGGCTCAAGCAGTCCTCCCACCTTGACCTCCCAAAGTGCTGAGATTACAGACATGAGCTCCCATGCTCCGCCCTCTTCTAGGTCTTTTGCTAGTCCTACAAAGCGCAAATGTTGCCTTCCACATAGGAAACACTCACTGCCAGGCCCAGGCCAGCTCTGAAGACGGCTCTGAGGGCCTAGGTGGGGTGCCGTCAGAGGTTGGCCTCCTCCACTCATATGGAGGCTCCAGCCACCATTCTTTGAGACACAAACGGGAACCTTAGAGATATTTCACAAGAACACGGAATGGCCACAAGGAGTTGCAGATACTGCTGCTCTTGGTCTCATTCATTCATTTGTTCCATTCATTCATTTGTTCATCCACCCATTCAAAGGTCATGTATTGAGAATGATGCTCCAGGAACAGGGAAAGATGACATTCCCTGCCATCTAGGAACTCCCAACCTAACAGGACACTGGAAAGAAGGGAGGTACCATGCCCCATGAAGATGATAAAGAGTTTCAGAAAAGACTAGGGAGTGCTGGGAAAAGCTGTGCACAGAGGAGTGCACTGGTGACCCCTCAAAGGCTCACCCTGCAAGAGCTCTGCCCGCCAGGGTGGTGACCACCAGCCCAGCCTGATCTTCCCTCTGGAAAAGACCTCAAGACACAGATTGGAGACCACTAAATCCAGAGCGGTCAAGAAAATAGAGGGAAGAGCGAGGGAAGAGTAGTTACAGGATAGGGGTAGGTATAGTGGTCACGAGTAGAGAGCAACAGACGCCAGTTCTCCTGACAGCCTGACGTGCAGAAGTGCTGTGCGTGGTCCCTGGCGCTGCAGCTGAGCCTGAGCCTGGCAATATGGAAACACGAGAGGCGTGTGGAAGTGGCCCTGCCTCCAGCTAGTACTCAGAATATAATATTTCCTCCATTATGTTTCTCACAAATAACCAGTTGGGGGAAAAAAAAAAAAAAACAATGGTCACATCTGAAATAGTTCAAAAAGCCATATGGTATGGTTCCTATTCAGGTGACCCCCTCCAGCCCACAGTGGTTCCCGTTCTTATATTAGTGATGGCTTTTAAAGTTCTCACAGACAGGCATCTCTCTGAAAGACAGCGAAGATCAGTTTTAAACGGAAACAGTAGTTGAAAAAGTCAATTGTCAGGTAAAGCAAAGCACCAAGACAAAAAACCCAACTTTCTGTCTTTAAAACTAAAGCCTGTGTGTGAAGACACATTCGATCCACACTGTTCGCAGATTCTGTATCTGTGAATTTGCCTACTCACTGAAATATATCCACAACCCCCAAATCAATACTCAGATGCGTTGGTGGTCACTCGGGGACATGTGCTGAATTCAAGTCATCTGATGCACGTGTTCCCAGCTGAGGCTGGACAAGGCCACACTCTGCCTTCCCGCTCTTGCTCTCCTATGGCAGACAAGTGTTCTTTTCACAGGCTACAGAGTGCGACATTTGTCACATCGTTGTGCTTTTTTTGGTGACTTTGCTGTTTAAAATGGCCCCCAGGCATTGTGCTGAAGTGCCTTCCCGGGTTCCTAAGAACCAGAAGGCTATGATGCGCCTTACAGGGAAAATACGTATATTAGATAAGCTTTGCTCAGGCATGCATTATAGTGCTGTGAGTTCAATGCTCATCAATCAACAATAAATATTACAGAGGGTGTCTTCAAACAGAAACACATAAGACAAGGTTATACAATGATCAGCTGACAAAATATTGTGACCAGTAGCTCGCAGGAACCCGATGTCCTTATAAGAAGAGGGAAGTGTGGACACAGACACAGAGAAGAATGCCGCGTGAAGACACAGACACAGAGGGAGGATGGGCACGTGAAGCCAAAGGCAGAGACTGCAGTGAGGCTGCTGCAGCTAACCATGCCTGGAGCCACCAGAAGCTGGAAGAGGCAAGGAAGGATTCTCCCCAAGACCCTTGAGGCAGAGCAGGGCCCTACTGATGCCTTGATCTGAGACTTCTGACCTCCAGAATTGTGATGGAATACATTTCTGTTGTGTGAGAGCCATCTGTTACGGCAGCCCTGAGCAACCAACAGAGAAGGGAGAGCTGCAAAGGCCCTGAGGCAAGGTGGCCCCTGTGGACAGCAGTCAGTGACAGGGAGGGCCCAGAGACCCGGCTCACCCAGAAGACCATGCCTAGGATTTTGGTCATGACCACGATCTAAGACTGAAGAGGAAACCGAAGGATTTTAGCAAAAGAATGATAGGGTCAGTTTGGCCAACGTAAAGGGAAGAGCTGAGTGTGAAATCCTGAAATCCAGCGCTTCGCCAACTTGAACGTGCACAGGAATCCCAAGTCAGTGGATTCCAGGCGACCGCTGTGGTCTGCATCTCTGACAAGCCCCTAGGTCCTTGGGTCACACTCTGAGAAGCAAAGCTCTAGAGTCCCCTTATTGTTCATGCTCAATGGCCTGGCTCTCCCATGCTCCTGCCGTGTGGTCATTTTGGCCATTCTGATAGACTCCTCCACTGGTCGGCGTGCCGGGCTTGTCATCCACCGGCTGGGTGCATTCCTCACTTACGCAACATGCCTGTCTAGTAAGGATGCAGCTCAGCCAAACCGCAAACTTATTAGAAAAGTTCACAATCTTCAATCAGGACTGTTACTAATTATAGGTAACTTTTAGAAAAAGCAAAAAATCGAACAAGTATTTCATCAGAGTAAAAAATAAACTTAAAAAGGGCTACACTTATTTCAGGTTTTGTTTGCTTGGGTTGGTTGGTTGGTTGGTTTGTTTGTAGCTAGGACATCTCCAATGAGACTCAATGAAAAGCTAACCCAGTCACATGAAGGCCCTTCTCCTTTGTGACTTGATTTTTCTCCCCTGACCCATCTCCCACGCCCTGGGCAGGTAGTGCATTACCAGTGCGCTTGCCTCGCGACACGGTACAAAGTTTGCCATTTGACACAGGTTTCTCACGACTAGCCGAGGGTGAGCGTACATCTTTACTTCTGTGAAAAACAGCAAAGGCAGAATCTACCTCAAGCCTAGCACCAGAAACGGATCATTTAGTTGGACACTATAAACAGATTAATTATGTTTCCGGAGATTAAAAGACTGAGATGACAGGCACAGAGGGTCAGAGGACTGAGGACTGGAAAGAAAGATGCTTACTCGGTATGTATCGTCTAGCTTCCATTATCGAAAGTCAAGGTGACACGCTGGTCTTTCTGTAAGGCAAGCCTCCCACAGGCGCTAACAGTCAGGCCACGTGAACCTCGAACAGAGTTAGAGAAGGCAGGTAGCTCAGTGGAGATGACACAGAGCGGCTATGTTTGTCTAAGAACCAAAATGCACAGAAATCAGGACATTGTGTCGCGACCTTGACTCTGCCATTGCTGGTGTGTGTCCTTGGGCTAATCCCTCCATCTTCCCGGCCCACACTTTGATCATCTAGAAAAATGGGACGTTTTAAACAGATGATTCCTGGGGTTATCCATGATACGATGAATCATAATCTGATGTTTTTTTTTCTGTAAGCTTCTCTTCTTGCACATCAGGTTGTTTTTAGAAGTAAAATGCTAAAATTTTATGGTTCTGCAAACCTAATATATGAGCAACCTGTACTTCAAAGTAAGTAAAAGAGTTGAAGCATCTACCCTGGAGCCTGACGAAAGGCACGTTGTAAAATCATCTACCTTTACACCTTTGAGATTTGAGGCTGGGACTGGCTTCAAAACTGTGGCATCTGGCCATAAGTCAATTCAGCCCATGGTGGGTACTGAGAATATCACTGGTGCCAAGCCTGCTATATAAGGCATGCAAGCTATTCATTGTGATTCGTAAGTCACGAATGATCCCCCATGAAGTTGACAGTACTATCCATGATTAGTGCTATTAACAGTGAGGTTGAATTTTCACCCAAATAACTGAATTTTGGTTCTTGGAATAGTAAGAGCAACGGTTACCATTTACAGAGCACCTACTATGTGCTGGGCATTAAAACTAGGGTTTTCTTGCTAGGTGTGGTGGGACACACCTGTCTTTTCAGCTCCTTGGGAGGCTGAGGTGGGACAATCACTTGAAGCCAGGAGTTCGAGGCTGCAGTGAGCCATGATCACACCACTGCATTCCAGCCTGGGTGGCAGAAAGACAGCCCCTCTCTAAAAATAGAAAATAAAAAACCTAGGGTTTTCTACAAGTTTTGCCATTTAACCCTTACAACCCTAGGACATAGGGACTTTATTATCCTTTATTACCTGCTAGTAAGTGGAGAGCCAAGACTCTCATTTAAATTCAGGCCTATCTAACGTGAAACACCCAGGCTTATCCACTCTAACCTCTGCCTTCATCGTACTTTAGAAAGCACTGAGTTATGAAGACCTCTTAATTGTTCTACTTACTGAGACTTTCCAAACTCCTCTCCGTCTTGCAAACCACTGACAGTCATCTTCCTAAAATACCATTTAATCATGTTAATTCTCTGTTCCAGAGACTTCTAAATGTGCCTGCTGGATTTAAGGTAATAAATTCCTTAGCTGAGAGGGGGGTGGTGCTTCTGGTAATGGTACAGTAGGTAATTCAGACCTGACTCCCAGGCTGAATAACTAAGAAACATGGACAAAATATATTTTTAAAATCCATTTAAATGCATCAGAGAGCTAACAAGGTAGTTAAAAATTAGGGGGGCAAGATCTAGGAGAAAAAGAAACCCAGGAAGGTGAACCTGACATTTAGGGCTGCTGTCGTCCTAGCGCAGGGACAGCTGCTCCTTTCTGAAGAGGAGGCTGTGGGGCTTTGAAAGCAGAGCTTTTGACACACTCAGGTGACTGAGGAGACAAAAATTGAACATCAGGATGCAGCTAGGAAAAGGGGTTCCTGGAAACACCCTCACAAGCTTTGTAAGTAATACAACTAAGTAGAAATAAACTAATATCAAAGGCTGAAGCCCAGCTTTGAATCATCTCAATCCCTGATCTAATGAAAATGACCTGGAACTACCAAAAGTAAATAGAAATCAGATCTTGAGGAACATAACATTACCCTAGGATTCATATTATCTCTGGAGCTTTTCTTTTTTCTTTTTCTTTTTCTTTTTTCTTTTTTTTTTTGAGACAGAGTCTCGCTCTGTCGTTGGGCTGGAGTGCAGTGGCTCGAACTCGACTCACTGCAACCTCTGCCTCCCAGGTTCAAGCAATTCTCCTGCCTCAGCCTCCGGAGTAGCTGGGACTACAGGTGCCCACCACCATGCCCAGCTAATTTTTGTATTCTCAGTAGAGACAGGGTTTCATCATGTTGGCCAGGATGATCTCAATCTCTTGACCTCGTGATCCGCCCACTTTGGCCTCCCAAAGTGCTGGGATTACAGGCGTGAGCCACTGCGCCCGGCCATGGAACGCCTTTTCTTATTACCCAGTCACCCAATGGATCAGCAAAAATTCATTAAACACACATTGTTACAAGGAACTGTGCTGAGTGCTGTGGGGGATTCAAAGACGGTAAGACATGATCACTACCCTCAAGGAACAAATAAGTTAACTGAGGATGTGAGAGATAAATCACATAAAGCTAACTAATAATCCTATAATTATAATAATAAAAGACTATGCAATAAAGATCAGAAGGTAGTGTATTATTAATTGCCAACTAAGTTAGGTAGTTCATAAGGAATACATAAATCATTGTTAAATGGGCATATAAGAGAAAGCTTTATGGCAAAGGAAAGCTTTATGGTAAAGGAAGACCTTAATGGATGGGGAGGTGCTGTCTAGGCAGGGAGAAGGTGGCAGGCAAGCCAGGGGAGGTAAAAGGTTGGTATCGGCGGCCAAAGCAGGACTGAAGATGTGTTTGCTGATGTGAGCAGAGCAACTGTCTTATGCACCAACAGGGGTGTCTTCATAAGAGTCACTGGTGTGTGAGAAGCAAGCACTGGGTATTTCACATCAATCATCTTTAACTCTCATAACAGCTCTAACCAGTTAAATACTAGTATCCCCATTTTATTTTTTCATTTTATTTTTGAGACAGGTCTCACTCTGTCACCCAGACTAGAGTGCAGTGGTGCAATCCTAGCTCACTACAGTCCTGACTTCCTGGGTTCAAGAGAGCCTCTCACCTCAGCCTCTCAAGTACCCAGGACTACAGGTGCATCCACTACACCCAGCTAATTTTTTGTTTTTCGGGTTTTTTGAGATGGAGTCTCGCTCTGTCACCCAGGCTAGAGTATAGTCGTGCAATCTTGGCTCACTGCAACCTCTGCCTCCCGGGTTCAAGCAATTCTCCTGCCTCAGTCTCCTGAGTAGCTGAGATTACAGGCATGCGCCACCACGCCCAGCTAATTTTTTTGTATTTTTAGTCGAGACGGGGTTTCACCATGTTGGTCAGGCTGGTCTTGAACTCTTGACCTGATGATCCACCTGCTTTGGCCTCCCAAAGTCCTGGGATTACAGGCATGAGCCACCGCGCCTGGCCTAATTTTTTAAAATATTTTTGTAGAAACAGGGGTTTCACTACCTATGTTGCCCGGGTTGGTTTGAACTCCTGGCCTCAAGTGATCCTCCTACTTCAACCTCCCAAACTGCTAAGGTTAGAGGCATAAGTCACCGTGCCCAGCCTATTATCATCATTTTAGAGATTAGGAAAAGCATAGCCAAAAAGGCAGCCCCCACAAAAAATAAGAAGAAGAAATAAGAAAGAAAAGAAAATGTCTAAGTCACCCACGCCTCTAGATGAGGAGGCAGGACTTGAACCTCAGGAGGGTCTCAGATGCCCAGCTAGAGTCTGAGCTTGTTTACGCAGGCTGCTATAATGACTTCTGAGTGCACGACTTGGGAAAAGCCATGCTTCAGTTTCACGAGTCATGCAGCACTCTATACAGAGCCAAATGGAGGGAAGGAGGTGAGCTAGAACTACTGCTCTGGGTCAGGACAGTGGCTATTGGAACGTACAAAAAAAAAAAAAAAAACCCACACACACGATGACACGCGTATAGGAATCTAACAGCAGTGTTTAGTAGTAATTTTTCCTGGGCACACAATAGTCTTTTCCCAAATGCAAGTTCCTCCTGCAAGTTCCTCACAACGACTTCTGTGTGCTTTTTCAGCAAAAGTAAGAATTTCCATGAAAGTTATGTAAATTGAAAGCTGGAGTTAGAAGTTGAACATCATCATCATCATCCCCATCATTAATACCATTCCAGCCCTAACTAGAGCCTGACCCTCAGCCCAAATGCCTTTCATGCGTTATTTCACTTAATCTTCCAACAAGCCACATGAGGCAGAGTAGCTACTCTCCATTCTACAGATGAGGAAATGAAGCTACTTACAAAGCTCCACTTACAGCCATTAAGTGGTAAAGCAAACATTCAAATCTACATCCGTCTGACTCCAAAGAATATGCCAGAAACCTCTAGACCTGTGTTTTGCAAGTCTCTGCTAACAACCCACCAGAGGGTCGTGGGATCATTTGTTGCATTAAGATCAGCACTTTTAACTTAATTTTAATTTACAATATGATAGAATGGAAAATGAGGGAGCACCCCGAACAAAGTGAGGTAAGCATTGTTTTATGAAACGTTTGCTTCCATTTAATGTCACATTATATTATACTGGTCCTGGGGTTGAAGGGGTATAAAAACATTGCACTAGGCTGGACTGCCTCCCGACAGTGTGTGTGCAGGTGTGTGCGAGCATGTGGACGGCAGAGAGAGGGAGGGGGCACTGTGGGAAGTAGAATGCAGAAGAGGATATGTGATTCGCCTGCCTTGGCCTCCCAAAGTCCTGGGATCACAGGCGTGAGCCCCGCGCCTGGCCTAATATTTTTAACATTTTTGTAGAAACAGGGAAACAAGGAGAAGCATACCCTAAGAGCTGTACTGACTGCTAAGAGGTAGAAATAAAATGTACAAGAACTTCATGGCATGAAAATAGTATGTTCGGAGCAAAGATAACAGGACCCCCTATATGAGAGAGGAAGCATGGCCTGAGACCTTCCTATGCGGCCACGCTTCCTCCTGCTCTGCCTGCGACATTCAAATCACTCTCCAGACTCTCATGGGACCCTGACGGCTGAAGTCAGCCATTGCCAGTCCTGAAATCAGAAAGACGTTTAACGTTTGGATGGAGGGCTAGATACGGAAAAAACCATGCCTCTCAGTGTACATATTATCTGCACCAATGCAAAACTGATTTTTATGTTTTGTTGAACTTTAGAAAGTCATAGGTTCATTTAAGAATGGGAGTCTCCAGCCAGTCTTCCTCATAAGGTTTCAAGCAATTCAACCACCAATTCTCCTACTACGTAGATTTTTCAGGATGAATGATGAGGCAGGACTGCTACTCCAAATACATCATAACCCACCTTTATTCTTTTCTGTTCTGTTCATGCCACTATCCCAAAACTGCCTTGCAATGCTATTACCTTAAAACTTTAAAAAAAAAAAAAAAAAAGCGGGGCGGAGCGGGGGTACTTAAAAAAAAAAAAAAGGTCCCTGGCCCCACTCTAATAAGAACCGGGAATTTTTTTTATTATCCTAGAATAATTTTGATAAGCAATTAAGTATGAAAATCACTGTTATTTAGTATCCATTAACCCAATGGACTTCCAGATTCCAGATGTTTAATAAACATCTCCAGTTGAGTCATGGGAAAACAGGAGGCCAGTGGTGAATAGATTTCATCATTAATGGAATAGAAACGTATATGAAATCAAAAGTCTAAAATGCTTTCAAATACCACAAAACTAGTTTTCCAGGCTGAAAATCATCCAGATTACAGTTTTACATATTTGCCATTCTATGCACAATTTTCCTATTAGGCACGTTTTCTATATCCTTTCGGAAGCTATTCCCATAGCTGCTTTATAAAATTTACCTTGTCTCTGACCACAGACTCCTCTGGTACCTGAAATGTGTGCTGCATCCGAACCATAATCGAGCAAACTGACTTGGGGCCCCTATGTGTGTGTGCACAAAAGTCACCTGTCTATCACTGGTTCTTGGTTCTGCAGATGACCCAGTGGTCACTCTAGAAAACAGTTCTCAATGCAGCCTAACAAGAACAGCAGCTCTTCGTCCAGAGATCAAGCCTTAAAAATACATGCAGTGTGTTAACGTTCACCCAGATGTGTACTTTTCTGAGAAAGGTCCCCACAAACTCTCAAAGGGCAGTTCCCTAGGCAGATGTAAGAAACACAGTGCAAGAACACGAATGGGAAAGCAGCTAGACCTCTCTGCTGACATTTTCTTGACTTTCCCTGGCTCAGTAGCCACTTCCCTGGCCCTCCCACCCATTGCCATGTCAGCCACCAAGGGGTGCAGTCTCCATCTGTCAGACCATCCCCATTACCCACGGCCTCCTTCCATGCTCCCGCGGCAGCCTGTTCAGGGGCTCTCCGCTCTGCCCCGAGCTGCTGCAGCGTCCCTGTCCCGGCCACCCTCCCTTCAATCCACTTCCACATTCCACACAGCGGAGGCCTATACTTACTGCGTGTCTGCTGGGTGAGAGTACAAGACTACGTAGGCTTATATATTAACGTGGGCAGCAACGTTAACATGGGATTCCAGCTCCAGGGGCCTCCCCGGCCCCATTCTCCTTCCCACACAGTGGCCTGGCCACTTTCCCACTACAAACGGGCCTTCATGCCTCCGTCTTGTTTGCTCACACTGCAAACATTTGTGAGAGGCTGGAGAACCTCGCAGCAGATGGGCGGCTGATCGCCTCATCTGAGCTCTCAGAGTCTCTGCCTCTGCAGATCTTTTTTGCTTTCTTCTCCCCAGGTCCTGTTCCCATTTTCCACAGGTGCAATTTCAGATCCCTCCCTGCCTCCAGCTTCACAGAGAAAAGAGATCTGCGAGGCTCTTCTTTCTGAATGTCTACCTCGCCTCCCTCTTCATACTCACTTGGGTGTGACCTTTTTCCCTTTCTTAGACTAGATGGGTGGGAGTGCCACTCTGCAACAGAAGATGTGGGATGTTTGAGGAGAGATACTGAGAGTGGTTTGGGGCCTACAGGGTTGGAGATCTCTGGGATACCCAAAAAGAGGTGATGGCTGGGCTACTAGCTGTGCGAGGCTGGAGCTCAGGAGAAAGGCCTAGCCTGGAAACGTCTCGCCATACCTTGAAAGATTGTTCAAATGTCTCTTTTCCACAATACTTGGCCTGGCCAACACAAGACACATACATGCCCCCTTCCCTTGAAGTCATAAAACTCACTGCCTCTAACAGTGAGTTAGCACGCATCTTACACTGTCCTAAAGTCACTGGTTCATTGTGATGTGCTTTAATCCACTGAGACCAACGCTCCTTAGGCCTAAATAGGCCTTGTACTCTGCACCCAGCAAACACCCAATGAATGTAGACCAGCACTATCCAGTAGACATTTTGCAACTATTAACTTGTTATTTATCAGGGCAGTCAACAAGGTGGCTCCTGAATACCTGAAATGTGGCTACCATGAATGAGGAAAGCTTTGTCATCAAAGATGGAAACATCGTTTCCCGGCCGGTTCTAATCTTTCCAAATCACAGTGAGTGGTCAGGTGTCTGGTGGAAAGAAAATACCTGCTCGTGACACCCCTGTAATGTTCCTGCTACTGAAACAGCTTTGTTTTGGGAAAAGCTTAGTTTTAAAAAGCCTGATGCACACTCTGCAAACTTAATCACCTTTGGAACACAACCTGTTGGTAAGCAAGGGAGCTTTTCTGTGAGTAACTGCCTCATCCAGATCTAGACCTGCAAACCCTTGAAAATGATACCAGCTGGCCAGCAGGGAGTGTCCCACTTACCAGGATGTTGTCAATATCCTCCACCATGAGGGTATTAACAATAGCTAAGGAGTATTAAGCGCTTAGCAGTGTTAGGCAAGTTCTAAGCACGTTAAGAGGATAAGCTCACCTGATTCACAGCATCCCAAGAACGTGGGTACTACTGTGGTCCCCATTTTATAGATGAAGAAACTGAGGCACGTAAGGTTAAGTAACTTCCCAAGGTCACAGAGCTACTGAGTGGTAGAACTCATATTTGAACTGGAGTCTTAGGCCCTGACTTAGCATTTGGATATGAGGCTCGCACAGGCAGGCCAAACTGGGGTTCACATCAAGAGGTAGAGAGGGCCCCACACCTCCGTCTGACCTGGCATCTGCACTGGGAGCCTGTGTGGAAGGGGACACAGCCAGGGCAGCAAGATCCCCACAGCCTGCCAAACATCGTTCCAGCTCCTGAGCTGGCCCGGGTGCACAGGAAGCAGTTTCCCAGCCTCCTTTATGCAGCCCCTTCCAAAGTCACACTTCCTGCCCCATTTAATACTTTCCCAGCGAGTGGGCATCAACAAAACATGCTGCGTTTCCTGGCCAACCCGAGCTTTCCTTTTGTAGTCCGGACTAGGAAAACACTCCCATACTCCAAAATAAAGATACTCGCCCTCTCTCCACCCCTTCACCTCCATGCTCTCTTTAAGGAAACAAGAGAGAACCAGAGGGGCTTTTTCCTGGCTTTGCATCACCTGGATGCAGATGAATCAGTTGTTTCATTTTAGTTGCTGCTTCTGCCATAAAGCAGGGCCACCTGGGTGCTTCCAGGGTCTTTTGAAGGCAGAAGGGGAGGAAAGTGTGCCCTGCCCAGCCCATAACCGATTAACCTGAAGAACTATTTCAGAAGCACAAGTAAGTCCCATAGAAGACAAACGCGCCACTATCTTAATGTTAATTTCACATTAACATTTATTTAAGGTGCTGAAAACCAGTGAACTAGTAAGCATCCTCAATATTTGTCAATTTCCACCTCCTGCCGTTTCAGTGCATATGAAGAGCAAACACTTCGTTATGGGGCCGTTTTGCTTCCCACTCTAAAAATGACCTCATTTTTAGTATCAGGACCTCCAAGAAGTACAAAAACCCTGTGCCCCAAAACTCCTTTCTCCAACCTACTTAAATCTCTCAGCCCTGTTTGTTTTTTACCACTTGATACCAAGTACTTCTCTCTTGGTCTTCAGAAGATAACTTTGTGGGGGTGGGGGTGGGGGTGGTGGGGGCAGCGGGGTGGGAGGGGTTGTTTTGTTTTGTTTGAGACAGAGTCTCACTCTTGTCACCCAGGCTGGAGTGCAATGGCACGATCTCTGCTCACTGCACCCTCCGCCTCCCAGGTTCAAGCGATTCTCCTGCCTCAGCCTCCTGTGTAGCTGGGATTACAGGCACGTGCCACCTTGCCCGGTGAATTTTTGCATTTTTAGTAGAGATGGGGTTTCACCATGTTGGCCAGGCTGGTCTCAAACTCCTGACCTCAGCTGATCCACCCACCTCAGCTTCTCAAAGTGCTGGGATTACAGGTTGTTTTTGTTTTTGCTTTCAGTTTTAAATTCAGGGGTACCTGTGCAGGTTTGTTACATGGGTATATTGCAATGATACTGGGGTTTGGGCTCCTAATGATCCTGCTGTCCAAGTAGTGAACATAGTACCCAATAGGTAGTTTTTCAACCCTTGCCCTACTTCCTCTCTCTCCCCTTCTGGAATCCTCACTGTTTCTTGTTCCCATCCTCATGTCCATGTGTACTCAGTGTTTAGCTCCGTCTTATAAGTGAGAACATGTGGTAGTATTTGGTTTTCTGATTCTGTGTTAATTCATTTAAGATAATGACCTCCAGCTCCATGCTTCTTATTGTGAATGATTTCATTGTTTTTATGGCTGCATAGTATTCCATAGTGTATATATACCATATTTTCTTTATCCGGTCCACTGCTGATGAGGACCTAGGTTAAGTCCATATCTTTGCTATTGTGAATAGTGTTGCAATAAACATAAAAGTACAGGTATCTTTTGCTAGAATGATTTCTTTTCCTTTCAGTATATACCCAGTAATGGAATTGCTGGGTTGAATGGCAGTTCTATTTTTAGTTCTTTGAGAAATCCAGGAGACAGTTTTAAATCCACCCATCCCAGAAAGCTTTCCCTAGCCAGTGTAAGCTCATCTATGACCACAACTCCTGCTGAGATGACAGCCCTAGGAAATGGTTTGGGTATTAATGGTGATCAATCATGTCTGACCCTTAGCTTATTAATTTGGCAACATGCAAATTCCTAATAAGTGATTAGGCCCTTCATAGGCCTACCCTTATTCATCATGGAGTAGGATGGCAGCTGCAATGCAGGACTCAGGATGACACCCGAGGTCTGACAGCCACATGACTCCAGGACAGCACAGCCCCCTAAGGGCAGGGCAGAGACCAGGGAAGACCTCGGCGGCTCCCATATCCATGACAAGTGGGCAGGAGCCAGCCTTGGCTAGTGACGCTTTTTTATCACTATACTGTATATGAGATGAGGAGAGGAACCTTATCTCATATACAGTATAGTGATAAAAATGAGACCTTAAATGAGAAATCAACAAGCCATTGCCCCAAAAATTCAGAAATCCCCTGGTGCTGGTCACCATCTCCACAACTGTAGAAGCCATTCAGGTCTCCATCCGGCAACTATAGCCACTTCCCAGGGCACTGCTTCAGGAACCAAACGCAGAAGGTAACAGAACCCAAGACCCTATGCCTCAGTTTTCTCCTCTGTAAAATGGGATAACTTCCGCATGGTTTGCGGTAAGGATTAAATAAGATGTGTAACATGCCTAGCCTAGTACCTGATCCATCAATAGTTGATATTTAACAAATAATAGTTTCTGCAGACACAAATTTATGGTCAACATTGTTCAAAGAGCATTATTTATATAGCAAAACTAACCCAAATACCAGACAGTGGGAAGATGTTTAAAGAAAATGTAATAGAGTCAAATAATAGAGTATTGGGACTACAGCAGATTCCCTCATCTCAACAAAGGGATGATTTATGTCCTGGGCAGGAAGAGGTGGGATGTTACATTCCATCATGCTACTTGCAACAGTGCACAATTTAAAACTTATGAATTGTTTATTTCTGGAATTTCCCATTTAATATTTTCAGACCTCAGTTGACCATGGGTAACTGTAACCACTAAAAGCAAAACCACAGATAAGGGAGAACTACTGTCTAGAATATTTAATTTGTGCAGGAATGCACAGAGCATAATGTGAAAAAAGTCGGGGAGCAGGTGGTTTTAACCATCAGGGCAATCAAGGACCACGCGCAAACTTCCAGGCCCTGCCGTACCATGGTGGCTTCCCCATGAGTCCCCAGCTGAGTCCACGTGCTGACACGCTGCTCTCTTCCCCCACAGCACCAATGACAGTCAGAGTTCCCCGTTCACTCACCCTTACAGAACTCAGAGCATGCGCCGGGCTGACAACATGCACCAAGAGACAGTTGTTTGACCTGGAACTGGGCCTCTGGGGGGCGGGGGTGTGCCCCAACCCCGGGTTGGCACAGAACAGAAGGTGAACGTGTTTCCTGAACAGCCCAGTGTCATCACACTAAGTGCCATCCTGTGCTCACTCTTAAGTCCTGAGTTTTCCAAGACTGTCCTGATGTCAGCAGGGTGCCCTAATTTTAGATGAGAAAATAAGAACAATAGGCCAGGCACAGTGGCTCACACCTGTAATCCCAGCACTTTGGGAGGCCAAGGCAGGCGGATTACGTGAGCTCAAGAGATCAACACCAGCCTGGTCAACATGGTGAAAGCCCATCTCTACTAAAATTTATATAAATTAGCTGGGCATGGTGGTGTGTGCCTGTAATCTCAGCTACTCAAGAGGCTGAGTCAGGAGAATCGCTTGAACCCTGGAGGCAGAGGTTACAGTGAATTGAGATCATGCCACTGCACTCCAACCTGGGCGACAGAGTGAGACTCCATCACAAAAAAAAAAAAAAGAAGAAGAAGAAGAACAATACAGTAATAGAGAACATTCTTCTCAAAACAACTGAGTTTCCTTCTTCCCTTCCTTCCTCCACCCTTCCTTTATGAATGATTTACTCCAAAAGCCCATTTGATGCAACGCAGCAAAGAAGATGTACTGGGTTGAACAGTGGCCCCCCAACATTCGTGTCCACCTGGAGCCTGTGAATGTGACCTTTTCTGCATATGGAGTCTGTGCAGATATAATCAAGTTAAACGAGGTCATACCAGATTAGAATGGGCCCTAAATCCAATATGACTGGTGTCCTTTTAAGAAGAGGGAAACTTGGACACAGACACACATAGAAGAAAGGAGAATGTTGTATGAAGACAGAGGCAGGCATTAGAGTGACTCCTCCATAAGCCAAAGAAAGCCAAGGATTGCTAGCAGCCACCAGAAGGTAGGAGAGAGGCATGGTGCAGATTCCCGCTCAGGGTCCCCAATAGGAACCAACCCTGCCCATACCTTAATTGCCAACTTTTGGCCTTCAAAACTGTGAGGGAATAAATTTCTGTTGTTTCATGCTTCCCAGTTTGCGGTAATTTGTTATGGCAGCCACAGGAAACTAATAGAGTAGACACTAGGGGTAGAGGGGCAGGTGCAGCCAGGGTAGGTATTGGCAGAAAGAGAGCACCTGTTAGGGTGGCTGGGGCAGCAGCCACCTGGCACACAGAATACAAAAGCCCATGTGGGCAGTGAGGATAGACACAGGAGGGAGACCACAGCCCTGTGCAGGGGCTGGGAGCCAGAACAGGGAGGTGAGGAGGGCATCGTCATTGTGGTGGGGCAACCGTGGGGACATAAGACCACATACACACAGGCAACTGAGTAAATTATATTATATACCAGGGTAATGGAAGTGAGGCTTTTGACTACTGGAGAAGGAAGTTACAGATACAGAAAGAAAGAAAACTACAATAACCCAGGCTGTGGCACTAGAATAGGAGGACTTGATTTGAATTTGTGCTTTTTCATATATCTCAATAAACACAGAAATAAATACAGAGGTAAAAAAGCATGCATAGGAGGCGGACGGATCACGAGGTCAGGAGATCGAGACCACCCCGGCTAACACGGTGAAACCCCGTCTCTACTAAAAATAAAAAAAAAATTAGCCAGGCGTGGTGACGGGCACCTGTAGTCCCAGCTACTCGGGAGGCTGAGGCAGGGAGAATTGCTTGAACCCAGGAAGTGGAGCTTGCAGTGAGCCAAGATCGCGCCATTGCACTCCAGCCTGGGCGACAGAGCAAGACTCCGTCTCAAAAAAAACAAAAAAAGCATGCATATGTGTAAGTATATATGCAACTAATACACATATTCTCTAACCTTGACACTAAAAGGGCCTGGGAACAGCAAGACCCCAACAGCAATGAGCACAGGCAGTGCACAAATCTTGGTTTCCAAACACCATCCTCCACCAAAAGGAATCAGGGCTCCTTGGAGAAATGGCTGACTCCAGAGCTGGGGCAGGGAAAGCAAAAGATAAGCCTGGGAAAGGAAATAAGGAAGGGCTCAAAAGATAATAGCAACATGTCAAAAAAAAGTCACAGAACCCAACCTGATGGAGCTCCCACTGGCCACATCTAAGACAATCTGAGCACCCAAATACATGACTGAAATGTATTTCTGTCATTGAACAAAATTGGAATCTACGAATAAATAAATAGGGGAATGAAAAAGCTTTCCCATAATGTAGAATGCAAACAAATAAATGTAGGAAGAATGATGGACTTAGAAGATCAACATTTGGTAGCTATCAAAGTAGTACTCAGCCAAGAAATACCAATGGATGCTAACCAGTGAGTAAAAGGCTGGTGAAAAATGGGATACTTACATAGCCTCAAAAATACCTCCCACAAAATATTTTTTATGACAAAGGGAAAAAGACTAACTTTATCATGGAGAAGGCTGACTGATGGCTCCTTAATTAAAAGATCAAATGAACGTTACGAATTAAGGGGCAAATCAAAAGCATGTATCACCTGTAAGGATGCAAGAAGAAGAAAGTCTCACCGCCGTGATATTCTTGTAAGAAATGCATAACCAGAAACGTCAACAAGCCCAAACGGATACACATTCTCTAAGAAAATTGCCTTGTCATTGTCAAAAGTGTCAAGTTCATGGAAGTCAAGGAATAATGAAGGAGGCAGGGCACCGAAATTCAACACCTAGCCCTGCATCAGATTCTCCTGCTGCAAGGGACATGACTGAGACATTCCAACAGGAACAGGGTCTGCGGGTGGGAGGCGACTCACACAGCGGTGCTAGTTTCCTGATTCTGATGGCCGTGCCAGGGTCTCAATGGAGACTATCTTCGTTACAGCAAAGACACATTCAAGTACTCAGGAGTGATGGGATATCAGTATTGGCAAGTTACTCTCCAAAGATGTAGAAAAATAATTCTTTGTACTATTGTTAAACTGTGGTGGAAGTCTGAAATTAGCTCAAAAGAAAACGACTTGGCCAGAAAGACAATACCAAGTAGGTAAGTAATTTCCAGTACAGAGGGAAAGACGACGACAGCCTTTCTGCAAATACAACAAACTCTAGGAAACCCCCTTTGTGGTGCTTAAATGAAGCTGCTGGCGGTTTATTCGTCCTCCGTGCACCAGGATGGTATTAATAAGCACATGCATCAATCACTTTATCTATCCATCCATAAGGGGCAGCTTAATCAAGCAACAATTAGCTGAACAAGGAGGCTCTAAGCTTCATTTCCTGGGGGAGATGAGGAGTGATGGTCCATAATTCATTTAAATTGTTCAGTTGTGTAGAAGAGGAGAAATAAGACGGCCAAAGAGCTCTCGTGCGTATTTGAGAGAAAAGCGCTCAGATTTAGGCGCCAAAGATTTACCTCCAGCCAAACTTCTGTGCTAATTCAATAGAAGTTATTTATGTTTTATATTTTAAAGCACAGAATTGGTTTCCAAGTCACTCTGCCTCACCTCAAAGTTAAGGTGGAAGAAAAACCGCCAGAAGTGCCATCGCTGGGTCACTGATAGATTTGCAAATTGTAGATGTTTGTCCTCCAGAGGCCCCTCCACCACCAGTTCTCTGCAGGACACTTCAGGGTTCCCAGCGCCCCAAATCTGGCATTCCCAGAATAGTTTCATTTTCGATCATGACAACAGTTCCCACTCCCACAGCTTTTCAAGCACTTGGCTCAGGGAAGACCCACTAGGAGTAAGGGCTTTGCTTTTTGTTTCTTGTTTACAACGTTTCCTCGACGTGTGCAAGACGGAAGCCTGAACAACTGTCAGTTCCACTTGCTCGTACTTGGCTGAACACTGCAGTTACTCCCCTGGCCTCGGACTCCGGAGAAGAGCACACAGCACTGTCCAAGAACAGCTCCCACACTGAGAACAGAAACCGAAACCAGGGGTGAAGAACCGATCCTTCCTTCCACAAAGCCTGGACCAGGCAGCCATTCAGACTGCTCTCCTCGGCCCCCAACCCCAACCCAGCTCTGCCCTACAGCCAGAACACCCTTCCAAAAGCACAAACAGACTCTCATCATTCCACTGCCTAAAGCCTGTCCTTACCCCACAAGCCTCCAGCGAGGGGTCCGTCCCAAGTCTCTGCGTCTGTCACCCCTCAGCCTCAAGAGCATCCCCTCTCCCAAGCTAACTCTTACTCATTTTTCAGATTTGGCTTCAAAGTCACTTGACAGCAAACCTTCTCCATTTCACCAGGCCAGGCCCCCAAATCTGTAGACAAGAATCTCCATGAGGACCAAAGTCAATTCTGTTTTGTTCACCATGCTATTCCCAGGGCCCAGAGTACGGCAGAGGCCAACGCTCAATAAATATTAGTTGACTAAATAATGAACTTGCTATATACGCCCAGCACAGTGATACGCAATGACGGAAGGAGCTTGCAGCCTAGAAAGAGAAGACAGGGACACAGGCAATCACAGTGAGGAGAAGGATGAACTGCCATCAAAAGAAGCGTGCACCAATGCGTGGGAAATGCCATCTAGACAGGCAGTCGGGGATACCTTACCAATAATGCTTTAAATGACTTTAGGTTTTCAAGATACAATCTGGAATGTTGTTTATGTAGATCTTGTTTATTTTATACATGGGAATTCACTAGAAATGTACTGATGTTCACCAACACTGCGCTGGCCGTTACCAAGAACTATGGTATGTGGTTAGTATGGTGACCAAGCCAAAATGGAGCACTTCTGAATGTGAATGGGGTCTCATTAATACTGACACCTGAAACAGATATAAAGAGCGACTGTTCCTGGAAACACCAGGATGTGAGAAGCCTCTGGTTGTAGGGGCTAGGTATACTGACGCAGGCTCACCGTCTTCTATTCAAAATCTTGGGGCCAGATAAAGTCTTCAGAATTCAAAAGTGTGTGGATGTTAGCAAGATAATGCGGTACACATACCATATACCACAAGGAACAAAACACCCCGGAAAGTAATTAGGGCAGAACCCCTTAATCCAACACAGTTAATATTTCTGCAGTGAAACACGAACATTCACACTGATTGGGATAAATAAAAGCTATGAATAGCTTCATGTCAATTCAGGGCAGACTATCCTGCCAAATGAGTCATGATAATAACTTTCAGTTTCAGAGCATTTTGGATTGCAAATAAGGGATTTGGGGCTTGCAGTAGATTTCAAGTTATTTCAATCTTTGGAATATATTATTGTTATCACGCTACACGAAAAATCAGCATCATTTTCCTTAAACTGTATTTATATTACACATTAATCTGGCACACACTAGGCTTAATGTAGTGAATAATAGCACTGTTTAGTTCTGAAATGAAAAAATGTAATGCAAACTATTTCTGCTTATTAGAAAGTGGAAAAATACTTTTCCTAAATATTTTTATAAAATTTGAAATCTTAAGTAGCCATTTAAAAGTATTATTTCCTTTAAGTCGAGTTTACCTAACAATACGTATGTGCTTTACCTTACCAATCAAATACATAAAATACTTATAAAATAAGAAAAGCTTTAAATATTTAGATTCAAAATTTCTTTAAAATAGTCTCCCTAAGGTTCCTTTATGATGGCATTTGTAATATCATTGTTCTTTCTCCATGACATTCTAAATATTTGATTTAAAAACTAAAGTTATTATAAAAATACCTTTCCAAGGATCACGTTAAATGGCATTTGTTTGTTTGTTTGTTTGTTGCTGTGCATGCCCTATGAATGACATCCACACCGTCCACTGAGACCAGTACGTAAGCAACTGCTCCATTTCACATGCCCTCCTCCTCCACGGAAGCCCTGGTGCAAACCGAAAAGACTAAATACCCAGAAGCACAAATGCAAAAACAGACACAGGAATTGTCTGGCAAGTTTACCTCCTCCATTTCTTTTATCACGTAATTTTGAATCAAATGGCAAATATTATGCAACGTGAGAAGTTGAAAAGCACTGAACTGTTTAGATTCCATGGTACTTGGGTAGAAATTCAGTTCAAAGAGGCACATACTTCCTCATGAAAGTGTGAAGAAAGAAGAAACTCTAAAGGTAAAGAGGGTCAAGGTGAAGGGGCCCCAGAGACCTTCCTACCATAAGGGCCAAGGTACTTAAATCAGCTTCTACATTTGCAGGCACTGAATTGTTTATAAATATATACATGCAAAAGTCCAAAGTTGCTTCACAAAATTGTTCTCCTGATGTCTAGGGAGATAATAGTGGTGGTGGGGATTGTGAGAGCAATGACTATTCACTGGGCACCCATGATGCACTCAGCATTAAACTCTATACATTATCTCATTTAACCCTCACAGTAACCCCATGGGGTCGTTCTCATTACTATCCTCATTTTAAAAGGGTGCTCTGGCTTAGCCCATGCCAAAGCTGACTCTAGGTCATCAAACTCCATTATCATGAGAACTGAGGATCCAAAAATGGGCTTCATCTTCAGGGGTATTCTTGGTAATATAGAACCCCTGGGATATAGTATTTTTCTACATGTGCCATTGATCCTGAAACATAAATGCTAGGAAACTGGTTTCCTTCCCCAGCTGGCACTGGACACCACACTAGTTCCTATGGTTGTCTCCTCCTGTCAGGAAAGTGAACATTGAAGTCCCCCAGGCCCACAGATCAGAAAGAAAACACAAGCCAGAATGTTCCCTGGGGCCCTTCCCAACACTTTCTGCTTGCTCAGTCTTTGTTCAGAGTGAAAGGCAATTAAAAATACAAATCCCCCATAAACAGGGATGGAACAAGAAGATAAGTTAGCAGCTGTCTGGGACTCTTCCTAAAAGAGGAAGCCTTTTGACCCTGTATGACCCTAGGGTTGCACCAATAAAAACATACACATTTTTTGCAATCTCTCACACCAAATGCAGCAGCAAAGACAAGCAAGGGTTTAAAGCCTGAAATCCCTACACAATCTCTGTAAAACCTTCACACCTCTATTTGGAGACCCTCCTCAGGTGATGTAGGGACCCAGGCCAGGCCCAAGTCCCCCCAGCACTGCAGTCATGGGAAATGATGCTGGCAGAGGTGACAGGGGCAACGACAGCAGCACAGGGGCACAGGAGAGCTGAGCAAAGGGGCTGGCTCTCCAAAGTGACCATTGCTTCTTTCCAAATTATACCGCTGCACAAAGAATGCGAAGACCATAGGCTTCGGCCCAGGAAAAGCATTCTGCACCTGTCCTACCTGATGAATCAAGAAGCAGAGTGAAAGACGAGGCCATAGCCATATCCAGAGGCTCCCAGAAGGAAGGAGTCTCATCACAGCCTCTCTTTGCTCATGTTCTCATGCCGGCTGCCATGGAAGTGCAGACCGGGCGCAGCAACAACATGGACCGTGGAGCTCTGCGGCACTGCCTGCTTTCGCCCCCAGCTCTATCATTTAGCTGTGACTTTGGGCAGGTTACTGACCTTCTCTGTTCTCATCAGGCTTTGTGAGGATTAAATGAAGAAGCATGTAAAATAAGGCAATGCGGTGGCTCACACCTGTAATCCCAGCACTTTGGGAGGCCGAAGCAGGAGGTTCATTTGAGCCCAGGAGGTAGAGGCTGCAGTGAGCTATGATCATGCCACTACACCCCAGCATGAGCAACAGAGCAGGACCCTGTCTCAAAAAAAAAAAAAAAAAAAAAAAAAGGGAAAGAAAGAAAGAAGAAATAGAGAGAGAAGAAAAAAGCAAATAAACATGTAAAATATCTAGAATAGTGTTTTGCATCTTACATGCACTATGGGAGTATAAAATAGGTACAAAATTTCCAAACAGCAGCTTGGCCAAGGTATTAAAAATTTTAAAACTACACCCTTGGACCCAGCCATGTCACTTCTAGGAATGCTTCCCAAGTAATCTAATCATGTGTGAAACATGCTGTCTTAAAATTAAAAAAAGAAAAAACTACAATGATCTTGAAATCTGATGCAGATACACATGTAATATTCTTTTCTGTAAAAAACAGACAACATGAGAAAACTGTGAATTGCAGATAAATTACCTTCCAGATACATTTAAATTATGAAAATCTAAGAGTATTTTTTACTCCATCATTTTTTTAAAGAGCATTTTCTAGAAAAATTTATGCAAGGCCATTAAGACCTAAAAGGGTAGACTGACTTTTAAAAGTATTTTATAAATTGAAACTCATGCTGGGACCCTTAGGTGTGTTTGGCCCTGGGTCGCAGCATCTAGATGGCATCAGCCTCTGCAATTCAGCAAAGCAAGAATCATGCACAGATTTCAAAGCATATGGACTCGAGCACATACTGCATTTTCAAAGCTTCTTTCCATATGGAAAACGGGAAAAGAAGTGATCCTATATTTCCCTTAATCAGCACGTCCTCTGAGCACTGCCTTTGCAGTACAGGAGAAGTAACATGACCTCGAGAAGGCACAGCTCCTCCTCCTCAGAGTGCAGTAGGAAGTTCCTTTAAGACTGTGTCAGCCTGCAGTATGCAAGCCGGAAAAGACCTCTCAGTCCTCTGATGCAGACACTGGAGACGTAACAGTATAGAGAACAAGTTCAATAAGAGGAGGCACGTGGGAAAAGGGTAGACATCAGAGTGGATAACTGAGCCATGCTGGCTTGAGGAGGAGGAGCGTGGCAGAAACGGCAGGACCTGAATTACCTGAGCTGTTTGTGTCACCCAGTCACCTTTGACTTCATTTTTGAGCTCCACAGACCTCAAAAGGTGTGTTTTGCCCCTTCAGGAACACAGAAAAGACAAGGGGACAAGAGAGAGGAGATGTCAATGTGGTCAGTATTTGTGAAAAGTCAAATAACAGAAACTCAAAGAGCCAGCATACTGGAACTGGAACCTAAGAAAACCTATTTGCATAGAGCAACAAAATTGCTGCTTTCTGACTTCAATCACATCACTAGCAGACTACCTTGAAAACCAACGCCTTCCCAAAAACCAGTTGCCTGAAAATAACCTGTTCTGAAAGGTTGATTTGAAGGGCACTATCTTTTCCCCTGGATGAGAGTAAATGATTTCCTCCCACACTCCACATCCACAGGCTGGCCCTCAGGATCTGCTTCTTGCTGCCACTTTTCCTTTGAGGATTTCCTTTAAGCTGTCCCCTCTGCCAGGGAGCTCTCCATAAAGGTTACCAGCTATTCTTGGTGTTATTATTATTAATTATTATGGAGACATCCAATTTAACTCTTTATGTTCAAATCTGGTCAAGCTCCAGCACACAAACTATAAACTTACGCACTACAGTTTCCGCTAGTTTGATTCTATTCCTGGGATAAACCATCCCAATTACCAATGAATTCCAACTGGAAAAAGAGCCAAAATTGCTACCACTCTAAGTACAGGAATACCTCCGAAGCAAGAATCCATGTCTCCTCTGCAAGCTGCAGAACTGTCTTCAAATATTTTTGGAAGATACCTACTGCCTCTCACCAGTTTCCGAATGGTAGCCAGAGGTGGGAGGGTCGGATCTGGCATCCATTGGATGGTCACTATTTCCCCTCTCTGCCAACCCCTCCCAGGACCACAATGATTTCTTTTCTTTCCCTCTCCTTGTTAAAGCATAATATGGTAGTGGGAGCTCAGATTTGGCGTCAAGCACACCTGAACTGGAACCTCACCACTCACAACCTTCAACTTCGCCAAGCCATAGTTTCCTCATCACTAAACAGAGATCTTAATAGCAACTTAGCAGAGCTACCGTGAGAAGAAACAGATAAAGGCTAGTTTATGTTAGGAGGAAAAGTATGAGGTGAGATTTCCTTGGTCTCCCCTAAGACTTCCCCAAAGAAATTCCAAACAGTAGGGCCCGTGCTCCACCTAACTGCAGTGACTAAGTCAGTGTTCCACAAGGAGCAAGACGATGTCCAGGGTCCACCTTCTGTAATAGAAGCATATTCTCCACCCTGCACATTCTTGGCCAGATTAATCTCCCCAAATGGCTCCTGACCTTGCAGAAAATCCTTCCATGGTTCCACAACGCCCATTGAATAAAATCTGGACTCCTGGCCACCATAATTCATCCCCATCCCACCTTTCTAACCTCTTGTTCCCACTGATTCCCTCCACCTTCTTCTTCTAACCTCTTATCCCACTGATTCCTTTCTTCTTCCTCCCCTCCCCTCCCCCTTCCCTCCCTCTCCCTCCCCTCCCCCTCCCTTCCTTCTTCTTCTTTTTTTTTTTTTTTTTTTTTTTGTAGAGAAAGGCGTCTCCCCATGTTGCCCAGGCTGGTCTCAACCTCCTGGCCTCAAGTGATCCTCCCATCTCAGCCTCCCAAAGCGCTGGGATTACAGGCATGAGCCACCGCACTCAGCCTCCTTCCACCTTCTGATGCAACCAAAGCTTACAGCTTCAGGTACTTGGCAACGGGCTTATCTCTGTATAAAGTCCTGTGAGGAGGAGTCCCATCTCACTCATCCCAAAATACCGAGCACAGTAGCTTGCACATAATGACATGTAGTAATCACTCATTGATAAGAAAGTGGATGAATCCCTCCTGGAAAACTCACTGAGGGCAAGGGCTGAGGAGGATAAGGCGGATGATATTAACTATACGTTGTGATGGATAAACTTATGAACAAATGATAAGCAAAGGAAATAAAATGACTACAAAAAGCATGCAACCTAAAAAAAAATTTTACTATTTACATGCCATTTTCCGGGTGAATCCGGCTAAGGATGTTAATACACTTTTGAATTACGTTGGTTCAACTTTTCATTCCAAAAACCTTACCCCGAGCCAACCGCATGAAAATCGCTGTGTGCCAAGCATTATCTAAAGCTCTGTGGAGTATACAAAGATGATGAAGACATGATCTCTGGCCTCAAAGGACTTACCCTGCAAAGACGAAGGTGGGCACGTCAGTGTTAAAGCAAGCTTTCAAGCAAGACGTGGTGTCCCGGAGGTGAGACTCGAAGCCTGCCAGGAAGAGCACACCGGAGTGGGTGCCTGCCCTGCGGCCGCACACCCACCATCACTGATCACACTGATCACGGGCGTCTGACACACTGGGTTCGAGTTCCCTCTCTGCATCAGACTCACCCCCATTAGTTCATTCGCCTCACAAAAATGTGACTCTGCACTTCAAATAGATGAATTTTTTTCAAAGGCCTATGGGGAAGTTTTAATATTTTATGTAAAAACCCAGAAGAGAGGACTCTGGAAGGCTTCCTAGAAGAGGGGGCATCTGAACTGGGCCTGGAAGCCAAGGGATCCTCAGGTGGAAGGGAAGAAAGAACATTCCCAACAAAAGGAAGAACAACGACAAGGGCAAGAGAGGGGTGGCGCCCGCGTGTCCGAGCCATTGGTGATACGAAGAAGCTGCGCCACGGGGAACGTGAGAGCCGCGGTGGAGAAACTGCTGGAAGGTTTCCCTGAAGCTGCGAGTTCAGAGTCAGCCATGTGTCCTCGCACCTCAGCGAGGGTCCCTGCCGACTGAGCGGAGGAAACCCCTCGGTCCAGCCAGGGCACACACCCGGCTGACGCGCTTTCCTGCGGCCCGGTCCGCCCTCCCTACCGGGAAACCGGGTGCCTGAGCCCAGGGGCACCAATGTCCTGCAGGCGCCTCTGTGTCTGGACAGCAAATAACAATTGGAGGACCAAGTCAGTCACTGCAACTGAATTCAGCCAACACGTACTGAGGGTACCGAGTCTACGCGAGTCCTGTGGCTCGGCCCTCCACAACATACAACCGGTTCAAACACGGCAGTTAGTGATAATACAGTGGAGACGGTGAAATACTGAAATAAACCACAGGAATATCTAGGCCTTTGAATAACATCTTCCAATTTATCGCCCCAGGGAAGTGAAGAGTCCGGCAAACATCCAGTCAATGCCATCAAGGCAGCCGGTCACCCCAGCTGTGAGGGCCTCGGCACCTGATGGCCACATCTCCCCAAACACTCTGTAGCTGCGTCGGATGAAGAGTGTGAGGTGGTTTGGTTAACACATGATACAGGTGGAATAATGCCTCCCAAGTATCCCACACGCTAGCCTCTGCGACCTGTGAATAGACTGTGTTATGTGACAAATGGGAATTAAGGAGGCAGGTGATTTAAAGGTTGTCTGTTGACCTTGACAGAGGGGAATTTTCCTGGATCATCCATGTGGTCCCAATGCAGGGAAGAAGCCTCAATATGGCACGGGCAGCTCTGGGGCTCCCTCCAGTTCCTGAGTCCCACTGGCTAAGGTTTGCACCTGAGGTGTTCGCCCAGCCCTTCTGTGGCCCGGCGTGACGTCACTCGGAAGACCTGGGGACACTCTGGGCGGATAGGAAGCCCTGTCCTAACTTCTGCCCTATGAAGGCATTGTTTCTGGGGGTCTTGCCATTATCCTTGATTCTCTAACTTGGGTTTCTTACCTGAATTTGAGCCAACTGTCTTTAATTCCTCCTCACTTGAGGATTATAAACTTACTATAATCACTCTCTTTACAAACCAATTCAAAACAAACAAAAGAGAGTACAAAAAATATTTTTGTACCTATTCATCATTTCCTCTTAGAAACTTATATAAAAGCACCTCAAAGACAGGCCTGGCTATTATCAAAGGCACAACCCAGTCCTTCCCGCAATGGACCGCAGACTACAAATGCACACGCCTCAGAGCTCCTCTCCAACGCTGCAGGTGCACAGCTGCGACACGCCCTGCTGCTAACAGTCATTAGCTATCATTTTCTGAAATGCACAGGGGAAAATGTTCCAAATCCTCAAAAACCTTCCAAAAAAAAAAGAAAAAAGCTGGCTGTATCCTCGGAACAAAACCCTTCCTTACTGGGAAACAGGAACACATGCACTGAGTGAGATATTTGTGGCCACCAGGAACTGGCTCTGACACTCCCTCCTTCATCTGTTTGTTCCAGCCACCCTGGAGAGTGGTCCATGCACCAGGAACGGAAGAAACTGTCAACCCTTCATGTCTTTGCTCTTGCTGTTCTTTCAACCAAAAATGCCCTGCTCACCCACTGGCCACCAGATGACATTGCCTCCCTCCTTCCGGCCAGTCAGAAGTCAGTGGTGAGGCACGCCCCAGTTTCTCTGGTCAAAGACGTAATTCTTAGTTCATGATGGGTAGCTCCAGTAAATTAAAAAGAATAAAAAGAAGATACTGCTTCTTCCTCTTCTCTCCCTTAGCCTTTGGCTTGCTGTGCTTCCATGAAGCCCATCTTTCGTTCTTTTCATGACCAGGAATGGTTATTTACCTGCTTGTCTCTCTAACCAAATGATAAGCTCTTTGAGAGCATGGATCTGAAATTTTCAACCTTACATCTTCGCAGCATAGGGCTTCACACACAGCTGTTCAAAATTGTCTGCTGAAGGAATGACTTCCTCTGAGGGTTTTATTTAAGATATTTGTTTGTAGAAGAGAGTCTTCAATTTAATTTCATCATTATCATGTTTGTTTTCACAGTACTTAAAACTAATTTTAAGGATTTTTAAAATCGTTGCCCCAAGCCTGAAGAGAATAAAAATTTTTGCAACTCCTCTTACCACTCTGCTTCACAACACATATATTATTTCTCTGTTTCTCACATATATTATGCATCTTCTTCCAATTATTTACAACTCAGTTATAATCCACACATGACCTTGCCAGGCTATAGTTTTCAATAAAGTTCAACTCTTCAAAAGGATTCAGCAAAACGAAAAATTTCCGCAGGACATAAAACTAAACCAACAATGAATTTGCTTCCATACAGTTGTGATATTTCACTGAATTTCTTTATCTACTATGGCTCTTGTAAGAACAAATGAATGGCTTCTCCTGCTGTCAACAATTCACAATAAATACACAAATGCTTTTATCCATTTTACTTAACAGATCTGTTATTACGGCAATATTTTTTTTTCATCCACTCAGTAATACTATTGAACCATGATTGAATGGATTATATTTAAATTCTTAAGTCCCCAAATGTTACTCTGAGGCTGTTTTTACTAATCTTTATCCTGAAATACCACAGAAGTGAAGAACTCTAAGGCTTTTTTCATGAGTCCCAAGCAGACAGAGCAGCCGCAATGATAAATTCACTACCATATCCGAGTCCCAAGCAGAGAGGCTACCACAAGGGCAGCCGCGAGGATAAATCCACTACCATATTCAAGCACTGCTATTTCTCCTCTCACAAGACATTTCTGGATTCAAAATACAACAGAAAAAAAATAATTATTTACTGCACAGTTCAACAAAACATACTAAGTACTTAACCTGGCTACAATACACTGAGCAGGTTACTTGATTTCTCCAGCTGAAAAAATGAAGGGAAGGGGCAGGCAATCGTTGCTACAGAAACTCCCAATTCCAGCATGGTGCGAGATTCTATCTGATTCTCACTTACCCATGCGCTCTGATTTACTTCACTCCAGCCTAAGTTAATTCCTCAAAGTGTGCTTCATCAGCTTCACAGCATCTCAAAATTCTAAAACAGAACTTTTTGCCACATGCTACATATACTGTAATGGGGAGAAGCTTAGTTTTTCAGACTTACTAGTGTGTCATTTTCAAAACCACAAAATGAATGACTCAAACCTACAGCTCAACAACAACAAAATCAAAAATGAAGAAAGCCCTTGAATAGACATTCCTCCTAAGAAGATATACAAATGGCTAGGAGCACATGAAGTGATGCTCAGCATCATTAATTACCAGGGAAATGCAAATCAAAACCATCGTGAGCTACCACTTCATACCTATTAGGGTGGCCCTATCAAAACAAAAAGATAATAATAACAAATGTTGGTAAAAGGTGTGGAGAAGCTGGAACCGGTGTGCATTGCTGATGGGGATGCAAAATGGTACAGCTATGGAAAACAATTTGGTGGTTCTTCAAATGTTAAACATAGGATTACCGTATGACCCAGCCATTCTACAGAATTGAAATAACTGAAAGCAGGGACTCAAACAGATACTTTTATACCAATGATCACAGCAGCCTTATTCACAATAGCCAAATTAATAAGAATCCCAGTATCTACCAACAGATGAATGGACGAACACAATCTAGGAATATTACTCAGTCTTACAGAGGAATGAAGCTCTGATGCATGCTACAACATGGGTGGACCTGGAAAACATTCTGCTAAGCAAAATAAGCCAGACACAAAAAGACAAAGACTGTATGATTCCACTTACATGAGACATCTCGAGTGGTCAGATTCACAGACAGAAAGTAGAATGCTGGCTGCCAGGGGCTGCGGGAAGCAGTTATTGTTTAATGGGTATAGAGATTCTGATCCAGATACTGAAAAAGTTCTGGAGATGGATGGTGGTGATGCTTAGGCAACCTTGTGAATGTAATTAACGTCACCAAATTATACACTTTAAGATGATTGTAATGGTAAATTTTGTTTTGTAAATTTTACCACAGTTTTAAAAAGAATGCTTCAACATGCATTTATGAATTCCCTACTTGCTGCCACTGTTTCCTTCAGTGCTTTTATGGATGATAATTATTCCTTAATTTCAGGCAACTTAAAGTATTCACTATAGCCAAACACACACACACGCATGCACGCACACACACACACACATGCACGCGCACACACACACACATGCACGCACACACACACATGCACACGCACACACACACACGCGAAGAGAGAAAAGGAAGCATTTTCAAAATGAAGTAAGGACCAGTTTCCCCTTCAAGGCAATGTCTTCTCAAGCCCTGTGAGGAGAGGGTACTAAATGATATCTAAAGTAGGACCTACGTAGAAAAAGAGCTACATAAAATCCCTTTTAGATCGACGTGGGGAAGCAAACAAAGGAACTTACAAATACACTCTATTAGGCTGTTATTTTAAATAAGCAACAGTAACTCTAGAGCACTAATGGGAAGCCTTAAAAAAACCTTTTTATTTTGAAATTATTTCCAATCCACATAAAAATTTCAAAAATAGTGCCAAGAGTTCCTGGATATCTTTCATCAGCTTCCTTCACTTTACCGCGGGGGGCAGGAGTACTGATTCTGCAGCTCTGCTGGTTACAGTGTCTCCCCACAAGGGAAGGGTAAGTAGAGAGGGGAGATAATTATCAGGATTTAACCCCATCAGTTTTCCTTAATGACACCAGACCATAGTTCCATGTTCCAAACTAAATGTGGGAGAATTGTGGAAAAACAGAAAGAACAACAAAACAATATGTTGTTCTATGCCTATTTTACAATCTATTAAGAGTCTGTTTTAAAAAAAATAAAATGTATACACTTGGCAAAAAAATCTGTCACATTAGCACTGCGGCTTCCCCTACAATCTGAAACAACCCCACAGGGCCCATGGAAGAACTATAAAAGGGATTCACAGATAAGTAAAATCGTTTCTGGAACTGTCATCTTACTTGCCTAATTGTGTTTTCTCTATCTGGAAGAATTAGGCTCCTAACTGTAAGGAATGCAGACCATCTACCTACCTGGCTACCTCAAATCGAAGATAATTTTCTTTCGTTTTATACCTCCCTCTACATATCGTTAGCACTGAATAAACACCTGCTAAATAAATGACTGAATGGATGAATGATCAAAATAGTCAACGGTTTCAGCTGAGCACTCTCCTCTACCCGCCCCCCCACCGCCCCCCAACCCCCAACCCCCATCTCCCAAACTGCGAGGACTTTCAAGAAAAACAAAAATCGCAATGCATTAAAAGCACCTGTAAGTTAAGTAAATCCTCTCCTGTAACATTTTCAATTCACCCTGACTTCACCAATAGTCAGGATGACCACACCCAAAAGTGGAAAAAATGGGTCAGCTACATTCCCTACAGGGACCTTCCTCGCAGGCTTCCCAAGTTTCCACCCGCCTACAATGGAGAGAAGAAAGAGGAGCAGCAGTCCTGCCCCACATCCCCAGGTGTCCAGCCTCCGTCTGCCTTCTAGGGCCTTACCTTCAAAGGTCAGCTAAACAGTGTGTATGAGTTAAGTTTTCCCATATGAACAAAAATCCCAGCATCCTAAGAAAGAGCCAATAGAGATTTACCTTCAGGACTATTATTTTAAAGTGAGATTACACTTTGCTGTTCTTCTGTCAGTTGCAAATCCCCAAACCTACTAGAATTCACTTAAAACTAATCTACAGTGTTTTCATTGGAAGAAAGCAATCAGGAAAGCTCTGAGCCACTGAGCAGCTGGGAATTTCGCTGCTGAAGGTTTGGTTTAGTCTTTATTTTTCTAGCTGCTGGCCCTGCTAACATGATTCCATGAAGGTCGCATTTAATCTTGCAGAGAAAAGCTACCTAAGCAGTTCTTAGGTAGTCTTCAGTAAAAATAAATTGCCTTGGCTCTCTGGATAAGTCTGTTGCTTCAACCCAACAATTACAGTCAAAGAGAACAAATGAAGGCAACTGTAAAATACTATACTTGATTTCAAAAGAATTTCATCGCCTAGATGTTGTGGGCTGTGTTTGTTAATAACAAAGTTATTGTTAACAAAGAACCCATGGAAAAAGTAGCAGCTTCCAAATGTTTATCTTCAGGTCATCACCAAATATAGCTTATTTATCCCTACAAGAAAGTATTAGGATCATCATTGGAACTTAAACATCAAAAGAAGAAACTGATAATATTTTTTAAAGGTCTGGATACAAAGGAGAAAAACCGAACAATTTTTCACCTTCTGGGTGTGGAACCCCTAATACAAAGTAACAAATCCTAATGCAAAGTGACAAATCCTAATGTTTATGTGTTCAATTCATATACCATTAGGTTTCTAGTACAAACTAGATCTGTGCCACCCTTCCTGAGCTGGAATTCAGCCTTTCAAGCTAACCTTTGCTTTACAGCTGAAAATCAAATAAACTAATATTTATCTAGGTCTTAAAGGTGTCAAACACCGGTGAGGAATGCAAATAAATCGGACTGGATCCTGGCTCTCAAATAACTTACCACATAGGTGATACAAATGGAAAAATTCAAATAATCTAAGATTTTCATAACAGTTCAAGAGTCTAGAATGAAACATTCATCTCATCAAGATGCAGATAGCTAACTACCCTAGGAATGGGATGTAGAGTATGCTGCTTCTATAGAAATTCAGAGCATTTCATTGTTTTAGGCTGAAGAGATCAGGTATGGTTTGTGGGGAGAGCCACAGGGAGATTCATACAGTTATGACCAAAATAACCACTCCAACTCTACTTTCCTTCAGTCCTTTCAGGACTGTACTACAACTTTCCCCTGTATTGTCTTCACACCTTGATTGATTTCCTTATGCTGCACCAACCAAGATGGTAGCCACCAGCCACATGGGTCTACCATGCCCTTGGAATGTGGCTGGGCTGAATTAAGACGTGCTATAGGTGCAAAGGACACATTGGATTTTAAATACTCAGTATGAAAAATGGATACAAAATATCTCATTAGTATTTTTACATTAACGACATACTGAAATATTTTAGATAAAATTAGTTAAATGAGATATATTATTACAATTAATTTTACCTACTTCTTTTTACTTTTCTAAGTGGCTACTAGAAAATTAAAACTATACATGTGGCTCACATTATATTTGTATTGGACAATATCGTGCATATATATATATTTTTTTTTTGATGGGCTGTGGTACGGCATTCAGCCTCTGAACTCATAATGGTCATGCCCAATCCTACTTCCGTAGCAATCCAAAAACGTCTCCATGTTCATAAAGAGAGTGAAACTATTCTAATATTTTTTCAGATAAAAATTGGAGATTTGAGGTCTTCAGTTTGAAAAGTCAGAGGTCACACTCTGATTAAGCTCTACTGTCATTCTCCAACAGGGGTCTGGTAAAGGCAGGTGTGAGGGGAAAATACAACTTCTCAGGCTTCTTTCCAGACTCCTATAAAATGCCTTCACCTCCTAACACACAGAAATGAATAGAATATAAAGGGAAAAAATGTATAGGACACGAAGATAGGGAATGCATATGATGCGAAGATAGGGACCGTTTATGACATGAAGATAGGGACCGTATAGGACATGAAGATAGGGAATGTATTGGACATGAAGATAGACAATGTACAGCATATGAAGACAGCGACCATTTAGGACATGATGATAGGGAATGTATAGGATAGGAAGATATGAAGATAGGGAATGTACAGGACATGAAGATGGGGACTATATAGGATATGAAGATGGGGACTGTTAAGAAATGAAGATAGGGAATGTATAGGATATGAAGATGGAGACTGTTCAGGACATGAAGATAAGGAATGTATAGGGTATGAAGATGGGGACCATAAAAGGTCTGAAGATAGGACCATATATGACATGAAGGTAGGGAATGTATAGGATAGGGAATGTATGGGATATGAATATAGGAGCCATATAGGATATGAAAATAGCGACTGTATAGCATATGAAGATAGGGAATGTACAGGACATGAAGATAGGGACTATACAGGACATGAAGACAGGGAATGTTCACTCTCACTTCCCCTACAAACATTTTATACTTCACTTACCATGAGAATTAGATCTGTAGCCATTTGTGTACATTAAATGCTCTTTTCCAAAAGGATAATAAAACCTCTAATCTCCTCAAGAGGACCAAATAATTTCACCTTGGTTCCCAAGGTGCTGGGAAGACGTATCTCCCTAGGCATGTGTATTTCAAAAAGCATGAAAAACAGACCTTGGAGACATCCCCAGGTTACAAGTGTCTCACATTCTGAAAGGTTAGGATAAGACCCCTGGAACCTTTTCATCCCATGTCAGGGGAGCTAAGGTGTTTGTCTGTTTGGTTTTCCTTTTTCTTCTTCTTTTTTTTTTCTCTCTCTCTCCTTTTGGGACGGGAGAGGGACAGCTGCTCTGTCCCTGTCAACAAAGTGTAGCCCACATGTACATTCCATTAGTTTTCAGTGTCACCTAAGGGTCAAGGTTTAGGGGCCTGACACAATAGTGTCACTCAGGCTGTTGCCCCAGTTGTAAATATCAACAAGGAACTCTTTTCTCCTACCCAGGGGTTTTGTGTTTCTGCAGTATTCATATGTATAAAGAATGTTAACTGTGAAGTGAAATCATATCTCAAGCCCTTCACAGTTACTGACAAAACATTATGTCCCAACCTCACCAAAAAGCCACCAATCTAAGTGTCTCCAAGTAGCCACAGCTGTCTGAGGACAAAGGCTTCCAAGAGCCTGGCCAGGAAAGCCCTGGCTCTAGAGCCTGCTCCACACATGGAGGCAGAAAGGCTCGAGAATGGCCCCGTCCATGCACAGCCTCCTCCTCGGCAGCACCCAGTGTGTTTTTCCTAACCTTACGTGGACCAGAGGTGAGGGCAGAGATGACATATTAGCACTCTCTTGAGAATATTTTTCTGGTTAAAAGGGTAATTGGTAATTGTGCTTGCTGTTTTAAATTTGGAAAATACAAAAATGTTTCAAGAAGGAAAAAAAAAGCCAAACACCCACAATTTCACCATCAAAAAGATATGTTTTCTTCCAGGTTTTTAAAAATACCCCAATATACACATATGTTTTAAAAATAAAACTAGAAGCACAATTTCATATCCTTTTTTCCCCACCCAATCAGCATAGATCATAAATATTTTCCCATCACTAAACGCTGCTCGAAAACACGAGCTTTATAAGCTACCTATAGTCTGTCTGGATGTGCCGTAATTCGTTCAAATGTGTCTCTATTGTTGGATATTTAGCTTGTTTCCAAGTTTTTACATAACAAAAGCTAATTCAATAAACATCCGTGTACATACATCTTTGTTCCCATCTCTGGTTACTTCACGTAAGTAGGTTCCAAGAAGCAGAATTTCTGGAACAGAGAGCTTAACATTTTTAAGACTTTAAGTATATAGCACCAAGGTAAATTCCAGAAAGTTTATTTCAATGTAGAATCCTGACTACAGTCACTGTGGAGTACTCAGTGCCCCACTCAGTGACCCACACTACCCACTTATGGAATTCATAGTTCAGTTTTAACTTGTCCCATCTGGTTGTTTTTTGTTTTTTGTTTTTTTTTTGAGATGAAGTCTCACGCTTGTCACCCAAGCTGGTGCGATCTCGGCTCACTGCAACCTCCGCCGCCTGGGTTCAAGCGATTCTCCTGCCTCAGCCTCCCGAGTAGCTGGGACTACAGGTGCCCGCCACCATGCCCAGCTAATTTTTGTATTTTTAGTAGAGACGGGGTTTCACCATGTTGGCCAGGCTGATCTTGAACTCCTGACCTCAGGAAATCCGCCCGCCTCGGCCTCCCAAAGTGCTGGGATTACAGGCGTGAGCCACCGCGCACGGCCAATCCCATCTGTTCTTTAGGAAAACACATTATCAGCCCATTCTATTTCCCTGATTCCATATTTACCTCCCACAATCTCAATAGCACAATTACATTGATTTATCATTACAAATTACAAATATGAATGCATTAAATTATTACATGTGCCCTGAAAATACATACATCTATTATGTATTATTTCAAGAGTTTAAAAATAAAATAAAACAGTACCAAGGAAGATCAGTACGGGGGGAGAAGGCCTAAGAGAGCTATTACCGTATTTCCGTGGTTGCCTCCAAAGGCAATTTTAGATTGAGTTTGGGGCCTCACATAGTGAGTATCAGTTTCCCCATCCCCAAACAATGCATCAACATCAGCACACTTATACATTCTGAGAAATGCACCATTAAGCAATTTTGTCATTGTGTGAACATCACAGAGTGTACTTACACAAACCTACATGGTATAACCTCCTACACACCCAGGTTTATGGTATGGCCTATGGCTTCCAGGCTGCAAACATGTACTGCAGGTTACTGTACTGAGGACCGTAGGCCACTGTAGCACAATGGCAAGTATCTGTGTATCTAAACATAGCAAAAGGTAAAAGTATGATATTATCATCTTATGGGGCCACAGTCATGTGTATGGCCCATTGATGACCTAAACGTTGTGATGCAGCAACATCACTGTACCCTAAGGTGACTTCAGCCATGTCCAAGTGACAACTACTCACAACTTCATGTTTCCTGGTGGTATAATGTCAGCAGCTGCCTAGCAGTTTTCCCATCAGCCTTTCTCATCCCCAGGATAAAAGGATCTGATCCCACAGTCAGCAGTGGAGGGTCCTCCAGTCTTTCAACTGGTCCTTGAGTTATCACTAATTGCCTAACCAACTTCACCTCACCCCTCCGATCTCTAAAACTCTTTCAGTGACATTTATGCAAAGACAGAAAATCTCCCTGCCTGATTGTCTCTTCACTCTCTCCCATTCAAGAATCCAGGAGTCACTAGTCACCTATTTTCCTTCTCATCACCCCATCCCCCAACTCTCACTTTCCACCAGCCTCCCATTGCTATCCTTTCACCCGACACACCCATCATATCTAGGTGTTAAGACACTCTTATCACCACTGTAATTTTTCTCATCTTTTCCAATAGATCTAGGGTAAAAAGGACAAAAGAATTCTTTCAAAAATAACATGGTAGATATTACTTGAAATAAAGCAATTTGTATGCAGTCCCTCCTCATCTGAAAGGTCAATCTCATGAAATGGGAAAATTGGTAGGATTCTAAGCTTAGGGGGCCAGGACAGCGTATTCTGTCTACAGAGTACTTCTTTGGATCTTCCCAAAATCTGACATTCATAAGAACAATTAAAATGTACACTCAATAAGAACAAATTAAAGTGTATACTCATCTCTCCTTTGATGGCATTAGGTGTGCGAGTATCAAATGCCTTCAGCAGATAGCAACAGTGTTAAGTATGCCCAAATGAAATTATTTATGAAAATCACACAGCAAGTAGTTAATTCTCAAAAATCGTCATTTAATGAAAACAGGACAGGCTTTTATCACACAAAATCCTAAATTAAGGTATTTTGCTGAACTAAATTAGTCTTGCCTTTGGGATAAAAATACTTAGAATCCATCATCAGAAGGAACCTCACACACCTGCTTCTCATCTGCAGCCATTCTTTGTCAACTCCGCTCTTTCTTGCTTATCAGAAGGGAATACTAAACTGATAAAGGAGTTATAAACCAAAATAGAAACAAAACAAAACCAAACGCCTAATTCTCCATGGCCTTCCTGGACAAAGAGACAAATACATAAAATAAAATAAAGTCCTTCTTGCCTCTTCAAAATGGAAAACTGGGCTGGGCGCGGTGGCTCACACCTGTAATCCGAATACTTTGGGAGGCTGAGGCGGGCAGATCACCTGAGGTCAGGAGTTCGAGACCAGCCGGCCAACATGGCGAAACCTCATCTCTACTAAAAATACAAAAATTAGCCCGGCGTGGTGGCATATGCCTGTAATCCCAGCTACTCGGGAGGCTGAGGCAGAAGAATCACTTTAACCCAGGAGGCGGAGGTTGCAGTGAGCCGAGATCACACCACTGCCCTCCAGCCCAGGAGACAAGATCGAGACTCTTTCTCAAAAAAGAAAAAAAAAGGAAAATTCAATGTATCACAAACTTAACATGAGTCCCATTTCTGTATGGCAAGCAAGGGCAAGTGGGCAGAGCCAACAGAGTGACCACAGGCCCCTGTCCGAAGTGCTTTTTAAAATGTGGAAAGAGGTTTCATCTGAGCCAAGGAAAAGATCAACTATTTGGCCCTGGGAAGAGATCCTCGATTCAGTGGCTTTCCATTTCTACTCTGGCCACACACCTGAGGGAGGCTGGGGAGCAGGGATCCAATGGTGAATAAGAGGCTCGCTATCAAGGCAGGAAGGGGAAGGAAGGGAAAGGGGGCTACAGATAGTCTCAAATCTAAAAGGTCCCGTGTAATTTCTAAAAGTCCCCTCCCCAGGTGATTTTCACAACACACACAGGTTCTGTCTCCTGAGGATGACAGAATTATCCAGCCACATTTTACAGTGAAAACTTCCAAAGGAGGAAGTGATTGGAGAACTAAAAGGCCACTCTAGGCATCTGAGTTCATGCACCTTCCACCGCAGAGCCTTGTACACAGCTGGCTGTCAAGAAATATTTAATAAACAAATGAAATAATAACACAATGTGTGCATTTAAGAAAACCATTGCATGTGTTACTACATTTAACAAAATCAATTATTCATTTAAAATAATTGCATGGGGTCCCTGGATCCCCAAGCAGACCAAGTTATTGATGGAGGGTCCCGGCTAGTTTCAGTGCCTCAGAAAGCCTAACGGGATGGTGAGTTTCTCTCACACGGAGCCGGCCAGCCTGTCCAACACACCACGGGTCTCTACCTTTGGCTATAATGAGTTCAGTGAGATTTGATGATACCAGTTTTCTCAAGGCAATCAGGAGTTCTGACTGGAAGTCATATGTGTTTCTGAGGAATAAAAATGGGCACTAGGGCCGGGTGCAGTGGCTCACGCCTATAATCCCAGCACTTTGGGATGCTGAGGAGGGAGGATCATTTGAGGCCAAGGGTTTGAGACCAGTCTGGGCAACATAGCGAGACCCCGTCTCTACACAAAAATGTATGTCGGGCTTTGGGGTGGCACATGCCTGTTGTCCCAGCTACTCAGGAGACTGAGGCAGGAGGATCACTTGTGCCCAGGAGTTTGAGCCTGTAGTGAGCTATGATCGAGCCACCGCACTCCAGCCTGGTGGACAGAGTGAGACTTTGACTCTAATAAAAGAAAAAGGATACATGAAGTCTACTTAAATAAACACAATTTGTTTCAGAGACAGTTTGTCATAAGATGGAGCTTCTGAGGGGGAAAATTATTTTTAGGGGATCTTTGAAGGTCAATGCCAAGACTTCAGGCCTGCTGCTTGCTCTGAATCCAACGAGCCTCAGACGGAGTCCCAGGGACAAAGGGGACCTGTGAGCTGTGTTTCCTGCTTGTGTGTTTTCCTTGGTACTCTATAAAAAATACTGTCTTCATGTTCAAATCTGGACCCTATATGTTATTCATCATTCTTTGTTCTTTGTTGATAAATTAAAGTTTGATGGAACTTCCTCACCCACTTTTCCATCAGTCACTCCCGCCACCAGAGCCACTCCTCAATTCAGCACACTGTGCATGAAGCTGGCATCGTGCACCGACCACTGATTACACTCAGGCCAAACACAGGGGGCCGACGGGGCAGGCAGAGACCGAAGGTCCTGACCTCCTACCCCTGTGCAGGAAGGAACATCATGTCTCATACAGATGAAAAGAAGAACTAATTTTTACTAATAATAACTGACATTTCACCGCAGTTTCGTTTATTTGCATATATTACGTATTGTAATATATGTTATAAATATATGCTATCAGTTAATATTTACTTTCATGTATGTTGTCACATATACAGTGTTGGGCACACAGTAAGCATTCAATAAATGCACATGAGCCAAGATGGTAAAGCAGGCCGGCGCAGTGGCTCATGCCTGTAATCCCAGAACTTCAGAAGGCTGAGGTGGGCAGATCACCTGAGGTCAGGAGTTCGAGACAAGCCTGGCCAGCATGCTGAAACCCCGTCTCTACTAAAAATACAAAAATTAGCCAGGCATGGTAGCGCACGCCTGCGCACACCTGTAGTCCCAACTACTCGGGAAGCTGAAGCACAGGAATTGCTTGAACCTGGAAGCAGAGGTTGCGGTGAGCTGAAAGTGTGCCACTGTACACCAGTCTGGGCAACAGAGCAAGACTCTGCCTCAAAAAAAAAAAAAAAGAAAAGAAAAAAAAGGTGGTAAAAGCAAAATACTACAATCAGCCCAGTGCACACCTGCAATGACAGATAATGAAGAAGTTGACACGAGAGTGAAGAAGATTCAGACTAAAGCACAGAGAGGCTTGGGAAGATTTTCTTATCTGACATAAAGAGGGAAAATACATTGGTCCAATCACTGTTATTTCCATATCATTTGGTCTCCATGGATACCACCTAACTTTCCTTCTGACAGGAAAAAATTCACTGACAATATCGGATTCCACTGTGAAATTTTTTTGATACTTTATATAAAAGTTATTCCATGTTTAATCTTTTATCATTATTTATATATGCTCAGAAGTAAAATCCCTCCTTGCTGGAAATTCTATGAGAAAGATAGTGTCTAATCCAGTCATGATTATCTGGCCTTTTTACACTAAGAATAATCTGATATAATTTTGAAAGTTAATGCCTTACACATTTGTAGACTGCCATAATTTATGCAATGTTCTTTCATATACAGTATCTCAATTGTTCATGAAAGCAACACTTACGAGATATAGTTAAAAATTATTATTATCCTCCTTACAGCTAACCCCAAAAGGTAATAACTATATTTTTTGTTGTTAATGGTCAGCTCACTCACCAGAACACAACCTAGTGTAAAGATGCTGTCTTTCTCGCTGTCAGTTGAGTATACAGAGGCTAGCACTGTGTCTGGCTTATAATAGATGTTCTAAGGATATTTATTGAGTGTGTACATAAATTCTCTTGTCTGCGTTAAGCCCTTTTTGGTATAAGGCAGATAAGGGAACTATAACCCAGATACTCCATTTAGATAGAGTACAGTGGTTTTTCACTATCAAAAGGATATTATGTGAAAATGCTCTAAAAACAACAGTTTTGTACGAGATGATGTTAAGAATAAAAATATAACATCGTTGGTAACATGAGAAAATTGATGCACATCAAATGTGGAGCATCCAAAGTGTCTATTTTTCCAGTAAGTTTAAACATCTTTTGCTCTGGTGCACTATTTGCCTAATAAAGTGTTTCAGAAAGTGGGATAAAAGTGGGACCATTGTTCATAAGGCTGTCAGAACTTCATGGCACGCATGTGTTTGCCATAATTTGCTTCCAGTTTGACTACAGATCCTTACTTTTGATTATGCTGACATTTTTACAGGTAAGTAAATCTGAAATAACTGGAACTTTCTCTAACAAAAAAATGACAACTCACTGAGAATGAAATATGTAAATGTTTAATTTTAACAAGCAGTTACAAATCGTAACAGACAAGAACTCTTGGATCTAAGAGACCAAAATGTAATTTCTTACATAACAGACAAAGTTACAAGTTATAATCGTTCACTAATTACAGTGAAATTCCGGACTTTGACACATCAATCAATAGATGTTCCAACGTTCCCCCTAGAGATCCCAGTTCAAGTCTTAAATATTTCATCTGCTGAAGTTTCCTCAGAAAAGGCTCCTTTTCCCAGGATTTTTTAGGTTTCTACTTTTGCCCCTTCTCCCACTAAAAGAAGAATAAAGGAAAGTTGGGGAAATCAGAGAATCCTGAATCTGCGTGCGTGGTGAAGTTAAACAGAGTCACCCTCTGGGCCTGGTAGGGATAACTGCATCTGCCTAGCATCAAGACTATCCACCGCCTGGTCTAACCCCAGACCCCGTTGTGCACCTGCCCTTAAGCACCAAAAACTGAACTGCTCAAAGAGAACCTGCAGTCGATATGAAAACTAGTAAATGACTGCAGGCTTGACAGCAGTCTCGGTGATGCCTGAAAATCCACAACAGGAAATCTAACTATCCTCCATACCTCCTGGCCATTCATCAAAAGCAGACCGAGTCACAGCCATAAGGAGGCCGGTGGCTGAAGACGAATGCCAGCACCACTTTTCCTCATTTAGAACAACTGAGTTTTTTCCTTCCATAACCAAGGACAAGGAGCAACCGGAGGGAGGAGGTTGAAGAGGGAGGGGGCGGGCAATATGTCCCCAAGTTTCAGACAGTAGCGGGTCAGAAACGAGCGAAAGCCACCTCGCTCTTCTGAGCTACCTCGGCCGCCAGTCCCCGGGATCACATCCGCAGCCGAGCGCCAAGGGTCCGGCCTACACAGACTGACCCGGGCGTTTCACCTGGTGCCCGACCACGGCTCTGGCGCCCTGCCCAGGCTGCCCGCCTCCTTCCCCTCCCCCGCTTCTTAGGGAACAAGGAGGAGAGGGTGGCAAACGCACCCAGACCGGGGGCCAAGGGGAGACGCCGGCGCGTGCTGGGAGGGGCATGAGTTACACCCGCGACCCTTGGAACTTGGAACGGCTTCCCCAGCCCCGGCGGACGCCGGCCCCCAGGCCGTGCCACTGGGAGCAGGCGGGCGCCGCGATTGGCCGCGGCCGGCTTCACTCGGTGGGCGAGCCCTACCGGCGAGGCGGAAAGGAAGTGGCGGCCGCCGCGGCTTTGCACCAACCATGTTCGGCCAGCGGGCGAATGTCACCCGGCGCCCGGAGCCGGGTCGGAGGGCACGGGGCGGGCACTCGCGTCCCCACCCCGCCGCGGCCCGCGCCCCGGGACCCCGAGGGGACGCCGGCCCCCACTGCGCCGCTCGGTCCCCGGAGGCTCCCCGCCCCCACCTCGCCCGCTCCGTAGCCGAGGCGGGTCAGGCCCAGCGCGCGAGGCCGGCCGGGGGCGCCTGCGGGGACCCGGGGGCGCACGGCGCTAGGCCGCGGCCCGGGCGGCTGACCCCTCGGCACGGTGCCTTCCTGGGACGCGCCGCCCGAGCCCCTGGCGCGCTGGGACAAGTGCAATGACAAAGCCCCAGGGCCCGACCGGGCGCTGGCCGGCGGGAAGGAGGACGCGGCGTCCCTTCTGAGCGGCGGCGGCGGCGGCCCAGCCCCCAGGAAGCAGGGCGCGTCGGCCAGGCCCGGCGCCCGGCCCGGCTCCGAGCCCGCCCTCCCGCCCCGGCCGCTGGCACCCGACGCCCGCGACCCGACCCCGAGCCCGGCAGGCAGGCGAGCCCCTGGACCGCCGCGGGGCGCCCCAGCAAGTTTCCTCTGGCCGTGGCTGGAGGCGCTCCTCCCGGCCGGGGAGCGGTGCCTGCTTATTTACGCTGGAGGCAGCCTGGAGAGGCGCCGCCGCGGGCACCGAGAAGGACCCGCTCCCCTCCTTCGGATCCGGTGGCGGCGGTGGCTGCACACACACACACGCGCGCACACACAAACACGCACATACACACAATTTTGTTTTAAATGAGGCCCGACTCCAGCTGACCTGCACCCCCACACACAACACCTGGGGCGCAGAAGCACACACAGCAGGTCTGTGTCCATGGAGCCACCTCTCCGCATCTGCAAATCCAAAAGTGAAATTAAACCTCCACCAACCTCCTCCTCCTCCTCCCTCTCTACCTCCTCCTCCTCCTCCTCCTCGCAGCCTCAGCAGCCCCAGTAGCAGCAGCAACAGCAGCAGAACCTGCTTCCCCTAAAATCAGATGATCCATAATTGCGCCGACTGTTCCTCCAAAAATCAGTATTAATATTTATGAACCCCGGCATTTTCCGTCTGCAAAACATCGTGTCAAGGCATCAGGACACGCATACACACACGGCCCCCCACAGTCCCCAGAAACATGCCCTCGAGAGAAACACACACAGTCACAACTATTATTTGAAAAATGTTACCTCTCAGTGTGCTTTTTTCACGCTACCAATACAATTCCGCAAGGTATAAGTGTTGCTAGGGTATGTGAAATGGAAATGAAAGCCCGTCAGTTGAATAATCGCAGGAGCAAAACTAAAAGTTACTCCCCGGCTTGCCTGAGAACAGTCCAGATCGAAAGCAAAACAAGGAGAGGAAACTGCGAAGAGCCGCGGCTGGAAATCCCCCCACCCCCCGCCCTCCTCCGGCCGCGCTCCCTCCCTCGCCTCCCCTCTCCGCCCTCCTCCCTCCGCCCTTCCTCCCCAGTGTTTGTTTCAAGCTTGTGCAACCGGGAGGTGGAGGCGGAGGGAGGGCGCGAGCGGCCCGGCCGGGAGGTGCGGAAGTTCGCCGCAGCAGCTCATTGGCGGGCAGCGCCGCTTTCATCATTTCTCGGAAAAGTCAATTTCATTTTCGCTTCCCCAGGTCGCGGCGGCGGGAGCAACAAGCAGCGGCTCGTGAGTCCGCGGCTCGCACCCAGGGGCGCCCGCACGTGCGGCTAGAACGTCCGAGTCGGGGTCCGGGGCGGGGGGCGCAGGCCCGCGGCGGTAGGGGAGGAGAGCGGGCACCCGAGTCTCCATCCTCAGGGTGGCCTGAAGGTTCCAGGAGGGCGTCCGGCGAAGGCACGGGGCTGCGACCATCCAGTTAGCAGGGCTGGTGTGACTGTTGAGAGTAAATGAAAATTCGTTTTGTGACACCGACCACCTCCAAGGAATGAAAGGAGCAGTCAGCCGAAACGACAGCATTACTTGCGTCCTTACCTAATTGGAACCTTATCCGTGGCTGAGGGTGCCACCATTGGAGGGGCCGCCGCCCCCTCTGACACCACCTGGCGCTCCGCTCCATTTAGGAGCTAGAACGAAAAGGAGGCCCATCCCCCAGTAAGTCACAGCCCACGCCAAGATGAGTTCTGGAGCCTGTGCGACCGAAGTTTCTTCACCGCAGGGCGAGGTGGACAAGGGTGTGAGTTACTTTGACTTCAAGACGTCTCAGTGGCGGCTGGTTCTGGAGAGAGGCTTTATGCTGGAGCACTTCCAGCAAAGTTCGGCTGGGGCCTCCTTAACTCACTGGCTGGTCACCCTTGGCCTCGGTTTTCAACCAAAGCCTAAGGCCTCAGTTTTCAACGCTGTAAATGGAAATAAATGAGAGAAGAAAGTACAGCCCGTGTGACAAGTGCAGCAAGCAATGCAACTTCCTTGGGACCTACCCTTTGTGGTCCCTTGCTTTAAAAGTATAGATTCACATTTAGTTAGACCTGTTTCTTCCTCGCATGCAATTTCACCAGTCTTTTCCCAGACTTCTGTACTCAACAGAGGAAGTTCCTTCCTGGGAGACCATAGCTGTTTGTATGTAAAGAGTTGCGAAAAAACAAAAGCAAAACAAAAAACTCCAACACCTCTCTGTCACAGAAGTATTGAATTATATAGACTGGAAAAATGGAAGTATCCAAGAAAACGCGTGTGGTAAGAAAATGGCTAAGGTGCAGGATTCTGTTTTGTGGCTCTGGTCTCAGAAATAGACCTCACATACACATTATTCCTTATCCCCTCTATTATAATACTCACTTTTTTTTTTTTTTAAGAGACAGGGTAGGCCGGGTGCAGTGGCTCATGCCTGTAATCCCAGCATTTTGGGAGGCCAAGGCAGGAGGATCACCTGAGGTCGGGAGTTTGTGACCAGCCTGACCAACATGGAGAAACTCCATCTCTACTAAAAATACAAAATTAGCCAGGTTTGGTGGCGCATGCCTCTAATCCCAGCTACTTGGGAGGCTGAGGCAGGAGAATTGCTTGAACCCAGGAGGCGCAGGTTGTGGTGAGCCGAGATTGTGCCATTGCACTCCAGCCTGGGCAACAAGAGCGAAACTCTGTCTCAAAAAAAAAAAAAAAAAAAAAAGAGAGGGTCTTGCTCTGTCACTCAGGTTGTGCTATCATAGCTTACTGTAACCTTGAACTCCTGGCCTTAAGCGATCCTCCTGCTTCAACCTCCCAAGTAGCTGGGACTACAGGCCTGTGACAGTGCCTGGCCCAGGCACTGACTTTCTTATGTCATATAGCAATGACCACTAAGGGAAAGTCTATACAAACTATAGAATAGTTGTCATTCTTTACCCAACCCGGGACACAAGTTAAAAACCTAGTATTCATTTTTTTTTTCCTGTACCAAAACAATCATCTTCCTTTATTTTTCCTGGAGCGGGAAGAGGAGAGTGGAGAAGAAGGGAAGAATGCAAAGTGTCACTTTGAACTTCTCGTTCACCACACACGTGGGAGTCCACTCATGTCAGCAGCCTCCGTGCACAGGCCCCAGGTGAAAGAAAGAATGAGGTCTAGTTGGACCAGCTAACACTGCCTGCCTTGTGTTTACGAAAGGCAGCTGCCTCTGTGGTGTGATTTCAGGGGAGCCAGACAGGGCCGGGGCCACGAACCTGCATCCTGCATCCTAAGCACCTATTGCCATGCGTGAGGCTAACTGGAAACTCACTTGCTGGGTGCAGATAGCTTCCAAACTATTGTGATGCTCATGCTTGACTTCCCAAGGAACGTGTTTCAGGAAAGGCCATTGCCCTCATTATGGTCTTTGATAAGCAGGAAGAAGTTTGTTGTTCCTTTTTTTTCTTAATGCCCTACTTCGTGCAACATACATCCAATCAGTCATATCCTATTGACGCTACCCCTAAATATCTCTGGGCCTGGCCCGTGCTCAGGGCACTGCCTTCATTCAGTTACTGCACTTGCCTGCTGCCTGTGCTCCTGGTCTCCTGCTTGGACTCCCCCAGGCCAGCAGCCACACTACTGCCAAAATCCAGTCGAAAATTAACTTCAGGTAAAGCACAATTCCAAACCTAACACTGCCCCCCTCAAAAGCCTCTCTGTAGCCTTCAGAATAAAGACCATATTATTTGACAAGACACATAAAGTCCATTGTAATCTGGCACCAAACGACCTTTCCAGCCTCATCTCCTGCCATTGTGTCCCACAAGCCCTACATCCCTCCCTTGCCAAACCAGCCTCCGCTCCTTTTTGTCAAACAACAGAGCTGTCCTCTTGTTCATTGTTTTATCTTTAGCATGGTGCCCAGCACACAGGCACTGAAATACTTGTGAATTAATAATTACTTGCTCTTTTCATCAGGCTCTCATAAAATATTTTAGACTTGATCAGAGCCTTGTTTTATATTTTAATAGCTTTTTAATATAAATGTAATTAATGTTTCTTGTACAGAATTTGGAAGATGCAAGAATGGTGAGAGAAGAACATAAGCCACCTGACATCTCACTAGTCAGGAATAGACCTGTGGATATTTTTATGTATTTCCTTCTAGTGATCTTTCTAAGGGACCGTTTCCAATCCGCATCTCCTCTGTCTGTGTGTAGGATTTAAGAATGCTGACTGTGCAGGCTGCTCTCCACGATGCCCATGTGACAGCCTGCTGTCCTATTCTAGTTCTTGGCCGGTTCCTCGTCTGCTGCCAGCCCCCTAAATTATGGTGTTTCCAGGCATTCTATCCTCAACCCTCTTATTTTCTCATTCTACATGCTTTATCTTTGGGTGTTCTCCTCCACGCCCAGGGCTTCAGATATCACTATTTGCTGATGACTCCAAAATCTGTAACTTCTGAGCTCTGACCACATTAACTCCTACACATGTCTCAGGTGCAACAAATTATACATGTCCCAAGTCAGAGAGAACATCTTTTCCACAGCCTTGCACTGTTCACTTCATTGATTAGCTGGGAAACTGGGAGGACTCACAGACTGCCCCCTTTCCTGAGTCCTGGGGCCTCCCTGAAGCATGGGTGTTGCTTGCAATTTTCCAGGCCCCTAAACTCATAAAACATAGACAGAATGAATTTCTGTTCTTAGGCCCTTGATGACATGTCACTGCAAACCAAAAATGTACAAATGAACCAAAACAGCCACATGGTACTGATATACACAGTCAAGAAGTATCTTAGCCCTTTGATGAGATGCATATAGTAATAAATCTCTGTGGAAACTCCAGCCTTTTTGGAAGCCTGGGTAAGAAAGTAGGCTCAGTGGCTCACGCCTGTAATCCCAGCACTTTGGGAGGCCGAAGCGGGTGGATCATGAGGTCAGGAGATCGAGAACATCCTGGCTAACACGGTGAAAACCCGTCTCTACTAAAAATACAAAAATTAGCCGGGCGTGGTGGTGGGCGCCTGTAGTCCCAGCTACTCGGGAAGCTGAGGCAGGAGAACGACATGAACCCGGGAGGTGGAGCTTGCAGTGAGCCGAGATCACACCACTGCACTCCAGCCTGGGCGACAGAGCCAGAGCGAGACTCCATCTCAAAAAAAAAAAAAAAAAAAAAGAGTAACCTTTGTCATACTGAGGAAATCTGACCAAACACTTCAGTCTAACGTGAAAAAAGTTGAAGGGTCTTTTATAGTGAAACTAGAGTCATCTCCTGGATGAAGCATGTTTGTATTTCACCTGTGGGATGGAATATCCTAAAAGATCTGCCTGGCTGCCTCAGGACTCATTTCTTTTCAGGGGAGTCGGGTGCAGACAATATTACTTGAGCACAATAGTGCCGGATCTCTCCTTGAGTGGATCTTAACTAAGGAAGAAATGTAAAGACACATTCAAAGTTGACCCCTTTCAAATGGGTTTTTAACTTAGTTTCCTAAAATTGAAACAAAGTTTCATAAAATGATCATTCAAATAAAATCTGTTGAGTGCTCAGGAACATTTCCCAGCACTAGGGATACAGCAGTGAACCAAATGAATGAAAGTGCCAGCCTTCTAAGACGTTTTCTTACAGTCTTGTAGGTTGACATGTTGATTTCCACTGTGGCATCCCAGTAATGGCACCGACATCATCTCCACCTGTAATCACAGCCTTCAGAACTGTACATGCAACTTAGGAATGTGTAACATGAAGGCATATAAATGAAAACCTAAGTATTTATAGCTATGATTTAATCAGGAGCCCCAGGTCTGCAAGCAGATGCTCAGTTTTCTCCCCAGAATCACTGGGACCACTTCTGTCTTGGCCACTGGAGCTCCCCTCCAAGGTGCTGCAATTCAGGAGGTTAGAAAGTCATGGAAAACGAGGGTTCCACCCTTGCCAGAACAGTTGCCAATACAAAAGCCACAGATTAACAGTCCTGAGTTGCAAAGAACATTATTGTGAAGTCCAAGTTGAATAAACACACAGCCAAGTTAAATTTTTTGCGGCAATAGAACAGCAATGGGATTGAAAAAACCATCAGTCAAAGTTCAAAGGTCATTGGCCTCAAGTTGAAAAATTCTTGAGCATGTTTGACTGTTACTTTATGTAATGGTTCCTTCCATTTTACAAGAAACTAGGAAGTGGGGGTCATTTTGTTGCAACTATTTTCTGAAAATCATGAGTTTACATTGAGTAATACATTGCTCAGTTTTGGGTGATACTCATTCTGCCCTGTTCTGAAGGGAAAACACATTCTCTAAAATTGCCTGGATTTCTGTGTGTGTCTGTGTGTGTGTGTGTGTGTGTGTGTCTATGTCTGTGTGTGTGTGCATCTCTGTGTGTTTGTGTGTCTGTGTGTGTGCGTGTGTGTGTGCGTGCGTGCGTGTGTTTTTCCTTTCCCAAAGGAAGGCTTTCAACTTTGAAAACTTCATGAAGTGTTTTTTGGCATAATTTCCCAAATGGCTGTGGAATATGTGAAATATTCCTTATTTCTCTATGGTGACAAACTATAAAGTAGTCCTTTTACCTTTAAAGACAGAGGGACATGGTGTCTATAGCTTTGCCTTGACGTTCTGCAGAGCAATTACTATAATAGTTTCAGGTATTGAAGATATTTTAAAGAATAAATTTCAAATTTGTAACCTAAATTTAGGAGACTACTTGGTTCACTGGTCATCTGTATATTTGAAGAAATTTTTAATATTGTTATATTTGTTTTCTTATTTTAAAATATTTAATTGTCAGCCAGGCATGGTGGCTCATTCCTGTAATCTCAGAGCTTTGGAAGGTCAAGGCAGGAGGATCACTTGAGGACAGGATTTCAAAACCAGCCTGGGAAATATAGCGAGACTGTCTACACACACACACACAAAAAAAAAAAAAAAATTAAGAGGGTGTGGTAGCGTGCACCTATAGTCCTAGCTACTTGAAAGGCTGAGGCAGGAGGTTCCCTTGAGACCAGGTGTTCAAGTCTGCAGTGAGCTATAATCATGCCACTGAACTCCAGACTGGGTGACAGAAGGAGGCCCTATCTGTAAATAAATAAATAAAGAAATTTATTTAAAGTAAGTAAAAATAAAATATGTAATTGTCAAATAAAGATTGAACATATTCAAAGTAAACAACATGATTATTTGATACACATATATTGTGTAACAATTACCACAAATGAATTAAAACATCCGCCACTCGCCCTGCTATGATCAGCTCCCACAACATATTGATATTATACATAACTAAACGTTTTGTATCTTTTGACTAACATCTCTCCATTCCACTTCCAGTCACTGGCAACCACCATTTTACTTTCTGCTTCTCTGAGTTTAACATTTATAGATTCCACATGTAAGTGAAACCACACAATATTTGTCTTTCTGTGTCTGGCTTATTTTACTTAGCATAATGTCTCCCAAGTTCATCCATGTTGCCAATGAGATAGGATTTCTTTCTCTTTTTATGGTTGAATAATATTCCATTGTATATATGAACCACAGTTTCTTTATCTGTTCATCTATTGGTGGACACTTGGGCTGTTTCCACGTCTTGGCTATTGGAAATAACGCCGCAGTGAATATAAGGGAGCAGACATCTCCTCAGGATATTGATTTTATTTCCTTTTGATATGTACCCAGAAGTGGGATTGCTGGATCGCATGGTGGTTCCATTTGGTAGTCTCATTCTAATGGTAATTCCATTTTAATTTTTGGAGGCACCTCCATACTGTTTTCCATAATGGCTGCAACAGTCTATATTCCCACCAAGTGTGCAAAGGTTCCCTTTTATAGCCCTTCTAACAGGAGGGAGATATATCTCATTGTGATTTTGATTTGCATTTCTCTGATGATTCATGATGTCGAGCACTTTTGCATACACCTGTTGGCCATTTGTATGTCTTGTATGGAAAATGTCTATTCAGGTTCTTTGCTCATTTGCTGCAACTTTCACCATTTCTCTGTAAGCCTTTGGTCTCAGCGTATGAAGCATGATGATGTTCAGTGTGTTCTCTTCCTTCCCAAACTTCATAGCATTCTGAATAATACACCTTTATTCTATTTGAAAATGTTTGGAAATTCGCCAGTCAGAAAGACAGCAGAGTGTCATAAAACAAAGGATTGAGAACATTTAGAAATGTTCTCACTTCCTTAAAAAACTTTATCTCTGCTAAATACCAAATGTGCATGGCAATTCACGTACACAGCTCTTGGCGCATTCTCCTTAACCTTTGATGCATCTTGGCGTCATTTACCCTCCATGTTTATTGAGCACTGGGATGCTCCAGGCACTCTGAGAGCTGCTGTGAAGAAAGCAAGAGCCAGACAAGACCCCTGCGCCCATGCCCCTGATGCTCTAGTGAAGGTGAAGGCAACAGACAAATAAACAAGCAAACCAACACAATAGTCACAGGTTTGTCTCAGTGCTCTGAAGGAAATCAACAGGCGCTTTGGTAGAAAATGCTGTGTCAACTAGGTGGTCAAGAAGCTTGCTCTGAGGAAATGAGATTTAAGCCAAGACGTGAAGAATGATGTAGTCCTGTATTAGTTTGTCAAGGCTGCCATAAGAAAGTCCCACAACTGAGTGGCCTAAATAACCAAAATTTATTGTCTTATAGTTATGGAGGCTGGAAGTCTGAGAACAAGGCATCTACAGAGTTGGTTCCTTCTCAAGGCTGTGGGGGAGACTTCCACACCTCCTGGCTTCTGGTGGTTTGCCAGCATGCTTGGGCATTCTTTGGCTTGTAAATGCATCACCCCAATCTCTGTCTTGATGGTTATGTGGTGTTCTCCCTGCACATGTGTCTGTGTCCACATTTCCTTTTTTTTTTTTTTTTTTTTTTTTTTTTGAGACTGAATCTTGCTCTGTCGCCCAGGCTGGAATGCAGTGGCCCGATCTTGGCTCACTGCAAGCTCTGCCTCCCAGGTTCACGCCATTCTCCTGCCTCAGCCTCCCAAGTAGCTGGGACTACAGGAGCCCGCCACCACGTCCAGCTAATTTTTTCTATTTTTAGTAGAGACGGGGTTTCACCGTGTTAGCAAGGATGGTCTCGATCCCCTGACCTCATGATCCCTCCACCTCGGCCTCCCAGAGTGCCAGAATTATAGGCGTGAGCCACCGCGCCCGGCCCACATTTCCTTTTTTGATAAGGACACTTATATTGATCGTATTGGATAAGGAGCCCACCCTATTCCCATAGGACCTCATTTTAACTAATTATATCTCCAACTAACCTATGTCCAAATAAGACCATGTTCTGAGGTACTGGGAGTTGGGACTTCAGCATATGAATTTGCAGGAGGAGAACACAATTCGACCCTCCACAGGTACCAACTTCACCGAAGCAGAGGAAAGAGTGGGGCCAGAGGTCTGGGAAGCAAGAGGGTCTGGCAATATTCTGGGAACAGACAGGAAATGACTGATTTCAGAGTTGTGTGACAGAAAGAGGACAGGGATGTGGTGAACAGGTGGGAGACACCAGAATAAGGGGTTTGCATTTTATTTTAAGAGCAATAGGAAGACTTTAAAGGGTTCTAAATAAGATCGACTTGTGGTTTTAAAAACTGACACTATACATTTCCCAGTTGTCTCTGCAACATCAATGAAATGCAAGAATTTCTTCAGTTGTTGATTTTTTTAAAAGTTTTTTAGAGTCAGGGTCTTTCCCTGTCACCCAGGCTGGAGTGCAATGGCACAATCACAGCTCACTGCAGCCTTTAACTTCTGGGTTCAAGCAATCCTCCTGCCTCAACCACCTGAGTAGATGGAACCAGAGGTGTGCACCACCATGCCTGGATAATTTTCTTATTTTTTGTAGGGACAGAGTCTCACTATGTTGTCCAGGCTGGTTTCAGACTTCTGGCCTTAAATGATCCTCCTACCTCAGCCTCCCAAGATGTTGGGATTACAGGTGTGAGCCACTGCACCTGCCAAGTCGTTGATTTCTTAGAGGAATTTTCAACTGTTCTTTATTGCCCTCTCAGTCTATTGCATGACACATTTGTAACACTCTAAAACAATTCAGTCTTTTTAATTCTATTTTTGAATTCCTAAGTCAAAATATTTATTCCCCTTTAACTTTCTCTCCAATTTCCATTTCCACAAATAAATAAAATTAATTAATGTTCTTTTACCAAACACGCCCACACAAATACACAACAACTTTAAAAAGAAAAAAAAAAAACAAGCTAGGCCAGGCCAGGTGTGTGTGATGGTTCGCGTGTATAATCCCAGCACTTGGGAGGCCAAGGCAAGAGGATTGCTTGAGACCAGGAGTTCGAGACCAGCCTGAGCAACACAGATAGACCCCGTCTCTACAAAAAAATTACAAAAATCAGCTGGGCGTGGTGGCTCGAGCCTGTGGTCTCAGCTACATGGGAGGCTTAGATGGGAGGATTTATTGAGCCCAGGAGTTCAAAGCTGCAGTGAGCCGTGACCATGTCCCCAAAATGCCAGGGGTTCAGTCTAGGTCCCGCTGCTCACCTCACAGAAAGCCAATCACCAATCACTAAGCAACAATTATTGCCAAGGAAGAAGGCTTTCATCGGGTGTTGCAGCCAAGGAGATGGGAGATCAGTCTTAAATCCATCTCCCTGGCCACTAAAATTAGGGGTTTATGTAGCAGGGAAGATGTGTAATAATGTGTAAGAAAGCAGGAACTAGGGAGGGGCAAGGAAGCAATCATGATGAATGAGGGCCTGGCATCTCATTGTCTGGATATGATTAGCTGGTAAGTTTCAGTTCTTAGGTACTTTTTGCCAGACCTGGAGGTCCTTTCCTGAGGAAGAAGCTCAGATAAAACAAATGTAAATTTCAAGCTTTAAGACCAGAAGGATCAATTGATACGGTTTTCCAAGAAAAAAACTGTCTATGGAACTATTGGGTCGGTTTCAGTGGTGTCACAGTACTCTAGCCTGGGCAACAGAGCAAGACCTTGTCTCAAAAAAAAGAAGAAGAAGTATATTCAACTGTGGATTTCAGGCACACACTATTTTCCTCATTCCATCTTGAATGAACAGTAATAATTTTCAGAGATTGTGTCACCACAAAACCAACATTCATTTCAAACTTGTAATGGTTTCAAATGTATTCACTTTTTTTTTTTTTTGAGACGGAGTCTCGCTCTGTTGCCCAGGCTGGAGTGCAGTGGCACTATCTCGGCTCGCTGCAAGCTCCGCCTGCCAGGTTAATGCCATTCTCCTGCCTCAGCCTCCCGAGTAGCTGGGACTACAGGCACATGCCACCATGCCCGGCTAATTTTTTGTATTTTTAATAGAGACAGGGTTTCACCATGGTCTTGATCTCTTGACCTCGTGATCCGCCCACCTCTGCCTCCCAAAGTGCTGGGATTACAGGTGTAAGCCACTGCGCCTGGCCAGCACTTTTTTGATTTCTAAAAATTTTCAGATTTTTCCATCAGAAACTCCTTATGTGATAAATGGTTTCTGCGAAACTGAATTTTTGTTGGCAAAACAATCAGCATAAGTAAAATTTGAATGTGCTGTAATTTGAAAGAAAATACTGGTTTCAACAGCCCGTCATATATTTTCTCAACCTGAAACTGTGGATTCTGGCTTTAGGCACCGCTCCTTTCCAAACAAAGAAGGTCTGCTTTTTTCTGTCTTACATATTGAAGTTCTGGGTAGGATGTCATTTAGGAAAAAGATTATGTTGCTTAAAAATATAGGAAAAAAAATCAAAGTCTTTAATATCAACTATTAGTTTCACTTCATTTCAAATAATTGGAGAGAAGAAAGAAAATGCAGCCAAACATGACTGAAATGCTGTAAGACTGAAGGAGAGAAGAAACAGTACTGCAAACAGGAGAAGGCTTGGCCAGCATCACCTTAGTTAGCAAGATTGTGTTGGGCAGCCAGGCAGAGCCAGCCACTTATGAGATACCCACATTACAGGGCCATCATCGTCAAACTATGCTCAAAATGCCTCCACTTTTCTTTAGTTGTATTTCCTATCTTGATAAGATCTTTTGGTCTTTCCAATGATGTAGAATGTGCCACGGGTGCTACTAGCCAGGGCAGTCTTCACAGTTGGTAAAGGATTTACCAGGATAGTTGTAGGTAAAAAAAAAAAAAAAGGCAGATTTTTTAGAGAAAGTATGAAAAAAGTATGAAAATATGTTGCAAGGTTGCAACAGGCAGCACAGCAGAGAAGGGGCTGTCTGCAAAGAAACAGGCTGGAGGGAAGTCTAATAGGGTCATGCTGGAAGGGCTACCTACAAAACAGATGTCGTTGTGCCCACCGATGTTTGTGATTAGCCATCTCTCCCAACTGTTCATTGTTCTTCTCCACTTGGGGCCCTCCCCAACATGGGGCCCCTTCCTCCTTGTTACTTACTTATCCAGACTCCACACAACCAACAGCATTATGGCCGCTTGTTTCACAATGTGTGCAGTGGATGTCACACTGTTATGACAGTTTCTGACAAACCTTTTTTGCTGATGGAGAAATTGGAGGAATGTTATCCCTCATTCTATCATCTCTCACAATGCTTAGAAATATCTTACCACACAGATATCTTTTCATTTGTTGATACTTTTGCCGATTATGAACTTAAGCATGTTAGTTGGAAATATTTCTGCTATACATTGAGAGTAAAAGGAACAGAGTATGACCACCGTAAAGATGGGCACATACATGAAACCACAGGGAAGTACATCAAAACATTAACAGTGGGTGTCTCTGAGTGATGGGCTATGGGTGATTCTTTTTCCTATTGGAAAGTTAACATTTTTGAGAAGAGATTTGACTTTTATTAAGACAAAATGCTGGCCGGGCGCAGTGGCTCATGCCTGTAGTCCCAGCACTTTGGGAGGCCAAAGAGGGTGGATCACGAGGTCAGGAGTTTGAGGACCAGCCTGGCCAACAGTGAAAGCCTGCCTCGGCCAGGCGTGGTGGCTCACTCCTATAATCCCAGCACTCTGGGAGGCTGAGGGGGGCGGATCATGAGGTCAGGAGATCGAGACCACGGTGAAATCCTGTCTCTACTAAAAATACAAAAAAAAATTAGCCAGGCGTGGTGGCGGGCGCCTGTAGTCCCAGCTACTTGGGAGGCTAAGGCAGGAGAATGGCATGAACCCGGGAGGCAGAGCTTGCAGTGAGCCAAGATAACGCTACTGCACTCTAGCCTGGGCAACAGAGTGAGATTCCGTCTCACAAAAAACAAAATAAAAAAAAAAAAAACCCGTCTCTACTAAAAACACAAAAATACAAAAAATTAGCTGGACATAGTGGTGGGTGCCTGTAAGTAATCCCAGCTACTTGGAGGCTGAGGCAGGAGAATCACTTGAACCTGGGAGGTGGAGGTTGCAGTGAGCCAAGATCGCACCACTGCACTCCAGCCTGGGCAACAGTGAAAGACTCGTCTCCAAAAAAAAAAAAGACAAAATATTACATAATTTTATAGGTGATTTCAGAACCTATTTCCTGATATGCTTATGATTTTTTATATTCACTGGCTGTAATGCCTAGCTGTTTTTTCTACCATGCTTCAAAACAGAAAGCACTGATTAACATGTCTTTTAAGAATTTTTAAATCTAGATAGATGATAATTTTTTCCTACAAATGCTGTATAGTTTCTCCCAGTCTTTCATTTCATCAAAATACTTCCTTTTTAGAAGTATTTGTTTTTACCTTAGCAGTTCAAATACTGACTCTCCAAAGGAACTTATAATAACATATAAGAACAAACTTTCTGGGATTCAGTGCTCCCAAAGTATAAAAATAATGTATCAATTAATGTGTGACCAGCTCAATAGCTATTAATAAATCATACATCCCATGCTCATCATAAGTATCTAAATAACATTTTGTTTTGATGAATATCATGTTTTAAATATACTTAAGAATTCTGAGAAATGTGTAACAACTAAAGTGTCTTCTCTAATTGTAAATTTCATTTCGCTTACATTAAATTTCAATTACTATATTCTTAGCAATCAAATTCAAATTCTTAAATCTCAAAAATGAATGAGGACTCAAAGAAAAACATCAGACATCTATGTTAAATTTGTTCTTCGGCTTTCTTTCCGGCACTTTCATATTTACTTATCATATTGCCTACTTCACTTGCTCAATGTCCATACCCAGCCAGATCGGCAGAAGAGGAAAGACAAGAATATCTTGTTTGAGGGCAATGACGGAAAGGATCTCTCCCCTTCTCTGTCTCTCACACACACGCAGACACACACACACACAGACACACACGAGACACACAGACACACACACGCAGACACACACGCAGACACACACGCACACAGAGTAGAGGAGGGCTCTTCTGCCCAGATCCTCATTTGGAATTCAGAACATTTTTTCCCACAGAAATAATAAGAAACTGTAATATTATAAGTACATAGTTCAGCTTCATTATGGGTTAAAAGAAGGGTTTGTGGGCTGGCATGAGAATACACCAGTTTATAACATTGTATACTTGGGAAAATTTCATTCTGAAGTCTAAACTGCTATTTTTTAGAAGAAACTGTTAGAGCACCCTGGGATGTGTGGGCCTGGGACTGTTTGCCTTTGGCACGGCTATGCTCCGAGCTTTGGAGGAGCCAAGGAAGAAAGGCCTAGTTCCTGATCTTAAGGCCTTTGCAGTGTGCATTGGGAGACATAGACTGCAATGAAAAGATCATTATTGCAAGAGACAAATGGCATGGAGCCACATTCCCAGGTAACATTTTAGTACATTCATCTATGTATTCATTCAAAATCATTGACTGTATAGTATTATATAGTATAGGGCTTCCCAGCTTCATAGTTTAATTATCTTTCTTTTAATCTCTTTCATTAATATATTTTAAATGTTTTTCTAAAATAAATAATACATAATTATAGTAGAACATTAGAGCACTACAGACTTATTTGTAGTGACAAAATCACTAGGAAAAACTTGAATGTCTGTTTATAACTAAGTGATTGAATTAACTGTGGTTGATCCACTCTCTGGAATGTTATGTACCAACAAAAATGAACAAATTGAGAATATCTGTTGACTGGGTGCAGTGGCTCACACCTGTAATCCCAGCACTTTGGGAGGCCAAGCTGGGTGGACGGCTTGAGCTCAGGAGTTTGAGACCAGCCTGGGCAACTTGGTGAAATCCCGTCTCTACAAAAATACAAAAAAAAAAAAAAAAAAAAAAAAATTAGCTGTGTTGATGGCATGCACCTGTAGTCCCAACTATTTAGGAGGCTGAACTGGGGGGATCACTTGAACCCGGGAAACAGAGGTTGCAGTAAGCCAAGAGTGCACCAATGCACTTCGGCTTATGCGACAGAGTGAGATCTTGTCTCAAAAAGAAAAAAAAAATCTGTCGATCTAGAAAGAGGACAGGATGTATTGTAGAATGAAAGTCAAGGTGCAAAGAAATGTTCATATTATAATCTCCTTTTTGCAAAGGCAACAGTGACACCCCCCAAAAAGTTTGAATTAAAAAAAGATAGAAAGGTGGACATGCCAAGCTATTAATATTGGTTACCTTGACGACAGGTCGGTTATTAATTCTTCTTATATTGAAAAAAGTAAAATTTTTAAAACAAAATGAAAATGTGAAAATGAAAAAAATTAAAGAGAAAATAAAATCATTAGTTTCTGATTTCTGTTTTATTAGGGTGTGTGTGTGTGTGTGTGTGTGTGTGTGTGTGACCTGCCCTGGGCAATTAATTATAATTTTTTTTTTACTGCCAACTATGTTTATATCACTTCAAGGGCCTTCTGGCAGAAGTCCCTTTTTTTGTTTGTTTTTTCGAGACAGAGCCTGGCTCTGTTGCTCAGGCTGGAGTTCAGTGGTGCAGTCGGAGGTCACTGCAGCCTCGACTTCCCAGGCTCAAGTGATCCTCCCACTTCAGCCTCCCGAGCAGCTGAGACCACAGGCATGTGCCACCACACCTGGCTAATTTTTTGTATTTTTTGTAGAGACAGAGTTTCACCATGTTGCCCAGGCTGGTCTCAAACTCCTGAGCTCAAACCATCACCCACCTCGGCTTCCCAAAGTGCTGGGATTACAGGCGTGAGCCACCACATCTGACCGCGGGAGTCCTTTTACCCAAAGCCACCCAACAGACCCACGCAGAGACTTTTAACCAGCAATCGTCTCAGTTCCCTCTGAGGCTGCCGGCTCTCCCTGTGACAGCAGCCCATCTTAGCCCTTCCTGTGTATCTCTGCTGCCTAAAGGATGAGAGTTTCCTAAAGTGTAGAACTGTGAGGGGTGGAGGGACATTCCTCTCATGCTGGCCTGAATCCTGCACCTACTCTGGAGGTCTTTTGCCTTGTACCATGGAGTTCGCCTACATCACCTTGGAGAACCGACCCAGCACCTTCCAGGCCGGCTGGATGCATCCCCAGGAAGGAAGCCGCTGGTGGGGCCGGTCGCACTGAGTGCGCTTGGAGAACAAAGTGCTGTGTACATTTCTGCTCAACACTACTCTAAGCCCACAGCGCCAGTTCAGAGGCTTTGGGAAGAGCAGGTGCCTTCATCCAGTTTCCACTGTACCTCTTCTGAGGTACAGGAGATAGAGGTCCCTCATTTCAAGGTGACACTGGCATCAGTCAAGCACAGAGCTAACCAACTGCCAATCGTAAACAAGGAAGCCAGTGAGGACGCCCAAGGAAAGGCTCAGAAAGCTTCCGCCAGGGAGTGGGATTTGAGCTCTACCTTACAGAACAGGTTGAAAATAAAGAGCAGAGTAATCAAAAGTAGATTTATGTGTGTATATGTATCTGTTGCTAATATCCAGCCTTAAAAATCCTTGACAGTGGCCTTCAGACTTAAACATCTTCTCACTCCACCGAGAGCACCAATCTGACAAACGCATTCGGTCCTCTAGTCCAATCCAGCTCAGTTTTCAAGCCAAGGGGATTTTGCTGAATTATATATTCAAGATATCAGTAGAGTTATAAAAGAAGGGTTGTTTCCCAGTTAAATTAGGGATGGTAGGAGGAATCCTAGATCCAACATGTGGAAGAAATATGTGCATTTAATCAAATCTCTAAGACAGCTCTTCAGCCTCTGAAAGCATAGATGGAAAACTATCTCCTTGTGATACTTTAACAGATTCCTTAGGAACGAAAGAGAAAAGTTACAGTCAGTAACTTTTCATGTCAGTGCCCGCAGACATGAATTCCTTGGCCCCTCTTATAGCATTCATCAGTGGATGGGCTGACGTAATGACAGGCTCACTCATTCATGGTCACATGCAGGATGTACGGAAGAGTAGCTTCAAGTTATTTGTTTTGTTTTTGGTTTTTTGTTTTTTTGAGACAGAGTCTCACTCTGTCGCCCAGGCTGGAGTGCAATGGCACCATTTTGGCTCACCGCAAGCTCCATCTCCCGGGTTCATGCCATTCTCCTGCCTCAGCCTCCCGAGTAGCTGGGACTACAGGCTCCCGCCACCACGACTGGCTAATTTTTTGTATTTTTAGTAGAGACGGGGTTTCACCGTGTTAGCCAGGATGGTCTCGATCTCCTGACCTCGTGATCCGCCCGCCTCAGCCTCCCAAAGTGCGGGGATTCCAGGCGTGAGCCACCGCGCCCGGTTATTTGTTAACTCAGTGTTTCACGTGCGAGTTAATTTAATTACATGGCTATGCCTATTCCGTAACACCAAACATCTGGTGAAAACTAACGAAGACAATGTCTAATATCCAGATGTTTACCTTGTGGTCACACAGGCAGAACACCTGTGCACTAAAGTAGGATTCTACCCAGATGCTTGGTGGTATGTGTCCATAGCCCTTTTTCTATAGAATTCATCTCTTCCAGTTAGCCAATGTAAAGCCCAAAGTAGATTAAAAGTTTGTTTATCTCTAACTTTAGGTTTTAAACTTTAAAAAACAAAGGAACTACAGAAATCCATGATATGGTGAGCCATGTTTTCTGCTATAAAAATGTAAGAGACCTGGTTTCAGAATGGCAGAGTAAAGACATACTCACCGGCTGCCCTGTCTCAAAAATAACTCAGAAACAGCAAGGAGAACAAGTCACGGAAATACACCCCATCCTTAGGAAACTAAGAAATATCTGTAAACATGAAATGAGAAGACACAATTTTGGAAGAAGGATAAATATTTAAGGTCATGGATATCCCAGTTACCCTGATTTGATCTTTGCACATGTATGAATGCAACAAATTATCACATGTACCCCCCAAAATATGTACATCTATTATGTGTCAATGAGGAAAAAAGAATTTGGAAAAAGGAATGACAAATGACTTAGCAGAGAGAAAGAAAGTCAAACCTCATTCCCCACAAAGGGAGTTGAGGGGCTTTCTATGGGAAGTGAGCTAATTTTCCACATAGAATCTTCAAAGGCAAGGCACAGGAACAGGGGAAACTGAACAGAAGGACAGCAGGATTAAGCTAATAGGGAACAGTTAAGTCTCTCCAATTCTCAACCTCCATCCAGTTCTCAAGTGGCTGGTTGACTCCTCTTGCTGCAGATACTGAAGAGGACAAAAATGGAGTTTTTTCCAGGCAAAAGAATTGAGGAACAGTCAGCTTAGTAAATAGTGAGATATCTCCATCCCCCTCCCACTGCTCAGACCCAGAAAAGCAACCAAAGTAAAATCCTCAGAAAAGAAATTGCAGGATGCTATGCCAGAGAAAATACTTGCAAACTCATGATATGTGGAGACCCTCAATTTTCCTCAGTGGAGCTGGTCCCTCAATTTTCCTCAACGAAGGCCACCAGCATCATAAGCCCAACACATGTACACAGAGCTTTCTGGTCAGCCTTTTTGATTTCTTCTTCTTATTATTATTATTACTGAGACAGGGTCTTACTCTGTCAGCCAGGCTAGAGTGCAGTGGCATGACCACAGCTCACTGCAGCCCCAACCTCCTGGGCTCCAGTGATCCTCCCACCTCAGCCTCCCAAATTGCTGAGATTACAGGCATGAGCCACTGCACTGGCCCTTGGTGCCTTACTTTTAAAAAGTGACCCCTCCACCCCCGGGTGAAGAGACACTCAAGGAAAAACTCTTACATGACCAATATGAAAACAAACAGAATAGAAGAACCAGAAAAAAGCAAGACGATACAAGGAAAAAGACTGCAAAAAAACTTTAATTAACCTCGTTAGTGATATGAGAGAACATATTGCATCTGTGAAATAAGAGCAAAGTAATATAAAAATGAATAAGTAGAGAACAAAGAAAAGCTCTTAGAAATAAAAATATGATAGAAATTTAAAATTCAATAGAATAATTGGAAGATGATATGATTTGACTCTGTGTCCCCACCCATATCTCATCTCAAATTGTAATCCCCACGTGTCGAGGGAGGGACCTGGTGGGAGGTGATTAGATCATGGGGGTGGTTTCCCACATGCTGTACTTGTGTTAGTGACGGAGTTCTCACAAGATCTGATGGTTTAAAAGGATGGCACTTCTCCCTTTGTTCTCTCTCTCTCCTGCTGCCATGTAAGGCCTGCCTTGCTTTCCCTTCACCTTCCACCATAATTGTAAGTTTCCTGAGGTCTCCCCAGCCATGCATAACTGTGAGTCAAATAAACCTCTTTCATTCATAAATTACCCAGTCTCAGGTAGTTATTTATGGCAATGTGAAAGTGGACTCATACAGAAGGTAAGGTCAAGTAAATCTCATATAAGATATAAGGAAATAATAAAGAAATGGGCAGTATCCAAAACAAACAAATGAAAGAAAGAACCAAGGAAAATGGAGGCTCAATCCAAGGGATCCAATATCCAACGGAAATTCCAGAAAATGAAAATTTAGATGACAATAGACAGGAAGTTAGCAAAGACATAAGAACGTTTCCTAAAAAATTTCCAAGAGCATGATTTTCCAAATTTAAAAGGCATCCCAATGTATAGCACAACATTAGAATGAAGATCAGAAGTGGAGATTAAGACCATCATCACGATAAAAACTAAAGGGACCGTTGGCCATGAGAGAGTAAAAGCACTGGACTTGAAATCCTGGAGAAAACAACTAGAAAACTGGACAAAACATATAAAGCAATTATTTTCAGGCATTAAGTAATAAGCAGCACAAGACTATGATCCTTGAGAAGAAAGAAACAAACGAAGTAAGCCCTGTGATCATCTATGACAGAGGCAATTTTTGTACTGCAGTTGCAATGATGGGAGGACTCAAAAAGAGCCAGGAAAGGGAGTTGAGAAAACAAACATCAGAGATCAGATAGGCTGAGGCAGCTGGAAGTTGTGAAGCAGAGTTCTGGAAGGGAAGTGATTATATAGAGTATGTCTACTTGAGCGTTTGCTGAGTATTGGGCCGTGATTATACAGAGTATGTCTACTTGAGCATTTGCTGAGTATTGGGCCGTGATTATACAGAGTATGTCTACTTGAGCGTTTGCTGAGTATTGGGCCATGTATGTGGACAACAATATTCCACTCTGCTGGACAAAGAATGACTAAAACATGCTAAACTAAATATTCCCAGAGCTCGCATGGGCCTTAGAATTGATCGAGCTCCTGAGAGCCAGAATGGAGAGGCCTTACTGATTATCCAAGGTATTCATGTCTCTCTGGTAAGGCTGAACAATCTCTGGACTGAAAGCTATTTTAGTCTTGCCTGAGCAAAACTAAAAAACAGGTCTCAAGGGATGACTGATCTGCAAGTATAACTGCCTGCCTAAACAAAACCAAAATATTATGAAAGTAAGATAAAAAAACAAGTAAACAAAAATCCAGACACACAACAATGTAAAATTCACAATGTCTAAAATCCAATAAAAAATTACCAAACATGTCAAAAAGTAAGAAAATATGACCCATAATCGAGAGAAAAAATCAATCAATAAAGACAATCACGGATAAAAGCCAGAGATGATAGAACTAGTAGATAAGAATATTTTTAAAGAGCTACTATGATTGTGAATGCATATCTCAAGGAAAATATGAAGCTAATGAGGAAATAAATGGAAGATTTTCAAAAAAGAACCAAATGAAATTTCTAAGATAAAAGTACACCATCTGGGCCAGGCGCGGTGGCTCACGCCTGTAATCCCAGAACTTTGGGAGGCAGAGGTGGGTGGATCACGAGGTCAGGAGTTCAAGACCAGCCTGACCAACATAGTGAAACCCCATCTCTACTAAAAAAAAAAATAGAAAAATTAGCCGGGTGTGGTGGCAGGCACCTGTAATCCCAGCTACTCAGGAGGCTGAGGCAGGAGAATGGTGTGAACCTGGGAGGTGGAGCTTGCAGTGAGCCGAGATCACACCACTGCAATCCAGCCTGGGCAACAGAGCGAGACTCCATCTCAAAAAAAAAAAAAAAAAAAAAAAAAAAGTACACCATCTGAAATGAAAATTTCACTTAGTAGAGCCAGTGCTCAGATCTTGGTTTTTAAAACCATTCTCCAACAAAAGGAACCAGGCCTCCTTGGAGAAATGACTGATTTTAGGACTGGGGCAGGAAATATACAAGATGAGCCTGGAGCATCTTATAGTGCCAGAAGTTAAAAAGTGCTAATAAAAAATGGTAGTATGTAAGAAAGTGCTAAAAAGTAAAATGTCAGAGGAACACAGTAGCAAACTAAGGATAGTCAATGCTGTAAAATTTTGAGCATTAAAATAAATAAAGTATAGTCATCCCTCATTATCTAAGGGCAATTAGTTTGAGGACCCCATGGATGAGGAAATTCACAGATACTCAAGTCCCTTACATAAAACAGAGCAGTATTTGTATATAACTTATGTGCATCCTCCTGTATACAGTAAATCATCTCTAGATTACTTATAGTACATAATGCCATGTAAATTCTATGTAAATAGTTGTTATACAGTATTTTTATTTGTATTATTTTATTGTTATTTTTTATTTTTATCTTTTTAAAAAAATATGTTCAATCTGCAAAAATCACAAGCATTCTTTATACCAACAACAGGCAAGCAGAGAGGCAAATCATGAATGAACTCCCATTCACAACTGCCACAAAAAGAATAAAATACCTAGGAATACAGCTAACAAGGGAAGTGAAGGACCTCTTCAAGGAGAACTATAAACCACTGCTCAAAGAAATCAGGGAGGACACAAACAAATGGAAAAAATTCCATGCTCATGGATAAGAAGAATCAGTATCGTGAAAATGGCCATACTGCCCAAAGCAATTTATAGATTCATTGCTATCCCCATTAAACTACCATTGACATTCTTCACATAATTAGAAAAAAACTATTTTAAAATTCACATGGAACCAAAAAAGAGCCTGTATAGCCAAGACAATCCTAAGCAAAAAGAACAAAGCTGGAGGCATCACACTACCTGACTTCAAACCATGCTACAAGGCTACAGTAACCAAAACAGCATGGTACTGGTATAAAAACAAGACACATAGACCGACGGAACAGAATAGAGATCTCAGAACTAAGACTGCATATCTACAACCATCTGATCTTCAACAAACCTGACAAAAACAGGCAATGGGGAAAGGATTCCCTATTTAATAAATGGCACTGGGAAAACTGGCTGGCCATATGCAGAAAATTGAAACTGGGTTGGGGTGATATGGTTTGGATCTGTGTTCCCACCCAAATCTCATTTTGAATTGTAATCCCCAAAGTTGGAGGTGGGGCTTGGTAGGAGATGATTGGCTCATGGGGGTGGCTTCTCCTGGCTTAACACATCCCCCTTGGTGTTGTCCTAGCAATAGTGGGTGAGTGAGTTATTGTGAGATCTGGTCATTTAAAAATGTGTAGAACCTTTCCCCTCTCTCTCTTCCTCCTACTCCGGCCATGTAAGATGTACTGCCTGCTTCCTCATTGCCTTCCACCATGACTGAAAGTTTCCTGAGACCTCCCTAGAAGACAAACAGATGCCAGATTCATGCTTCTTGTACAGCTTACAGAACCGTAAGCCAGTTAAACCTCTCTTCTTTATAAATTACCCAGTCTCTGGCATTTCTTTATAGCAAAGCAGATATACAGAGTATATCTTCACAATTTTTCTATAAATCTATGACTATTCTAAAATAAAACTTTATTCTTCACGATTCACTGGATAGGATTAGCAGAAAATTAGACAGAAAAGACACAGGGACAGAAACTCATAGTAATCGAATGTGTCCAAAATAAAGCACAGAACTTTTTTTTAAAAGACTGAAAGAAAAAATGCACAGAGACTGAGTGACTCTCGGGACAATGCAAAGCTGTCTGAAAAATATATATAACTGAAGTCTCAGAATGAGAAACAGAGGCCAGAGAAAAATATTTGAAGAAATAATGAACAAAATTTTTCCAAGTCTGATGAAAGTAATTAAGATCACAGATCCAAGAAACTCAACACACCATAAGCAAGGTAATCAAACAAATAAAAAACACAATAAGGCATATCATAATCAAATTTCTGAAAACTCATGATAAAGAGAAAAATTTTTAAAGCAGCCAGAGAAGAAAATAACATATTATATACAAGGAACAAAAATAAAGTTAACAGCAAACTTATCGGAATCTTGCAAGCCAAGACAATGGGATGACACTAGTTCATAATTAGATCCAGGAATTTAATTTTAAAAGCCCTGAACATACAACTTAGAACTTAATCAAAGAGGTAAGATTTGCATACTGGAAGCAATTAGGAAATGATTCCAGGGCAATGCATCAACTTGCATCTTATACGTAGACAAATTATGCCACTGATTTCCTAAAGTAACCTTTTGTCCAAGACAGAGTCCATAGTTGCAACAGGTTGAATGGTGACCCCCCCAAAATATATGTCCATGTCCTAACACCCAAAACCTGTGAATGCAATCTTCTATGGAAAAAAAAGAGTCTTTGCAGATATAATTCAATTAAGGATGTTAAGATGAGAAGATCATCCTGGATTACATGGGTGGGGGCCCTAAATCTAAGGACATTATGAGATAGAAGAGAAGACGCATACCCAGAGGAGAAGTCCATGTAAAGATGGAGGCAGGGATTGGAGTGATGCAGCCACAAGCCAAGGAACTGCAAGAGCCACCAGAAGCTGGACGAGGCAAGAAAGGATCCTCCCTAGAACCTTTGCAAGGATTAGGGCCTTTTACTGGCACCCTGATTTCAGATTTCTGGTCTCCAGAACAGTAAGAGAATAAATTCCTGTTTGTTTGTTTTTTTTAACCACCAAATTGTGGTAATCTTTTACAGCAGCCCTAGAAAACAAATACAATCAGTCATTCACCCTGAATCTCCCTGAATCTATGACCCCATAAGAAATTCAGCAAGTTAGATCAGGTTTGAAGCCAAGAATAAAGGTCATATTTATGCTTTTGCTGTGTACTTAACATTAATAACTAATGATTAAATGCTTTTATCTTTGTAAATACACAAAATGAAGTAGGTATAGAACCTATAAAGGGGTAAAGAACTCACAGCACAAGTCCCAGAGTCTGACGAGCGAGCAGGCCAGGCCTCTCTGCAGGGTGTTCACTCTACTCAGACTTAGGACATGTCACTTTCCCCTCTTGACCTCCATATTCAGATCTGGGCATAAGAGGAAGTGGGTAAAGACCCCTCTAGCTTTAACACTCCTCCAATACAGACAGAACTCTGAAACCAGAACAAGAAGCTGAGGAATGGTGAATGGAGCATTCTCACTGGCATGATGGAGGAACCTGCAGATCTGGCTATTAGGATGGTGTCTCGCCATGTCAATGCCTCTGCAGAATTGGATCCTAGCTTTCAAATCAGACTCAAAACTGATCTTTAGTGTTGGTGGGTTTGTGGGGTTTTTGTTGTTGTTGTTGTTGTTTGATTTTTTTTTTTTTTGAGACTGTTACTGACACAACAGCTTCTGGTGGAACTCTTTCACGGAGAGTATGGGGGCTTCTTTGGCCAAATTGGCCGAGTGCAGGTTCCATCTGCTTGGCAGCCTCTGTCTGGGCCACAGCGCGTCCACAGCATCCTGCTCTTCTACAGAGGTTTCTTCAGACATTGCAGTGTGTCTGGCCATGTCATTTGTCACCGGTGTAAAAACAACAGAGCCTGCAGCTGCTGGCTGAGTGCCTGCAGCAGAATCCTGCTCCTCACAGGTGCAGCTACAAGGCGCCCCTGCTCCTTCCAAGAAGACAGGCACAGGGACGGCCAGATCCTACTCTCTCAGCCACGGCAGTCTGTGTGGGCAGCAGGCCCGAGCTCTACCCCAGGACCTTCTTCTCGACTTCCCTTCCCCCAATTCCCACCAGGCAGTAGCACAGCTTCTCTGGCACGACTGGGGACTGGGCGCAGGGAGGGGAGGGGTGGCCAAGGGCCTGAGGCAGGTGGGCGGCCTGTGGCCCCCGAAGGACACCTGCTTTGGCTAAGACGCCTCCTAGGGCTGCCCCAGCCTGGCTCCAGGCCTCAGCCTCTGCTGCCTCCAGGAGCCCCAAAAAGTTGTTTCAAGAAGGGATGAGACAATGCTGAAGATGAAGCCCACAGCAGCAGACCATTCACATCAATTTGCAAGGAAAAAAAAAGTCTTGTTCATGCCCCCAATTAAAGGGGACTGTCAATTAACAGCAGAAACAATAGCTAACACTACAGACATCACAATTGGTTCAGCTTACACAATTCTGACTAAAAAATTAAGTTGAGTGAACTTTCCCCTTAATGGGTGCCAAAACTGTTGCTCCAAGATCAGCTGCAAAGAAGAGCAGAGTTTTCTATGGAAATTTCAAACAAGAGGGATCAATAATCTGAAGCGTTTGTTCAAAGAATTGTAACAGGAGAGGAAACATGGTTTTACCGGTACAATCCTGAAGACAAAGCACAATCAAAGCCATGGCTACCAAGAGGTGGAAGTGGTCCAGTCAGAGCAAAAGAGGACTGGTCAAGAGCAAAGGTGACCATTCTGGGGAATGCGCTAGGCATTTTGCTTGTTGACCTTCTGGATTCCCAAAGAACAATAACATCTGCTTATTATGATGAGAGTATCTTGAGAAAGCCAGCCAGAGCCTTAGCAGAAAATTGCCCAGGAAAGCTTCACCAGAGACTCCTTCTCCACCCGGACAATGCTCCTGCTCATTCTGCTCATCAAACAAGGGCATTTTTGCAAGAGTTTTAAAGGGAATCATCAGGCATCCACCTTACAGTCCTGATTTGACTCCTGACTTATTTTTGTTCCCTAATCTTAAAAAATCATTAAAAGTCCACATTTTTCTTCAGTTAATAATGTAAAAATGCCTCCATTGACATGCTTAGATTCCCATGACCCTCAGGGGTATTTAGACTATTGGTTCTATTTCTGTAGAGAACCCTAATACCATATATCAATAGGTATGTGTGTCTGTGTACACACACACACATATATACACCATATATATGTGTGTATACACACATATATATATACCACAGAAAGAGAGAGAGAGCAATTTATTACAGGAATTGGCCCATGTGTTTATGGAGGCCAAGAAGTCCCACCACCATGTGTAAGCTGGAGAAGTAGGCAAGCCAGTGGTATAATTCAGTTCAAGTCTGAAGGCCTGACAACCAGGAGAGCTGATGATGTAAGTCCTGGTTCAAGTCTGAAGGTCCAAGGACCAGGAGCACTGATGGCTAAGGGCAGGAGAAGATGGCTGTTCTCATTCAAACAGAGAATGTTTGACCACCCTTCCTTTGGCTTTATGTTCTATTCTGGCACTTCCTCAACAGAGTGGATGATGCCTGCCCACATGGATGAGAGAAGATCTTCTTTATTCAGCCTACAGACTCTAATGCTAACTTCTTCCTAAAATACAGTCACAGACACACCCAAAAATAATGTTTTACCAGCTACCTGGGTATCCTTTAGCCTAGTCACTGACACCTAAAGTTAACATATATATGTGTGTGTGTGTGTGTGTGTGTGTGTGTGTGTGTGTGTGTGTGCCTGTATTCTGTCACAGAGTCATTAACAGAACTTAAACATATGTCTACTTGCTTTTAATGACATTATCTCACCTGCTTTAAGTAGAACGACCCATTTTAGAAATTTGGACAAAGCCAAGTATCCTTAGCTTTTTCCACCAAAGAAAGAGAAAAAAGCACATGGCGCTAACATTCTGAGTATAAAGTATGTGCCGGGAACTCTTGGATACTTAAACACTCTCTCATCCTGAGAGGTCATCCGTTTTGAGGCTGGGGATGGAATTCCCAGTGTCGTGTTTTATCATCTTTGCCTGGTCGGCTGGAGCAGGCTCCTCACCGGTATCTCTGCTTCTACTTTTTTTTTTTTCCCAATAGTTCAGTCTGCTCAGAGGCACCAGAGTGTGATTCAAATATATCATGTCACTTTCCTGCCTAAAGTTCTTCACACATTTCCCATAGCAATTAGAATAAAATTCACACTCCCTTCAATGGCTTAAAACCTCTCTCTGCATATGGTCTGGCCTTTGCCTAACTTTCTAATTTCATCTGCAACTATTCTTTTCCCTGCTCACTGTGCTTAGCATAGAGGTCTCCACACGACAGCCCACAGGCAAAAGCCAGCCTACTCCCTGTTTTTGTACAGCCTCTGAACCAAGAATGATTTTTACATTTTTAAATGGCTAGAAAAAAAGAAAAAAGAAAAGCAATATTTTGTGACACATGAAAATGAGATGCAATTCAAATTTCAGTGTTGATAAATAAAGTTACGTTGCAACATAGCCATGCCCATTCATTTACGTATTGTCCAGGGTTGCTTTTAGGCTAAAGAAGCAGCTCTTATTTTTTAGAGCTCAGCTGTTGCAACCAAGGCTAAATGGCCCACAAAGCTTGAAATATTTGCTAGCTGGCCCACTACAAAAGAAGTTTGCCAATTTTGCTTTAGCCACAATGAAGACCTTTCTGTTGCTGAAACTCACTCTGTGCATTCCTTCCTCAGGGCTCCCTGTTTCCTAGTCTTTATTCCTGGTATGTTCTTCTCTAGCTTTTCACGTGGCTGGTTTGTTCTCATAAAGTCTGGCTTAACTTGGACAAAACCAGCAGAAGGTCATATACTGTCAGACTGTATCTGCTTCCATAGTGACCAGTTTCCAAACCCTGCATAGACAGATTTGGTTTCAGATTCTACATTTTTATCTGGCAGTAGCGAGGCAATGAGAGCTTTCTTGAGGCCACGATTGGTTCTGAACTCCATCAACCTAGTGATTTCTCCTGCAATTGGCGTAAATGAAGCTTGTCCAACCTCACAGCCCATGGGCTGCAAGAGGCCCAGGACAGCTTTGAATGTGGCCCAACACAAATTCGTAAACTTTCTTAAAACATCATGAGATTTTTTTGGGTATGTGATTGCTTTTTAGCTCATCAGCTATCGTTAGTGTGTTTTATGTGTGACCCAAGACAATTCTTCTTCTTCCCAGGGAAGAAGCCAAAAGATTGGACACCCCTGATATAAATGGATGTTCCTCCCCTCTCCCACCCAGGAGACTAAGAAGCTGAAGGAAGAGACTGTGTGTTCCATATCCCAGACTCAGGGGAGAAAACGAGATGTCACTGAAACTCTCCCCGTGGTCGTTTCAACCACATCTCCATCACATTATAGCCAGCAAGGGCGCAAGCACAGGCCAGAATTCTTAACGGAATTGTGGACATGGGACTTCCAACAGAGGATAAGGTTTGCTTTTATTACAGGGCACTGGTCCACCAAACAGGGCGTCAGTAGGCCCTCTGGATAAAAGCTACATTTATCCATGATGTGGAGAGAGGTCTTCCGAGCTAAAGTCAGTGCACATGGTCTACACCACGTGTAGTGCGGTGTGGTGTAGACAATGTGCACGGACCTTGGCTCAGAAGACCTCCCTCCACATCAGCTGCAGGGTGCTCCAAGTCACCCACCCACTCTGAGCCTATTTCCTCATCTGTAAAATACCAACCAGCCTAATCCTCTTAGAGATTGTTTAAGGATCTGGTGAGAAAATATTTTTACAACGCTTTTTAAACTAAGTCTTAAAGAAATACAAAATATTTTACTAGCCCTTTCTCGATGGCATGAACACAAAATTCTGCTTAAGAAGTGCACCACAGGGCTGGGTGTGGCGGCTCATGCCTGTAATCCCAGCGCTTTTGGAGGCCAAGGCAGGTGGATCACCTGAGGTCAGGAGCTCCAGACCAGCCTGGCCAACATGGTGAAAACCCATCTCTACTAAAAATACAAAAATTAGCCAGGCATGGTGGTGGGCGCCTGTAATCCCAGCTACTCGGGAGGCTGAGGTAAGAGAATCACCTGAACCCAGGAGGCAGAGGTTGCAGTGAGCCGAGATCACACCACTGTGACAGAGCTAGACTCCATCTCAAGATAAAAAGAAGAAATGCCACCATGGACAACTCCCATGATTTTGTGAGTATCTCAAGAGTATTTAATTAAGTTGGCACATCCTTAAATGTATTACTTTTAAATATATATAGGAGAAAAAGACATGTGTGAGGTTTGAAGGGATGTTGCTTAGAATGCAAATACATTCTGTGAGATGTGGGGTGGGGACCGACTGTGGAGGCAGAGACGAGAGAGGGAGATTCTGAAAAAGGAAGCCGCAAGGATAACAGATCAAGGCCAAACCAGGAGAGAAATGCGTCCAGACCTCCTGGGTAAGCATAACTCTCACACTAATGTGACAGCTTTAATTTAGAAAGTGTACGTTTCCCAAAGCAATTCAGTGAATGGGGTTCACTGTAGGAATTGTTTCAGGGTTACCAAGTGCAGTGAATACCAAGGGGAGTATTATGACAGAGCCTACTGAGGGACTTTTTTTTTTTTTTTTTTGAGACAGAGTCTTGCTCTGTCGCCCAGGCTGGAGTGCAGTGGTACGGCCACAGCTCACTGCAGCCTTGACCTCCTAGACTCAAGCAATTCTCCTGCCTCAGCCTCCCAAGGAGCTGGGACTGCAGGTATGTGCAACCCTGCTCAGCTAATTTTTTATTTCTTTTGTTTTTTAGAGACAGGGTCTCTCTCTGTCACCCAGGCTGGAGTGCTACGGTACAATCATGACTTATTGCAGCCTCGAACTCCTGGGCTTAAGTAATTCTCCCGCCTTAGACTTTGGAGTAGCTGGGACTACAAGAGTGCACCTTCACGCCCAGCTAATTTTTCATTTATTTTATTTTTTACACATGGGGTCTCGCTTTGTTACCCAGGCTGGTCTCAAATTCCTGGCTTCAAGCAGTCCCCCCACTTTGGCCTCCCACTGGGATTATAGGCACGAACCACCATGCTATATGGAACTTTTGAATTGGGGTTTAGAAGAAAATGCAGTAAGTTCTGAGAGACTGAGGATGATGCTTGGCCAAAGGGCTGGTTTGAACATGAAATGTATCTCTATTAATGCCCGTGTGAGGGCCCAGAGGTGCCTTGGCCCTGGAGTCAGGAGATGTGGGTCCCAGGCAGTGCTCTGACATGCCCTAGCTGAGCAGAGCTGCTCTCTGGGAGCCAGTTTTCTGCTTGGTAAAATTAGGACAATATGCTCTATCTTTCGGGTTGGGGAGGGTGGTGCGAGGAGCAGAAATAATGCGTGGAAAGCAATCTGCACCGTGCCTTGCAGGAGAGGAAGCTGCTGTTCCTGTTTGCATGTGCCAGGCCAGTTACTGTAGAGATGTACGCTTCATTAAAACACCGTCATCTTCACCAGGCTGCAGAGATACCAGGGTTACAGCACAGCTGAGATGAGGAGCTGACTGATCCTGTTGGGAGGACCTGGAGATGATTCATGGTAAGAGCACTACAGGAAGAGAGAGAAGCATCTGCTTCCTCGAGTGCCAGGGTGGCAGAGAGGCCACCGGAAGTCTTCACTTGGCTGAAGACTTGCAGTGAGTCTGGGGTTTAATTCAGAGGATTGAGAGAAGGCCAGCACCATGGGAATTGTTCAGCATGGGGGTCCAGGGCCAACAGAGAGAATTCTGATTGTATTCAAGAAGAAAGGCGAAACTCGGAGCTAGGATAGCTGAGCTGAGCAGGAGGTCAGAGAAGTAGGAGTAGCATGCAGAAAGTGGGCCAGCAGCCGGGAGAGGCCTGCGAGGTGGGATGTGCACACGGCTGATGCTGGACACCTGGAGCCAGGGCGTGACGGGGGCACTGGCTGACTGCCCAGGGCCCATGCCTTATCCCCCGCCCCCACCCACCACGCCTGCCCACACTTTTCTGTGTGGGTCCTCACCCAGCCTGGCCACGCTCCAGTGGCATCCGCAGCTCTGCTCTTTTCCTCACCCACAAAGAGCACAACAAAGAGGGCAGCAAGGTTAGGCCAGGTGAGAGGCCACTCACCCTGGCCAGCAAGTATGGGTGAGGCAGGACATGCCAGGCCCCTGGCAATCCAGAAGTCCCCTTGGAAGAGATGGAAGACGCAATTCCATCCAGCAAGAACCAACCCTCTTGCCCACTTACCAATCCCATTCTCTCCACGTAGCCCTCCAAAGCAACTCCCCGAGCATCTTCAAAGCCGGAGGCCTGGAAGTGATGAGAGGCCAACATGCGCTCTAATGAGATACAGCCCTGGGTTCCACTTCATCTCCTTGAGACTCCAGCTTTTGCTTGCTCTCTCCATGTCCACCTTCCCTTCCTGACTGCCAGCGGCAGCCGGCAGATCATATTTCCATGCGGCAGCTCAATGCACTCAGCCAATGCATAAAGGAAGCCAGTGGAAGGTTATCAATAAATAATGGATCAAACAGGGAGAGTGTGAAAGATGAATACTGGATGTTTTCCAGGACTTTGCACAGTCATTCATATGCATATATACCTTGCAAATTTCCAAGAAGAAAATATAGCATGTGGCATGTCTCAAACTTGATTGTTCTATAGAAAATGTTATGAGCTCAACTGTGTCTCCCTAAAACTCACATATTGAAGCTCTAACCCCCAGTACCTTAGAATGTGATGGTATTTGAAGATAAGCCTTTTAAAATGGGAATTAAGGTAAAAGGGGGTCAGGAAAGTGGGCCCTAATCCAGTTTGACTGGTGTCCTTATAAGAAGAGGAGGCTAGGACACAGACACAGACACTACACGTGTGCACACACAGACGAATGACCATGTGAACACACAGCAAGAAAGCAGCCACCTGCAAGCTGCCGGGCGTGGTGGCTCACACCTGTAATCCCAGCACTTTGGGAGGCCGAAGCAGGTGGATCACGAAGTCCTGAGTTTGAGATCAGCCTGATCAACATGGTGAAACCCCATCTCTACTAAAAATACAAAAATTAGCTGGGCGTGGTGGCAGGCACCTGTAATCCCAGCTATTCAGGAGGCTGAGGCAGGAGAATCGCTTGAACCCAGGAGGCAGAGGCTGCAGTGAGCTGAGATTGCGCCACTGCACTCCAGCCTGGGTGACAGAGTGAGACTCCATCTCAAAGAAAAAAAAAGAAAAAAGAAAAGAAAACAGCCACCTGCAAGCCAAGGAGAGAGGATTCAGAGAAACCAAGCCTGCCAATATCTTGGTCCTGAACACCCTGCCTGCAGAACTGTGAGAAATCAATTTCTGTTGTTAAAGCTCCCGTCCATGGTGTTTTGTTACGGCAGCCCTAGCAAACTCATGCAGAAAACCTCTTACTATCTGCATGATCTGTTTAGGATGTGCTGAAATAGTATTATTCACCATTTCAATACTATTTTATTTATTTATTTTTATTTTTATTTTTTTGAGATAGAATCTTGTTCTGTCACCCAGGCTGGGGTGCAATGGCACGATCTTGGCTCACTGCACCCTCCACCTCCTGAGTTCAAGCGATTCTCCTGCCTCAGCTTCCCGAGGAGCTAGGATTACAGGCACGTACCACCACGCCCAGCTAATTTTTGTGGTTTTTTCTAGTAGAGATTGGGTTTCACCATGTTGGCCAGGCTGGTCTGGAACTCCTGACCTCAGGTGATCCGCCCACCTCAGTCTCCCAAAGTGCTAGGATTACAGGCGTGAGCCACTGCACCCGGCCCAATACTATTTTATTAAAGCTTTTCTATTTTCTTATTTTCTAAAAATAAGTTTATTTTTATTTATTGGTTATCTAGTATCACTGATTTCTAAGTACTAACTTTCCCCATCTTTGTGTGAGTTCTTTGCACCTGATTCACATAAATCCTTGAATGGTACCTACTCTATAAATAGACAAACGCTTCCCGTGCATTCTCAGCCTGCATTCATAATCCCTCCCTAACCAGCCACTGCGGTGGCTTTGTACTGTGTCAATGTACCTAAGCTGAACTATGTTTCTCAGAAAATCTGAGCAAAATTTGGAAGGCAGAAGTGAAACAGCAGTCATATTTACAGTCAAAGTCTGTGTAGGGCCAGGCGCTGTGGTGGCTCACACACAATGCCAGGCAGCCACTGGCTCAATGTATTGGTACAGGGCAGCAGCTGTGCCTGCAGTTCCTCCAGCTCCCACCAGAACTGCTTCTTCAGCTTCACTGAATCTTGGGTTTATGAGCAATTCCATGGTGAAGGGCACCAGCTCCTCTGCAGGTCATCTTCATCATCAGCGCTGGAGTGTTGGAGGCCTGAGAGGCTGACGTGGAAGACATCAGTTTCAGTCCATCCACAGGAGTTCCATCTCCTCCCTGCAGGTGCAGCTCACGCCTACTCTCTCCCACTGCACATCCATTTGCCAGCCCTGCTGACTTCAGGCCCACTTCTGGACACAGGGGCAGCAGGTTGCAGCTTTCATAACAATGTGTATCCTAATCTCTTTAATAAATTCCTTGTTTTGCTCAAGGTGGTTTTGCTTCTCTGATCAAACTTTAATGATACAGATTTTGGAAACATCATAGGTGCTGCTGCAGTTAAAAACCTAAAATGTGTGGCACTGGCTTTGGGGCCAGGCAGCGAATAGAAGGTAGAGGGGCCTTGAGAAGTCTGTCAGTGAGGCCTTCAATAAATATGATGAAAATATTGTTGAAACCTGGAAGAAGGAAGACAGGTTTGTGTAGCGGTGGGAAGTTTAGCAACATTGAAACCCAAGATAACTTGGAAAATAGAAAATGTATCAATGAGCTGTATGACTGAGTGGAGGGAATTGACAGGCACACGGGCCACCTAACTTCTAGCTGCCACAATAAAATAAGAGAGAATGGGCCAGGCGCGGTGGCTCACACTTGTAATCCCAGCACTTTGGGAGGCCGAGGCGAGCAAATCACGAGGTCAGGAGTTCAAGACCAACCTGGCCAACATGGAGAAACCCCGTTTCTACTAAAAATACAAAAATTATCAGGGCCTAGTGGCGGACGCCTGTAATCCCAGCTACGTGGGAGGCTGAGGCAGGAGAACTGCTTGAATCCGGGAGTCAGAGGTTGAAGTGAGCCGAGATTGTACCGCTGCACTCCAGCCTGGGCAACAGAGTAAGACTCCATCTCGAAAAAAAAAAAAGAAATGAAAATAAAAAATAAAAATAAATAGGCTGGGCGCGGTGGCTCACGCCTGTAATCCCAGCTACTTGGGAGGCTGAGGCAGGAGAACTGCTTGAATCCAGGAGTCAGAGGTTGAAGTGAGCTGAGATCGTACCAATGCACTGCAGCCTGGGCGACAGAGTAAGACTCCGTCTCGAAAAAAAATAAAAAGAAATGAAAATAAAAATAAAAATGAGTAGGCCGGGCGCGGTGGCTCACGCCTGTAATGCCAGCACTTTGGGAGGCCGAGGCGGGCAGATCAGGAGGTCAGGAGATCGAGACCATCCTGACTAACATGTTGAAACCCCATCTCTACTAAAAATACAAAAAAAATTAGCCTTCTGTGGTGGCGGGCACCTGTAATCCCAGCTACTCAGGAGACTGAGGCAGGAGAATGGCGTGAACCCGGGAGGTGGAGCTCGCAGTGAGCCGAGATCGCGCCGCTGCACTCCAGCCTGGGCAACAGAGAGAGACTCCATCTCAAAAAAGTAAATAAATAAAATTAAAAATAAATAAAAAATAAGAGAGAATGGATATGAGCTAAGGAACCCATGGCAAAATATAAAGGTGGCAGGACTTGCAGGATTTGAAAAAAGGAAAAAAAAAAAAATGGTTTGCCATTCCCAGCCTCTCCAAATGGCAAACATCTCAAAAATTAAGAAATGGCTTGTGGATCTGGTTCTAGTTAAAATGGAGTGAGCCGATGCCATGGTAGCTCCCCAACAGGTTACTTCTAAGAACCCCAGAGTGGATACATAAAGCAACTTAATAGGGACTCTGCAAGGAAAAAACAGCAGGTGGGTTGGAGAGGGAGAGCCGAACTCCAAGAAAGATGAATAAGGTGGTAAGTTTCCTCTTCTTCCCCTTCCATGTCTCTTGACATAGATTCAGGGCAGCCAAACCCAGAACTGCTTAAGTGGCAGGGACAGGAAACATTTCAAGAGAAATTCTCTCTTTCCAATCAATGGAATAGGAACAGGCATCCCTGCATGGCAGAGCAAGTGAGGGAAACCTGGCTTTATTCCATCCTGACCTGTCCCGATGCCATAAAAGAGTAAGACTTAGGGGTCTTTGGTGGGAGATGAGTGTATTTTGCATGTGGGAAGGGTGTGAGTTATTTGCCAGAGGACAGGCTGGTGGACTAACGTGATCCAAAGATGGTGTGAGAGCACCCCTCGGCCCACATGCTGTTTTCATAATGTGATCTTGTCACCTCCCATCAAGAGGTGAAGTCTATGTCCCTTCCCCTTGAACCTGGGTGGGCTTTTGTGCCTGCTTTAACCAATAGAGGATGGGAAAAGTGACACTCTGTGACTCTAAGACTAGATTATAAAAGGCAATGCCATATCCTACTGGCTTTTTCTTGGGATACTCACTCTTGGAAACCAGTGGCCGTGGTGTCAGGAAGCCCACACCACACGTTGAAGCCCCAGCTGAAGTCCTGTTAGTCCCAGTAATCCTCAGACTGTAGGAGATAATAAGAATGAATGAATTTTTTTATTTTATGCCACTAAAGTTGTGATTGTTTGTTATAAAGGAATAGCTATATAACTCTCCCCAAAGACCTGAACTGTAAAGCAGGAAGCCAATTTATTACTTTATAAGAAAGATTAGGTCTTTCCAAAGACTACTTACTCCATCCTCGGCAGCCCCTTCCAGGTATCCAGGTCCCTTCAAGGCTACTGGATGAATAAGAAAACAGAGCACAGAGACCCACAGGCCTGGTGACACCTACTGAAGCTCCTGCCCCAAGCTGTGTCCACCAGTGACTGCCATTTCCTTTTCCCACCCTACCCCCAATGCTGGCTGTCTCATTTGTTCTGGAGAGGGTTTATGTCCACCCATCTCCTGCTATTCATAGTCATTCTTTCCTAGATAAAGCAAGCACAACAGATTCATGTTCTTCCAGGTCAGTACACTTATTATGTTCAGTCTCACAGACGTTCCTGTAGATGTCCCGATACAACACACTGATTCATCAGGAGCATCACTCCTTAGTCAGTAGTTTACTGTTTATTCATTAGTCTGACTTCACTCATTACCTTTTTATTCTTCTTCATTGCAGTCTGAGAGGTTAACTTATCTCTGAGTTGGGATTGTCTTAGTGTCACCCCATGAACTGATATACATGGTCAGTCCCACCTATCAGCCAAAAGCAATGCCTAGTGACTTGTTTGGGTGCCGAACAAAGGGTGTTCATGTATCATATCTTGAGAAAACATGAAGCTTCGCACATGTACTTGTCCACCTAATATTTTCATTCTGAGGCACATGGGGCTGATTGGCTGCACTGAGCCACACGTTAGCATAACCCCTCTGGTTACTCTCAGTCCCTTGTTATAGGACCAACAGGTTCATGTGTTCACTATGCAGTAACAGAACCATAACACAGAGACAGCAGGGTTTGCAGCAGAGAAAGTTTAAGAATCTCAGGGTGCCGAGCAAGGAGACAGGAGGAGACCCTCAAATCCACCTCCCCAAGGAGTTCTTGGCTGGGGCTTTTAAGGGGATCATGAAGGGGAAGGGGCTGGATAACTGGGGTCCTTGATTGCTCATAGGGGGATGAAATCATCAGGATGTGAAAACTGCATTCTTTGGTGAGCCAGCCTCTTTTGTGGTCCTTTGGACCAGCTGAGTCAGTAGTTTCATCAATATGCGGGAACTGAAGGAGTAGCTCAAAGGGAAAACTTAATGTTTCATAATTCTCAAGTTGTTTTCTATAGAGCAGTTAAGGGGAAGTATAATCTCATAACAGGGTCTACATGATCCTAGGACAACAATAGTTGTTCCTCAAACAACTCTGAGGAAGCAGGTCTGAGCTGGCTGACCTCAAGGTCAATGCTGAAGGTGATGCAAGCTGGGTTTATTTTCATGTCTCCCCCTTTCATATTTTCTGATTAATTTTATCAAGTTTATAGAGTCAGGCCGGGCACGGTGGCTCACGCTTGTAATCCCAGCACTTTGGGAGGCTGAGGCGGGCGGAACACGAGGTCAAGAGATCGAGACCATCCTGGCTAACATGGTGAAACCCCGTCTCTACTAAAAATACAAAAAATTAGCCGGGCGTGGTGGCAGGTGCCTGTAGTACCAGCTACTCGGGAGGCTGAGGCAGGAGAATCGCTTGAACCCCGGAGGCAGAGGTTGCAGTGAGCCAAGATCGCGCCACTGCACTCCAGCCTGGGTGACAGAGCGTGACTCCATCTCAAAATACATAAACAAAATAAAATAAAAATAAAGTTTATAGCATCAGTTTCACCCTTTTATTTCAATTTTCTGTTCCTTTTACTACTTTTTAAATCTTTCTACTCCCTTTCCCCTCAAGCTTATACCATGGCACTCTCACACAAGTATGAGCTGTGCTGACAAACTGCTTCAATTCTTTTCGGGAAGCAGCAATGGTTAAATCCTTACTTTTGCTGCAGAGCTTACTGTCAGTTCTCAGACGTGTGACCTCTTGGAGCCTCAGTCTCCTCATCTGCAAAATGGCGACAGCAGCTATTGTCACCTGTTTTCTTCCCAAAATGACCATAAGGTTCAAATAAGATCATGTGGGTGAGAACACTGTGAAAGGCTTGGCAAGCCACACACATGTCAGGAAAACATGCGGATAATTTCCTACAAAAATAATTAGGCATTCGCTTTCATTCATTTGAATGCAGCCTTTGTTTCTTTCTTGCATCTAATTAAATCAAGAGAAATGTCAGGTGTAGAATTCTTAGGGATCAGGGTTTTGTTTTTGCTGGGCAAGAAACATATGCCCTCAAGTGCCTTGGGCACATAGTTACTTTGGTTTTCCTGTGCTCTACAATTAAAGCCTTATCTGGAATTGTTATGGCTTTGTATCGTTTCAGCTATTTTGATGCTAATGAAGAAAAGTTCAGCAAGGATGAAATTCTAAATATCTAGTACTTTATTTCATAAGCATCTTCATTAATAGTTATGGCTCATCACATGACCGGCCTTCTCAAAAGCAAGAGGATGTGGATGTCATGGAAGCCCCTGGAGAAGGAAATTTGGAAACCCAAATAAGTAAATTTAATTAGCGATCTCACATGAAATGATTGTGAGATGCAGGCAAATTTTCCCCTTCCTCCCAGCAGGAGGGATTTGTCCTGGTGTGTAACATTTCAAAGGCCCTAGCTCATGAGAGCCACTTTTCTCCAAAGCAAGGATGCTTTTGCAGCTGCTGTAAGGTGTAGGGATTTCATTTTAAATACAAAATGTGTTCCATCTTCTGTAAGAACCTGCAGCTGTTTGGCCACTCTGTGCAAGAGGTTGAATGTTGTGCATTGTCCCTGGAGCTGCTTTAGACCAAAAGCAAAATATTTTCTGCTTCCAAGAATTGGTGAAGGGCCACCTATCAGAGGAATTTAAAATATTTCTCCAATTAAGCTCCCTACCTACAGAGTCCACTTTGAATATGAGAAGAAAGGGGCAGCAAGTTAGCAGAGCTGCTCTTTGAAAAAGCTGTTCTTGAGAAGACAAAGCTCTCCTCAGAGCAGCCTTCGGTCCTCTTTCTGAACAAGAAAACACCTGCATTCAGGAGGACTGCAAAGCCCTCATTCCCTCTAGGCAAAAGGAGAGAGAAAAGTTTGGATTTTTCAGTGTTGTTATCCAATGTTGAACATCTAGAAGTGAATGCCCAACTCACAAGTAGTGTACGCGGTCAGTAGGCAATACATGTTATTGAAGGAATGAGTTAACGAATACCACAAAATGATAACACTTTAGCTTTAAAGGAGATTTTCTTTACAAAACTCCATCAGCCTGAGTTCAAGCTGTTCTTTATGATTCTAAAACCACACAGCTGCAAAGTTGTAGCACAACTCACACCTGTAGATGGATGGAGGGAGAAGGGGTAGGCTCACCTGGAAGTCCACCTGGCAGGTTAGCTGCACCAAACCTGGCACTTACTGGGATGAGACTTGGCATTTAATGGGATGAGAGGTCCTCGCAGGCTTTCCTTAGATCCCGTGACCTCTTCTATTCATGCACTTCAGGAACAGCTATTGGCCAAACGCTGGTTTATTGCCCAGCTATCACTTTTTCTTCCTTTCAAATTATTTGGAGTTGACCACACCAAGTTAGCCACATCCCAAATACTTGCACCAATTATCTGTAACACCAAATGTCAAATCATGGTATTTAGTTGTGTTCCAGAGGAATATTTGAGTCGTGATTCTAGATTCTATGGAAATCTATAGAAAAGTAGTCGTGTCATGATTGCCATTGTCTTCTGTTACATATTCAACCTCTTCTGTCTTGCTTTTGTTTCTGTCAGAGATGGCATAGAAGCGAAATGTCAAGGTCTTGCTTTATGCCATTTGGCTGTCATATATAGCCATTTAATTTTTCCCTTCCCAGATGGGACTCAGGTGGCAAGGTGACAACTTTCAGCAAAATACTTTCCACAGAACCAAGAGGTCCTTGACGGGGTGACCTTTGGGGTCTAGGACACAAGGTTATACAAGAGGGTTTGGTGCACAGAGCTGCTGCATCTGATTCCCTTCCTCTCTTTGTCCCAAACCTGAGGTTCTGTGGTTTGTCATAGTGGAATTTCTACAGGTAACACGCTGTATGCCTGACAAAGCCAACTGTCACGTAAGTGTTCGATGGCATCTCTTTTTGGTGTGTGGAGCAGCTTAGAGACAAGGTGGGACTGAAGCCTGCAGTTTCCCAGAGTTGGACACCAGGACCCCAACAGTAAATGTCTTAACTCAGAGCTGTAACTCGGAGGCATCTGTAGGGAATCCTCATCGCACTTCATTTGCCCAAGAGCTGAAGGGACTTTTACAATAAAGCCCTTCGAACAGGAAGGGAGTGATCATTTAAGATCCTTGTAAGGTACACTAAGAAGATGAAGGATGAAGAGCCATGGAGAAGGGGAAGAGAACATTCCTCCATGCACTCTCCTCCTTTGAACCTAACCAGACAGCCTCACCTAGATCACAGACCAGAGAGTCCTTCAGGCAGCTGTGACATCCAGGAGTCTCTCTGGACAATTTCTGCCTAAAGATGTCCTTGACATACTGAATGGTTGCTCCAGTCTGACACTACTTCTCTTCTCTTCTCTTCTCTTCTTTACATCTCTGACATCTCTGAGCTTCTTTCCAGTGACATCACTCATCTTAGGGTGGTACGGATGAAACCCAACCACATTGCTTATGCCTCTTTTTTTAGCTTCTTTTTATTATGAACTCTTTCCTCCTAACACATTTAAGGGGGTGGTGCAAGCGTGTACATGTGAACTTTTGCTTGTTTGAATTGAGAAAATGACGAAGCATCAGGAATGTCCTAGTTTTGAATATGCAATATCAGCAGATCCTTCTGTGCAACTCTCCCAAAAAAGGGTGAGATTCTGTGTATGCATATGCCTACACCATCCTGGCAGCTCCTCCCCCAGGTCCCCCCTGTGAGCTCAGCCTAATGACTAGTCCTCAAAGATTGTCCCTGAGTGGAACTGAGATGTTAAGGTACATTTTCTAAATGTGGAATTTCCTATTCAGGACTTCCCAACTCATTCCTGTACCACCCCACTAGAAGGAGGATGGACAGATTCGCTTGCTGAAATGGCGAAGCAAGTTCCCGCAGCTGGCCAGGCTGAGCTGTTTCTGAAGCTCAGAGCAGCTGTGACTCATCCCTCCTGCAGTCCGTTAACTTCCCACTCCTGTCACCAGACCAGCTACTCCTCTCGCTCTGACTCCTACAAACCCACTTATTTTCAAATTTGCTCAATAACCATGACATTCAAACCCAACATGCTCTGTGCACAGGACGCTGTGAAAACACACAGTGAGAATTAAGGGTCCACAGAAGAAATAATGGCCAGAGTAAGAACTGTTTTCTTGGATGCTGGGTGATGAGGAATAACTGCTAATAAGAGACAACAGCAAGTATTAGGACATGTGCCATCAGGCCCAATTGAGTTAAGGGAATGCAGTCATCCTAACTGGTGGTTTTCAGAAAGCCACACAACATTTTAATTGAATGCACAGGCTTCTGCATGATTAGGAACACAATACTTTGGTGCCCAGGCCGGATTGAGCTGGTAACAATGAGCTGAAATGGCTTCCTGCCATGAAGCAGAGAAGCTCAAGCTTATTCTCCCTGTGACACTTCCAGGCCCTGTTGCAAAGTCACAAAAGAAACTCAAGAAACCAATTTTCAGAGACGGTTTAGAGCTTTCCTGCATGGTTCCAACTACTCGTGTGATATAAAAATGGAATGACTGCAGAAGGAGGATTGCAGCTGGATTTCGGGGAAACTTTCTGAAGAATGGACAAGAGGAACCAGCAGCCTGGTGCAAAGTCACTGAATCAAGTAGCAAGTAGCACCAACTCCTCCCATCCTCCCATCAGACAGCATGAATTTAAAGTGGTCTCCAGTCATGCAGCCATTTCACAGAGTTTGCATCTTAAGCCCACCTAAGATATTGTCAATAAGATATTGTCTTGAATTCCCAGCCAGAGTCCAGGGAATCCAGAAGTTTCCAAAACTTTGAAAATAGGAAATATTCAACAGAGTTATTCAGCAAATATTTGTTCAGCGCCTACCACATTCCAGTCACTAATAATTGGCATGGATATCAGCCCAATAAAATTAACCATTGGACTATCATTGGGAACCCCCGAGAGACATATTCAACACGAGCCTGAATTAAAAATACAACTAAATTTCTATATTGTGATTTTTAAAATGTGTTTGCTTTAAAAGTTCAATCAAAATGGGCCTTTCACTTTAAACTCAGCTCTGGACATCTCTATGCAACTCTCTGTGGAAGGTTCACCGAGATGTCCCTCAGAGCAGCTCTTTCATCTCAGCATGTTTATACATGAACTCATTGTCTTTCCTCCAAATTTGTATGTCAGTTGGTGGCACTCAATCACCCAAGTCAGGACCTGTGAATCACCCTTGCCCCCTTCTACTCCCTTACACTCAAGATCCAATCAATCACCACATCCTATCACTTTTACCCCATAGACACAACTCCAACAATATAATAGCCTCTTCTGTAGACACTGTAGTAGGCGCACCACAGATGGGCACTATTGTTATCATGTGCATTTTACGGATAAATAAACATGGCTGCAGGGGTTAAATAACTTCCCTAAGATCACACAATCAGTATATGGCAAAGCTAAAAATCAAGCTTGGCTGGGCACGGTGGCTCATGCCTGTAATCTCAGCACTTTGGGAAGCTGAGATGGGTAGATCACGTGAGGTCAGGAGTCCAAGACCAGCCTGACCGACATAGTGAAACCCCATCTCTACTAAAAATACAAAAATTAGCCAGGCGTGCTGGTGCATGCCTATAATCCCAGCTACTAGGGAGGTTGAGGCAGAAGAATCACTTGAACCAGGGAGGCGGAGGTTGCAGTGAGCCGAGATTGCACCACTACACTCCAGCCTGGGCAACAAGAGGGAAACTCCATCTCAAAATAAATAAATAAATAATAAAAAATAAATAATAAATAAAAATCAAGCTCAAGTCCTTCTGAATTTAAAGAGGAGGATTTTGAAGCTCTGTGTCTCTAATTCAGCAATCTCTGCCCTAATGTAAACCTCATTCTTTCTTCAGTCTCCTTACTGGTTCCTCTGCCCACTGCCTTCACTTTTTTTAGCGGCTTTTCTACATTTATAATGTTTTGTTTTTGTTTCTGTTTTTGTTTTGAGCCAGAGTCTCACTCTGTCACCAGGCTGGAGTGCAGCGGCACAATCTCGGCTCACTGTAACCTCCGCCTCCCAGGTTCAAGGGATTCCCCTGCCTCAGTCTCCCGAGTAGCTGGGACTACAGGCATGTGCCACTATGCCCAGCTACTATTTTGTATTTTAGTAGAGATGGGGTTTCACTATATTGGCCAGGATAGTCTCCATCTCCTGATGTCACGATCCGCCCACCTCAGCCTCCCAAAATGCTGGGATTACAGGCATGAGCCACCTCGCCCGGCCCGTTTGTTATGTTTTTTAAAGTCGAGTTTATATGGGTATAATATACAAAAGTAAAATTCACTCCTTTTAAGTATAGTTTGACAAGTTTTGACAAATGCATATGGTTGTGTAACTACCATGATGATCAAGATATAGAACTTTTCTATCACCCCAAAAAGTGCTTCATGATCCTTTACAGTCAGTCCCCTTCCCTAGTTCCTGACTGTGGTAATCACTCATCTTATTTTCTTTCCCTAGTTTTTCCTTTCAGATAATGAAATGTAAATGAATCATACAATACAGAACCTTTGGTGTCTGGTTACTTTCCCTTAGGAGGGAGCTTTTGATTTTGCCCATATTGTTATGAGTGTCCATAGTTGAGTCCTTTTTATGGCTGAGTAGTATTCCTTTGCAGGCATGCATCACCATTTGTTTAACCATTCATCACATGAAGGACATTTGAGTTATTTCCAGTTTGGGGCTACTATGAATAAAGCGACTAGAAACATTCACATACAAGTCTTTATGTAAATATGTTTCTTTCTTTCGGGTAAATAAATACATAGGAATGGGGCATAGGTTGTATAGAAAATGTATGTGTATGCTTAACTTTATAAGAATCTGTCAAACTGTTTTCCAAGTGGCTATATAATTTTGCATACCAACCAGCAATGAAAGAGAGTTCTAGTTGCTCTACACCCTTACCAGTATTGATAGCCTTTTTAATTTTAGCCAGGCTAACATATATATAGTAGTATCTCCTTATTATTCCAATTTGCATTTCCCTAATGACTAATCATGTGGAGCATCTATTTCATGTGCTTATTTGCTATCCATTTGTCTTTTTTTTTTGAGACGGAGTCTCGCTCTGTCACCCAGGCTGGAGTGCAGTGGCACGATCTCAGCTCACTGCAAGCTCCACCTCCCAGGTTCACGCCATTCTCCTGCCTCAGCCTCCCGAGTAGCTGGGACTACAGGCGCCCGCCACCACGCCCGGCTAATTTTTTTGTATTTTTAGTACAGGCGGGGTTTCACCATGTTAACCAGGATGGTCTCAATTTCCTGACCTCGTGATCTGCCTGCCTCGGCCTCCCAAAGTGCTGGGATTACAGGCATGAGCCACCGTGCCTGGCCTCCATTTGTCTTAAGTTAAGTATCTGTTCAAATCTTTTGCTCATTTTTAATTGGGTAGTTGATTTTGTGTTGAGTTTGGGGAGTTCTATATTCTAAATAAAAGTCCTTTATCAGATATATATTTTGCAAATATTTTCTCCAAATCTATTGCTAGGCTTCATTTTCTTAAGTGTCTTTTGAAAAGCACAAGTTCTTCACAAAAATGTTCTCCTGAATTTTCTTCTGGATTTTTTTTTTTTTTTTTTTGAGACGGAGTCTCGCTCTGTCGCCCAGGCTGGAGTGCAGTGGTGCGATCTCGGCTCACTGCAAGCTCCGCCTCCCGGGTTCACGCCATTCTCCTGCCTCAGCCTCCCCGTAGCTGGGATTACAAGCGCCTGCCACCACTCCCGGCTAATTTTTTGTATTTTTAGTAGAGACGGGGTTTCACCGTGTTAGCCAGGATGCTCTCGATCTCCTGACCTCGTGATCCGCCCGCCTCGGCCTCCCAAAGTGCTGGGATTACAGGCGTGAGCCACCACGCCCGGCCCTTCTTTTGGATGTTTTATAGTTTGGGCTGTTATATTTATTTTAGGTCTATGATCTATTTTGAGTTAAGCTGCATATGGTGCAAGGTAAAGGCCAAGGCTTATTCCCTTGCCTATGGATGTCTAACACTGATACTGACCCAATAGTCCCACAGATAGTTTTTTGGATAAACATAGAAATTGACGCGTCTTACCTTAAAGCTTGAATCTCACATTTATTTTATCTGAGTTCCTTCCTCAGGAAATGACCTTCAGGCCTATCATAAAAGGTATCAAAGAACTGAAACTCACCAAATCCCACATCCAGGCAATGAGATGCCAGACCCCTCATTCATCATGATGGCTTCCTTGCTCCTCCCTAGCTCCTGTTTCCTTATACATTGTTATATTTCTTCCCTGCTATATAAACCCCTAGTTTTAGTTGGTCAGGGAGATGAATTTGAGACTGAGCTCCCATCTCCTTGGCTGCACCCAATTAAAGCCTTCTTCCTTGGCAATACTGGTCATCTCAGTGATTGGCTTTCTGTTTGGTGAGCAGTAGGACCCAGACAGAACCCCTGGTCTTTTGGTAAGGACACCATTTATTGAAAAGACTATCTTTTCCCCATGAAATTATGTTGGTACCTTTACCAAAATCAATTGACCATATATGTGTGGGTCTATTTCAGGTCTCGTTATTCTGTTCAATTGATCTATACATGTTATCTTTATGTCAATAACATATTATCTAGAATACTGTAGCTTTATAATAAATAAGTCTTGAATCGGGTTAGTAAAACTTCAAAAACATTTTGGCTGTATAAGGTCCTTTGCATTTGACATAAATGATAAGATCAGCTTGTTAATTTTGACAAAAAGCTTGCTGGCATTTGGATTGAGATTACATTGAATATATTAATTTGGAGAGACTGACACTTAACAATTGAGTTTTCTAATCCATGAACACGATTTAAGTCTTCTTTAATTTCAGTTATGTTTTGTAGTTTTCTATCTACAAGTCTTGCTTTTTTGTTAAATTTATCCCTAAGAATTTCATTTTTATGATATTGTAAATTATTTTTAATATTCGATTGTTTCTATTGACCATGTAACCTGTAACTTTATAATCTCACTTATTCTACTAGCTTTATGTGTAGATTATTGGGATTTTATATGCAAATGATCATGCAATCCATGACTAAAAAGAGTATTTTTTCTTCCTTTTGAATCTATATGCATTTTGTATAATTTTCTTGCCTTAGTACACTGGGCAGAACCCCTAGTACAATATTGAGTAGAAGTGTTAAGAACTGACATAATTGCCTTGCCCTCATTCTTAGGGGTAAAACATTCATTCTTTCACCAATAAGTGTAAAGTTACCTGTAGGTTATTCACAGATGTCCCTTATCAAAATAAGTAGATCTATTCCTCATTTCCTGAGAATGATTTTTTTGTTTTATCATGATTCAACATAAAATTTTGTAAAATGTCTTTTCTCCATCTATTGATGCATAGAGTTAATATTTTATATTCTGTTAGTATGATGAATTTTTCAAATATCTAAATTCAAACATCTAAAGAAACTTGCATTCCTCAGATAAACCCCACTTGGTCCTTTTACATGTTGGATTTGTTTGTTTGTTTGTTTGTTTTGAGATGGAGTCTCGCCTTGTCGCCCAGGTTGGAGTGCAATGGCACGATCTCAGCTCACTGCAACCTCCGCCTCCCGGGTTCAAGTGATTCTCCTGCCTCAGCCTCCCGAGTAGCTGGGATTACAGGTGCATGCCACCACGCCCAACTAGTTTTTTGTATCTTCAGTAGAGATGGGGTTTCACCATGTTGGCCAGGCTGGTCTACAACTCCTGACCTCATGGTCCGCCTGCCTTGGCCTCCCAAAGCGTTGGGATTACAGGCATGAGCCACAGCACCTGGCCTGGATTTTATTTTGTAATATTTTGTTAGGGATCTTTGCATCTGTGTTCATGAGGAATATTAATCTGTAGGTTTTTTGCCCTATAATGTTTTTGCCTTATTTGGGTATCAGGGTAATGTTGTCCCATATTTCAGAAAAATTTGTGAAGCATTGATGGTATTTTTTCTTAACTGTTTGGTAAAATTCACCATTGAAGTTTCCTGGGTCAAGATTTTCTTCATGGAAAAGTTTTTAACTATGAATTCAATTTATTTAATAGAAGACTGTTCAGGCTATCTATTTCTTCTTGAGTGAGTTTGGCAGTTTGTGTCTTTCAAGAAATTTGCCTATTTTATCTAAAGTTTCAAAATTATTGGCAAAAAAATTTACTACAATATTCCCTATTATCGTTTTAATATCTGTAAGAATCTGTAGTGATATCCCTTTCTCATTCCTAATATTGGTCATTTGTGTCTTTTTTGTTGTTCATCAGTCTGGAGAGAAGTTTACTGATTTTGTTGATCTTTTCAAAGATTTAGATTTTTGTTTTATTGTTTTATTCATTTTCTCTATTTTTCCTGTCATTGATTTCTGCCTTTAGTTTTATTACCTCCTTCCTTCTGCAAGCTTTAGTTTTAATTTGCTTTGTTTTTCAGGTTTCTTAAGATGAAACTTAGATTAATAATTTGAAAACTTTCTTCCTTTCCAACATGAGCTTTTACTACCATAAATTTCTCTGGAAACGCTGTTTTAGCTGTGTCCCACAAATTTGACATGTGTTGTCAGTTTCCTTTAAATCATAGTGTTTTCTAATATTCTTTGTGATTTCTCCTTTACTCATGGGTTATTTAGAAGTGTGTTGATTAATATTCAAATATTTAGAATTCTTTCCAGATATATTTCTGTTACTACTTTCTTGTTTAATTCAATGTGGTCAGAAAACTTACTTTATATGAATTTCTGCACACCATGTTTTTCTCCTCAAAAATACCCTTTAAATAAAGAGTATCTTCATACATTTCTATGGTATAATCTCCAGAATATAGTGTGACTAAAGCAAGGTAGAAATATATCTTATATATGTTTCTAAATGGAAGAATAAACTACACAATTATAAACAAAATTATTACCCTACAGGAGCAACTGAAGAACCAGGTAGAGGTGAGTGATAGAAACTAGACTCCTCTGAATACACCTTGTTTTGTACACTTTATTTTGGAACCATGATTATAAAACAAAGTTGAGTAAAAGTAAGAAAAAAAAGGGCAAACTCTAGAAATAAAAAACAATATGATACCAAAATCATACAGACTAGCAAAATGGTTTTTCCACAATGCTTTGCATATGCTTATAAAAGCAAACAGATGCTTCATTTGGACCTTCTCAAGAGAAGTATTGTGGCTTAACTTGGCAGAGTTGTGTTTGTTCAAGATGCAGAGAATAGAGAGGGAGCTATAAACCCTCAATCTTCAAAAGGACATTTTGTAATGATAAATGCCTGTTTGCATTATTTAAATTTTAGAAATTTAAGTAAAATGTTTAAATTGATATTTTTTGTAAAGAAAGTAAAGTGTCGGGATAATCTAATCAAGTGCAATGTAAAATTTAAAGACAACATGCATTCATTGTTTCCATGTGTTACCATTGTATGGTAAAATAAAGTAGTCAAGAACACAAGAGCAGGAACAAGACCATCTGGATTAGAATCCTGGCTCTGCCAGGACATATCTGTATGACCTTAGGAAAGTTACTCAGCCTATGATGGCTCTTTTTCATTTTATCTCTCTCATTTCACCTGCAAAATTTTTTCACTTTCTTTCTCCAAGTAACATTCTGCTCCTTCCACTGTAAAGCATACTAGTCTAACCTCCTCCCACCTCCTTAGCTTTACCATGATCTGCTGAGCAAGTCCCAGTTAGTAAGATGGCGAAGACAGACTTACCCTCAGAAGAGGAGACCCTATGCATATGTTACCTTTTCTTTCCACATCTCATTAAGTTAATCTCCCAGAATCACATACACATACATAGCAGGGAAGGAGGGAGTATTTCTTTCCAACTCCAAAGCTCATATTTTTGTTTCTTCCAACTTTTAAGATCAGGGGTACATGTGCAGGATGTGCAGGTTTGTTACATAGGTAAACATGTGCCACGGTGATCACCTGCACAGATCATCCCATCACTTAGGTATTATGTGAAGCATCCATTAGTTATTCTTCCTGATTAGCCCCAGTGTGTGTTGTTCCCCCCACCCCATGTGTCCATGTATTCTCATCATTCAGCTCCCACTTATAAGTGAGAACATGCAGTATTTGGTTTTCTGTTCCTGTGTTAGTTTGCTGAGGATAATGGCTTCCAGCTCCATCCATGTCCCTGCAAAGGACATGATCTCATTTCTCTTTATGGCTGCATAGTATTCCATGGTGTATATGTACCACATTTTCTTTATCCAGTCTATCATTGATGGGAATTTAGGTTGATTCCATGTCTTTGCTATTGTGAATAGTGCTACAATGAACATACACATGCATGTATCTTTATAATAGAATGATTTATATTTATTTGAGTATATACTCAGTAATGAGATTGCTGGGTCAATTGCTGGGTATTTCTGCCTTTAGGTCTTTGAGGAATCACCACACTGTCTTCCACAATGGTTGAACTATTTTACACTCCCACTAACAGTGTAAAAACCGTTCTTTTTTCTCCACAACCTTACCAGCATCTGTTGTGGGTTTTGTTTTTGTTTTTGTTTTTTACTTTTCAATGAGAGCCATTCTGACTGGTGTGAGATGGTATCTCACACCAGTGAGAATTTTGATTGGATTTTTTGGTTTTGATTTACATTTCTCTAACAATCAGTGATGTTGGGCTTTTGTTCATACGTTTGTTGGCTGCATGTATGTCTTCTTTTGAGAAATGTCTGTTCATGTCCTTTGCTCACTTTTTAATTGAGCTGTTTGTTTGTTTCTTGTAAATTTGTTTAAGTACCTTGTATATGTTGGACGTTAGACCTTTGTCAGATGTATAGATTTCAAAAATGTTCTCCCATTCCAAAGGTTATCTGTTGACTCTGATGATAGTTTCTTTTGCTATGCAGAAACTCTTTAGTTTAATTAGATCCCATTTGTCAAGTTTTGCTTTTGTTACAATTGCTTTTAGCATCTTCATCATGAAATCTTTGCTTGCGCCTATGTGCTGAATGGTATTACCTAGATTTTTTTCCAGGGTTTTTATAGTCTTGGGATTTTACATTTAAGTCTTTAATCCATCTTGAGTGGATTTTTGTAAATGGTGTAAGGAAGGGGTCCAGTTTCAATTTTCTGCATATGGCTAGCCAGTTCTCCCAGCACCATTTATTAAATAGGGATTCCTTTCCCCATTGCTTGTTTTGGTCAGGTTTGCTGGAGATCAGATGATTGTAGGTGTGCAGTTTTATTTCTGGGTTCTCAATTCTGTTCCATTGGTCTATGTATCTATTCTTATACCAATACCATTCTGTTTTGGTTACTGTAGTCTTTAGCATAGTTTGGAGTCAGGTAGCATGATGCCTCCAGCTTCGTTCTTTTTGCTTAGGATTGTCTTGGCTATTCAGGCTCTTTTTTGGTTCCATGTGAATTTTAAAATAGTTTTTTTCTAATTCTGTGAAGAATGTCAATGGTAGTTTAATGGGGATAGCAATGACTCTATAAATTTCTTTGGACAGTATGGCCATTTTCATGATACTGATTCTTCTTATCCATGAGCATGGAATTTTTTCCATTTGTTTGTGTCCTCTCTGATTTCTTTGAGCAGTGGTTTATAGCTCTCCTTGAAGAGGTCCTTCACTTCCCTTGTTAGCTGTATTCCTAGGTATTTTATTCTTTTTGTGGCAATTGTGAATGGGAGTTCATTCACGGTTTGCCTCTCTGCTTTCCTGTTGTTGGCGTATAGGAATGCTAGTGATTTTTGCACATAGATTTTGTATCCTGAGAGTTTGCTGAAGTTGCGTATCAGCTTAAGAAGGTTTTGGGCTGAGACAAAGGGGTTTTCTAAATACACAATCTTGTCATCTGCAAACAGAGATAGTTTGACTTCCTCTCTTCCTATTTGAATATGTTTTACTTCTTTCTCTTGCCTGAATGCCTTATCCAGAACTTCCAATACTATATTGAATAGGAGTGGTGAGAAAGGGCATCCTTATGTCAACTTTCAAGGGGAATGCATCCAGTTTTTGCCCATTCAGCATGACATTGGCTGTGGTTTTGTCGTATATGGCTCTTATTATTTTGAGGTATGTTCCTTCAATACCTAGTTTATTAAGAGTTTTTAACATGAGGAGATGTTGAATTTTATCAAAGGCCTTTTCTGCATCTATTGAGATAATCATGTGGTTTTTGCCTTTAGTTCTGTTTATGTGATGAATCGCAGTTATTGATTTGCATATGTTGAATCAACCTTGCATTCCAGGGATGAAGCCTACTTGATTGTGGTGGATAAGCCTTTTTACATGCTGCTGGATTCGGTTTGCCAGTATTTTATTGAGGATTTTTGCATCGATGTTCATCAAGGATATTGCCCTGAAGTATTCTTTTTGTGTTATATCTCTGCCAGGTTTTGGTATCAGGATGATGCTGGTCTCATTGAATGAGTCAAGGAGGAATCCTTCCTTTTTAATTTTTTGGAATAGTTTCAGTAGAAATGGTGCCAGCTCTTCTTTGTACCTCTGGGAGAATTCTCAGCTGTGAATCTGTCTGGTCCTAGGCTTTTCTTGGTTGGTAGGCTATTTATTACTGCCTCAATTTCAGAACTTGTTATTGGACTATTCGGGGATTCAATTTCTTCCTGGTTGAGTCTTGAGCGGGTGTATGTGTCCAGGAATTGATCCATTTCTTCTAGATTGTCCAGTTTACATGCATAAAGGTGTTTATGGTATTCTCTGATAATTGTATTTCTGTGGAATAAGTGGTGATATCCCCCTTATAATTTCTGATTATGTGTATTTGAATCTTATCTCTTTTCTTCTTTATTAGTCTAGCTAGTGGCCTATTAATTTTTTTAAAAAACCAGATCCTGGATTTGTTAATTTTTGAAGGGATTTTTGTGTCTCTATCTCCTTCAGTTCAGCTTTGATCTTGGTTATTTCTTGTCTTCTGCTAGCTTTGGGGTTCGTTTGCTCTTGTTTCTCTAGTCCTTTTAGTTGTAATGTTAGGTTGTTAACTTGAGATCTTTCTAGCTTTTTAATATAGGCATTTAGTACTATAAATTTCCCTCTTAACACTGCTTTAGCTGCATCCCAGAGATTCTGGTATGTTCTATCTTTATTCTCACTAGTTTCAAAGAACGTCTTGATTTCTGTCTTAATTTCGTCATTTACCCAAGAGTCATTCAGGAGCAGGTTGTTCAGTTTCCATGTAGTTGTGTAGTTTTGAGTGAATTTCTTAATATTGAGTTCTAATCTGATGGTGCTATGGTCTGAGAGACTGTTTGTTATGATTGCAGTTCTTTTGCATTTGCTGAGGAGTGTTTTACTTCCAATTATATGATCAATTTTAGAGTAAGTGCCATGTGGCAAAGAGAATAATGTATATTCTGTTGTTTGGGGACAAAGCCCACATTTTTTTTGCAAACTCCATCAAGATAAAAGGCAAGATTATTAAAAGCAGAGCTGTCTTGAGCTGTAGTGTTGGAGAAGAGATCCATGGTTATGAAAGCTTAGTGTGTCCACAAGGATAGGGAACAGGGAATTTTTTCTAGTAGTGGAATTGTTCTGTATCCTGTTTGTGGGGATGGTTTGTAGGGATGAACTTATACATGTATTAAAATTCATAGAAAGCACACACCCCCATGAAAAGTCCATTTTGTGGTATAATTTTTTAAAAAACAGCTGCTTCAACAGAAAAATTTTCTGCTATCCAATGTGGATGACATTGAAATTGACCCAAAAACTTAAAAGTAAAAATCTAGGCTATCTTTCCTTCTCTAGAACTGTATTTGGTCATCCCTAGGCACATGCTCTGTTCTTTGTGACAGCCAGGCCCACTGCTCCGAATCCCTGCACTAGGCAGCTCCTCCCATTCTAGAACCCTAATCTATTTATCAAAACTCACTTCCTCAATTTGAGGTTCTGCTCTCAGTTAATTGTGACAGTAGGCAGGGTTCAATAAACCCATCCTCACCATGTAAAGCTGTTAATAACCAAGAATAATTGAATGAGACAGAAATATCTGTCAGGAATAGGCAGATCATGGAGAATTGGAGGCAGGGAAGCTTTCACAACATCATTCACCTCGCTCCTTGTAGGTCCTGGCAATTCTGGCCTCAACATACACATAAGTCATCTCAGAGAGCTGTCATTCCTTTTCTTAAAAGTCTTCAGAAGAGTGAAGGAGGCTGTGCATGTATGGGAGCAAGGGCTCAATTTTGCTGTGAACTTAAAACTGCTTCAAAAAATAAAGTCTCTTTTTTTTAAGTCTTCACAGACTTCTCAGTATATATGCTGCATGGTAATTCTTTAGCATAGACTGGGCAAAGCTGACTATATTATTCAGTAGAGTAATAATAAAGTAACAACAGCAGGCTGGGTGCGGTGGCTCATGCCTGTAATCCCAGCACTTTGGGAGGCTGAAGTGGGCGGATCACAAGGTCAGGAGTTCAAGACAGCCTGGCCAATATGGTGAAACCCCATCTCTACTAAAAATACAAAAATTAGCCAGGCACAGTGGCAGGCGCCTATAGTCCCAGCTACTTGGGCAGTTGAGGCAGGAGAATCGCTTGAACCTGGGAGGAGGAGGTTTCAATGAGCCAAGATCATGCCACTGCACTCCAGCCTGGGTGACAGAGCAAGACTCTATCTCAAAAAAAATAAATAAATAAATAAAGTAAAATAACAATAGCTAGTATGTTTTGAACATTTATTATATGACAGGCACTGCTCTAAGTACTTCATATGTGTTATTGCATTTAATTTTCTAGCAATCTTAAGTGGTAGATACTGTTATCATCTCAATTTTGCAGGTGAGGAAACAGAGGCAAAAGCAGTGAAAGCAACTTGCTATGGTAGACACAAAGAAGTGCCACCCAGACCCCTGGTCAGACCTGGCCTTGTTGCCCGGCTGTGGGGAGGTGACCAATGCAGTGGGCCTTCTGCTGCCAGCTGTTCAGGTCAGCCCTAGATACAGAGCCCCTCATTAATGCCCTTCCTGGGCCGCACCACAGCACGCTTCGGAGCCAGGCCAGTGTATAAAGGTCTGGCCGTTTCAGTCCAGTGCAGGAGCACTGACTGTCTGGAGCTCCTGCAGGGCTGGCGCAGCTGCGTCGGGCCTGCATCTCATTTCCACCCCTTTCTCTGCCCAGTCCTGCTTCCGCCATTGGCCTGTCCTGTGTTGATCCTTAACAAACACCCTGCACCCCAAACTCTGTCTCAGCACTGGCTTTGGGAGGACCCAACCTATAGCACTTGCCAAGGGCCACAGAGCAGATAAGTCATGACCCTACAATTCAAACTCTGATGGTTTTATGCTCTTAAACACTATTGATATGCTGCCTCCACATAAAAAAACAAATCTAGAATTCTCCTATAGCAATGGTTAAAACTATTACTAGGAGTGTCTGAAATTTTTTCTTTAATTTTTAATAACAGCTTTATTGAGATATAATTCACATACCACAAAATCCATCCTTTTAAAGTATACATACAATTCAGTGTTCTTAGCACATTGGCAAAGTCGTGCAACCATGACTGCTATCGTATTCCAGAACATTTCATCACCTCAAAAAGACACCCTGTCCCCCTTAGCAGTCACTCCCCATTTGTCTTTAATTTTGGTCCACCTAAACGATAATTCATGTAGTTAATCTGTTCTTGCCAGCTGTGAAAGTTATCCACTGTGATGTAAGATACAAACTCTCCCAATTTCACTTCCTTTTAAAGTATTAAATCCATAAACATGTTCAAATGCTTGTTCCGTCATCTCACTCTTGGGAATTTATTCTAAGAAAAAAATGACAAAAGATGGGAGGAAAACGAAATGGTTTGTTGCAGCATAGTTTAAAAACTAAGAAACTGGAAACAAATTGCTGTCCATCGTGGGTGATTGTTTAAACTGTGGCACATAAACAACATGGAATACTGTGCATCTATCAAAGACTAAATAGCAAAAAGAAAAATGTTTGGTATAACATTAAGCATAAAAGCAGAAAATAAAATTGCATTTACAACTATGTAAATGATGTATGTATGGATACGGGTCAAAAGGAAATGGAGAAAAATGAAAACAGTTGCTGCAAGAGGATGTTGGAACTGTGAATTATTTTCATTCTTCTGAGTTCCTTTATTATTGTCAAAATGTGGTCTTTACAATAAATGAGAATTGGAGGGAAAACATGCATATATCTACTCTTGCCAGGAAAAATTCTCACTCATAAAGGGAGGTGGTATGACAGAAAATTATTGTTAAGGGCAAGTACTTTGGAGTCACCTGGACTTGGATTTCAATTCTGGCTCTGATGCTTCTGAGATGTGACAATAGGCAGTAGCCTAATTCTGTAAGCCTAACTTTCCACAAATGTTAACAGGGGCTGATACAGTCATACATGACCCCATGTGGCTGTTGTGAAGAGAAGTGAGATGGCGGAGCCCAGCCCTCCTTTTTTTTTTTTGAGACAGAGTCACCCAGCTGGAGTGCTGTGGTGAATCCTGGCTCACTGCAGCCTCGACCTCCTGACTTCCTGGCCTCAGAGAGCACCACTTATTAAATGGTAGTTACTGCTATTTTTGTTGCATAGGTAACGGTGATTAGAGTGATGGTGGTGGTACCGACAAGGGGACAGGGAATGGAAGCTTTTATGAGAATACCATTAACACTGAAAAAAAAATAGAATGACAGTATAATTTTCTACTGAATACACAGGTGGAGGACTTTCTATCATCTCTACCAATTGATCAATTCAGACCAAGTAAGCATTGCTTCAAAGGAGAGTTGGGTTGGGGGTGCATCACTCCTTAGCTGGAGATACAGAGAAATCTATACCTACAAGATCCTCAAGGTGTCCTTGTTGAAAACTTCATCCAAGGAACTCAAGTACTGCTGGATTTGTGTGACTCATCTTACGAACGAATACAAAGGCCTATTAACTATTCTATGGTTGTCGTCATTGATATATTAACAAAGAGTCTGTGTGGGATACTAAGAAAACCCCGTTCATGTCTTTGTCTTCCCTGCTGGTCTGGATGAGCTGTCCTCTCCCCTGAGGCCCTTCCTGCCTTTGCACACAAGACACCATCCCTGCTGGTCCTGCCCACACAAAGACTCAGGAAGTTCCTCTTACTCTTGCATCAATTTGCGCTCACCCCTCCCCAGCATATAGATGTGCTGTCGTGTCTCCCACCTTAATAAAAAACAAAAATTCTTATGTGATTCCACATCTCTTTCTAGATACAGACCATCTCTCCTTTCCCCTTTACAGAAAAACTCCTTGAAAGAGAATAGCAGGATGCTGAAAAGTACTGAAGCTGGGTGATGGGAATACGTATATTATTCTTGCTACATTTTTTAATTTAGAAAGACTATTGAGCTGTAATTGACAAACAATAAACTGTATATACAATTGGCCCTCCATATCCATGGGTTCTGTATCCATGGATTCAACCAATTCAGATCAAAAGTATTTGGAAAAAAATGGATGGTTGCCTCTATACTGATCATGTGCAGATTTTTTTCCCTTGTCGTTATTCCCAAAACAATACAGTATAGTAATGTAGCATTTACACTGTATTTGGTACTATAAGTAATTGATACGGTTTGGCTGTGTCCCCACCCACCCAAATCTCATCTTCAATTGTAGCTCCCATAATTCCCACATGTTGTGGGAGGGACCTGGTGGGAGATCATTGAATCATGGGGGCAGCTTCCCCCATACTGTTCTTGTGGTAGTGAATAAGTCTCACGAGATCTGATGATTTTATAAGGGGTTTCCTCTTTCGCTTGATTCTGATTCTCTCTTTCCTGCCACCATGTAAGACGTGCCTTTCACCTTCCACCATGATTGTGAGGCCTCCACAGCCACGTGGAACTGTGAGTCCGTTCTTTTTCTTTATAAATTACCCAGTCTCGGGTATGTCTTTATCAGTAGCATGAAAACGGACTAATACAGTAATCTTGAGATGATTTAAAGTATATGGGAGGATGTGTGTAGGTTATATGCAAATGGAATTTGGTATCTTTGAGGGTCCTGAAATCAATCCCCCTTGGGTACTGAGGGATGACAGTATTTTGTATGTACAGTGTAATAAGTATTGGCACATGAATATGCTTGTAAAACCATCATCACAATCAAAATAATGAACATATCTATCACCCTTGGAAACTTTCTAGGGCCCCTTTGAAATCCCTCCCTCTTGCCCCTCCTTCCCAGACCACCTTTCTGTTGTTATACATGCATTTGCATCTTGTAGAATTTTTATAAGTGAAAATCATACAATATGTACGTTTTTATTTGCCTTGCTTGTCTCACACAGCATAATAATTTTGAGATTCATCCATGTTGCAGCATGCCCCAATAGTTCCCTCCCTGTTATTGCTGAGTACTATTTAAATATACCACAGTTTGTTTATCCATTCACCTGCTGATAGACATTTGGGTTATTTCCAGCTTGGGTCTATTACAAGTAAAGCTTCTACGAACATTCAAATACACGTCTTTGTAGAGACATATGCTTTCATTTGTCCAGGCTAAATATGAGAATGGAATAGCCAGATCAGATGACAGGTGTACATTTAAATTTTTAAGAAACTGCAAAACTGTTTTGCAGAGTATTTGCACAGTTTTATATTCCCACCAGCAGTGAATAAGAGTTCCAGATCCTCCACATCCAAACAACACTTAGCATATAGTCAGATTTTTTTTATTTTTATCATTCCAGTAGGTGTGGTTTCTCCTTGTGGTTTTAATTTGCATTTCCCTGAGAAATTACTTAATGGGTACAATACACATTATTTGGGGACGGATATTGTAAAAGCTTTTACTTCACTGCTATGTAATGAATGCATATAACAAAATTGCACTTGTGCCTGTAAATTTATACACATAAAAAATTTTGCATTTCTCTACTGACTAATGAAGTTGAGCATCTTTTCATGTGCTTATTTGCCATCCACAGGCTTTCTTTGAACAAGTGTCGTTCAAATCTTTTGCTCATTTTTTAATTGAGTTGTTTGCTTTCTTATTGTTGGCTTTTGAGAGTTTTTTTTAATATCATAGATACCAATCCTTTAACAGATATGATTTTCAAATATTATCTCCCAGTCTCTTTATTCTCTTGAGAGCGTCTCTGAGATATATATATACAATAGAATATTATTTAGTCCCAAAATACTGTTTATGGCAAAATAGATTAATCTGAAGGACATTATGCTAAGTGAAATTAACAAGCACAGAAAGACAAATATTGAATAATCTTACTTATATGTGGATCTAATAAGTTAAATTCATAGACATAGAGAATAGAATGATGGTTACCAGAGGTTGAGGTGGTAGGGTGGTGAGGATGCAGGGAATGAGGAGCTGTTAATCAAAGGGCACAAGTTTCAGACAGACAAGGGGAATAGACTTTGAGATCTATTGCACAGCAAAGTAACCAGAGTCATAATAATGTGTTATATATTTCAGAATAACACGGTAAATTTCAAATGTCTCACCCTAAAAAATGACAGTAAGCAAGGTGATGGACATGTTTAATTAGCTTGATTTAATCATGTCATATTGTATACATATATCAAGGCATCACATTGTACCCAATAAATGTATAAAATTAAGATCTGTCCATCAAAAATAATATTAGTAATAAAATTTTAACTAAAAAAATTAAAAGCAGAATTTTTAATTTGGGTGAGTCCAATTTATCAATATTCTTTTTATGCCTAGTGCTTTTGATGTCCTATTGAAGAAATTTTTACCAGAGAAATTAAAGAGCTAAATGAATGGAGAAATACACCTTATTCATGGGCATGCACGTATATGACTCAATATTGTTGATATGTCAGTTAAATCTATTGATCTACAGATTTAAGAGAATCCCAATTACAATCTTAGCAAAGTTTTTAATATAAATTGAAAAGCTAATTCTAAAATTCACAGGGAAATTAAAGGACTTGGAACAGCCCAAACAACTTTTAAAATGGAGAATGAAGTTGAAGGGCTAACACTACCTGATTTGAAGGTTTATTATAAAGGTACAGTAATCAGGACAGTGTTATCTTGGCATAGAGATAGACAAATAGGCTAATGAAACAGAATAGAGAGAACAGAATTATTTCCACAAACGTGGGTGATTAATTTTTGACAAAGTTAAAGGAAATTCTGTGGAAAAACAATAGTCTTTTCAGCCAATGATACTGAAACAATTAGATATCCATTTGCTGAAAGAAAAAAAAGAACTTCAATCTATACCTGTATCTATGAGCGCCATGGCTCATGCCTGTAATCCCAGCACTCTGGGAGGTCGAAGCAGGCAGATCACCTGAGCTCAGGAGTTTGAGACCAGCCTGGGCAACATGGTGAAACCCCATCTCTACTAAAAATACAAAAATTAGCCAAGCGTGGTGTCGCACGCCTGTAGTCCCAGCTACTTGGGGGGCCGAGGCAGAAGAATCCCTGGTACCCAGGAGGCGGAGTTTGTAGTGAGCCGAGATCGCGCCACTGCACTCCAGCCTGGGCAAGAGTGAGACCATGCCTCAAAAAAAAGAAAAAAAAAAAAGTACGGGTGCGGTGGCTCACGCCTTTAATCCCAGCACTTTGGAAGGCCGAGACGGGCGGATCACGAGGTCAGGAGATCGAGACCATCCTGGCTAACGCGGTGAAACCCCGTCTCTACTAAAAAGACAAAAAATTAGCCGGGCGTGGTGGCGGGCGCCTGTAGTCCCAGCTACTCGGGAGGCTGAGACAGGAGAATGGCATGAACCCGGGAGGCGGAGCTTGCAGTGAGCCGAGATCGCGCCACTGCACTCCAGCCTGGGCGACAAGAGAGAGACTCCATCTCAAAAAAAGAAAAAAAAAATCAGGGCTCCAGATGAGTTGGGAAAAAATGGGGAAACTAAGCAATGTGGGAGGAGGCTAGAGTTGGAGAAAAAGATACCCGTTAAGGATCTGGTGAGGTAAGGTTCTGCCCGCTGGAAGCTGAGATACTGAATTGGGTGAGAACAAGAACTGAGTCAGTGTCCTTGGGAAGTGGCCGGAATCTTGGGAACACAATCTCAATTTTCCTTACAAAGTGACCTCAGCTGACATACCTCAGGAACAAAAAGAGCAATGTTTAAATAGAACCTGAATTATCCCCCTCTCCTATTAAGAACCTGATGAGAATACATACTCATGGCCTCCTCCTCGAAAAAATCACAATTTGATGTGTAGGCCCCCCTGGGGCTGTGCAGTGACTGATCTGAGGCTGTGAAACAATGTTAACAACAGAAGATAAGGCTTGCATCTCTGCCAGATGCATTCATTATCAGAAAGAACGTAGACTCGGACATGCTACCTTCAAAACAAAAAGAGTGAGGGGCAGAGTCATACCCAATTTTATCCTGGGCTATTCCTATTAGGAAAGGATTTATCAAGATATTTTAATGCTTTAGACAGGACATCAATTAGGTACATCTTTAATTTGAAAATAATAAATTTGGGCTGAGCACAGTGGCCCATGTCTGTACTCCCAGCACTTTGGGAGGCCAAGGTGGGAGGATCACTTGAGGCCAGGCCAAGACTAGCCTGGACAACACAGCAAGACTCCACCTCTACAAAAGATAAAAATAAAAAATTAGCTAGGCATGGTGGCACACATCTGTGGGTCCCAGCTACTTGGGAGGCTGAAACATAAGGATTACTTAAGCCCAGAGGTCAAGGCTGAAGTGAGCCATGATTGTACCACTGCACTCCAGCCTGGGTGACAAAGTGAGACTCTGCCTCAAAAAAATAAAAATAAATAAATAATAAATTTGAAAGTATTGTTTTAATTCTTTATTATAAGCATGCCTAATAAATACACAGAAGAACAAAGACTAATTCAATTTAAATCAGTATTTTTTCCATTCGGGAAACAGAGCACAGAACAGTGGTACTTTCATGATTCCATCTCTAACATTTAGGTAAGAAAATATCTTGTAATCCTGAAGTAAGTTCACAGTGACTGCTGTTCTCTACTAAAGTCCATCCATCCTGAATTGAATGACACTCTGAAGAATGTTACTACACATTCCACAGCCCTCTGTGAGGAAATGGCCTTGAGTCAAAAAAGAACTGCTGGAAGAATCTATCATTCTTAAACTATGGCTCTCCCTCCCATTTATTTCTCATAACAACAGAGCAAAACAGAAACCAAGAAACAAGATCATAACTCAGAACACTGCAGCTATTTTTTCACAATCTGCCCACTTCTTAAATAGACATGAAATATTGTAACTAGCTATATTCAGATACTACAGGAAACAGAAAGACCAGAAGAAAAACCTCAAACATCCGGCCTTCATCTTTCCTCTACATTAAATCTACTTTTCTTCCTAACTACAAATGTCTCCTCTCAAGAAGTTAAAACTGGGCATAATGCCATGGAGAATGACCAGGTTCACACTTTTCCAGAATTAGCATTTCTCAGATAAACACGCAACCCACATATCAGGAAAATTACCATTTATCAGAGGGGACCAATCCTAAAAGTTCTGTTAGAACACCAGAAATGATATTGATATGCAAGCAACGCGACATATCGAGGGTTCTGTGAGTGTATATTCCTTTGGATCTTTCAGGAAACCTTTCAGCTATACTTATGGTGATAAGGTATATACTATAGTATACAGTATATATATATAGTATGGTGATAAGGTGTATCCTTTCAGTTTTACTTATGGTGACAGGTTATACTTATGGTGGAGTTGAGTCAGTGTCTTTATGGAGCTTTGCTGGAACCTAACATCTCTCTTGTTGTCCAAAGCAACAACCTCAGGAGATAACAAAAGAATCCTGGTGAGCAGAACATCAGCAGTGAAGACTGCACTTTTTGTCTCATGTATCAGTTGAAAATAAATGAATGGCACCTCTGACCTGGAACCAACTAACTCTGCACTTTAAGTGGCAGCTTGGGGCAAACTGAAGGATTTGATGTCAATTACTGTGTTTTATGGGCTATATATGCTGAAAAGATTTTCATTCTGTTTTGAAACAAAATAAAAGGACCTGGCACAAAAGTGACTATGCCCTGACACTCTGTACAAACCAAACTTGTGTGTTAACATTGTTTCAGATTTTTAACATCCCAACTTCACAGGCTAGACTGAAATCCCAAAATTTTACTTTTAGTACACTTCAATGATTTCTTATAAATTTCCCCACTTTGATATTGAATAATGATGATGATGATGGTGGTGATGGCAACAGACACCTCTTAATAAACACTCACTGTGGGCCAGGTCCTATGCTAAGCCCATTAAACGCATCAACTTGTCACCACTGGTACAACCCTACATGATAAGTATTACTATTTCCAGTTTACAGACGAAGAAACTGAGGTTCAAGGAGATTAGACAACCTGTCCAAAGTTACACAGCTAAGGGGTAAAGGGAACTTAACACCCAAGTCTGTGCTCCTTCTTCACTAAATCTTCGACTTCTTAGATGTCAAACTCTGAAAATTTTCTCTTTTTTCCTATAATCTGCCATGCTTCTACCCTTTTCCTACTTCTCTCCTACTGAGGCTGTTCAGGAATATCTCATGATGAACTCCAGCTCTAAATTCATTTGAAAAAATATTTACTGAGTGCTCACATTAATGCTTCATTCGGTGATTTGCAAAGGTTTCTTAGGAGCCCACTGTGTGCTAGATGCTGTGCTGGGTGCTGAGGATTCATCGGTTCACAACATTGACAAAAATGCCCCGCCCACGTGGAGCTAACATTCCAGAGAAGGCAAAAAGACAATAAAGATAGAGATAAGAAATACAGGGATGGCTCAAAGATAATAAATGCTAAAGGAAAGCAGGCTAGGGGAACGGGAAGAGAGAATATTAGGGAAGATGTACACGTGTGTAGGACTGCAATTTTAAATGTTAGGAAAACATAATATTTGAGCAAAGACTTTCTGGGGTATGAGGGTTAGTTTTATGTGTCAACTTGGCTAGGCTATTATTAATTATTATTATTTAATTAAATTATTTAATCAAACACTAATCTAGCTGTTACTGTGAAGGTATTTTGTAGATGCGGTCTGCTTTGAACGGCATTTCTAGCGGCCCTGGCCTTGTATTACACTGGACACTCTACTGATTACCAACTCACTCACTTTTGGGAGACTGTGGGGTTTAGGAACTATGTTGACATACTTTATTTTGAACTGCCTTCACAAAAACTGACAAGCAGGGAGGACCGGTAATATCACCCTTATTTTACAGACAAGAAACTAAGACTCAAAGAGGGAGACTAACCTGTAAGAGATAACAGAATAAATAGCAGAGCTGGGTGTCAGGCCACCATCCTATCCTTCTTGACAATATACTGGAAAGGAATTTGCAATCACTTCTAACTGCTCACCTTCCAGCCACCATTCACTCTTCAACCATTTCAATCTGACACACCCCCTAACTCAGATGTTTTGCTTTTTTAGGGGGGTGAGGTGGGGACTGTAGTTTTCCATGAATTACATACATTAAGGGTGTCTGTCAGTCAAGCGGCGCCTTAAGGAGATGTCTCATTCCCCCAGGCTACTGTCTTCAGAACAAACACATTAACCAAAACCAGTGAAAAGAACATGATAAGAATCCCGGGCCCAAGGATTACAAAGTACACAGCTCAGAACAATCTCTAAAGGAAGCACGCAGGGTAAAATACCCAACAGCCTCCTCTACGTTCCTCTAAATTTCCCACTGAAATCCCTTAAAGAGAAAACATTCACCACTACAATAATATCCAAGATTGTCAGCCTATCCCACAGTCTGGGAGGGATTCCTACAACTCCAAGGACGATGTGACCAAGGACAACAGCCAGCAGGAACCACCTGTGCTGGGCCCCCGCAGCGAGGGGCAAACACCTCTCTCCCGGTTCAGAGAAGCAAGATCTGTGCCCAACAAAAAACTAGACAGCCGTCTCTCTCTGTGGTGCCTGCTGCTTTTTTGTGAAAGAAAAACATAAGCTGTTCCCAATACCTTCCCAAGCAGCCGACAAACGAGGGCTCTTCCGCCTTAAACTTTCCCCATACCGGGCGGAGCCCCAAGCCACAGGAAACCTCCAGCAGGAAGTCGGGCTGCCAGGGCGGTGGCGGGCGCGGTGCATCCTGGGAGTTGTAGTCCGTTCTCGGAGGCGCAGGCGCAGTGGTGAAGGCGGGGAGCTGGGGGCAGCACCGCAGAGGATTGTACTTTTTCCTGAATGATACAGTCCTCCTTCCACATCCTTGGGGAATTGGTTCCAGGACCTGTGCTGATACCAAATCCGGAATGCTCAAGTCCCTGATATAAAATGGCGTAATATTTGCATATCGCCTACGCACATCCTCCGTGTACTTTAAATCTTCTCTGGATTATTTCTAATACCTAATGCAATGTAAATAATTGTTATACTGTGTTGTTTAGGGAATAATGGTAAGGAAAAGTCTGTACGTGTTCAGTACAGATGCAATTTATTAAAGGATATTTTCGATTCCTGGTTGATTGAATCCATCGGTGGGGAACACTGTGGATACCGAGGGCCAAATGTATGAGGGTGTCGAAAAAAAGTCAGGGGGTGCCGTTAGGAGACCTCGTTTCACAGAGGGAGGGTGATCTGATGAATGTCGGCCGCACAGGAAGACTTGGCTTGGAAACGGGTGTCGGCCTCCGTCCAGTCTCAGATCTGAAATGGACTGAGATAGCCCCCAAGTGGACAGAGTGGGGTGAAGAATAACCCACACGATCTACAAACGGGACTGTGGAACTGTGACAAAACGTCGTAGAATCAAGGAAGGCGAGCCGACGCAGACTCAGAGAAAGAACAAACCTCAGAGTCATCTACCTTATAAATAGAACTTTTTAAAAAATTTTTGGCTTCTTCAAAAACTATCCCCCCAAAAAAAACAACAACAAAAAGCACCAACGCATATTATATATTAGGACTTGTAGGCAAATGAACGTATGGCACAGTCTGGACTCATATACATCAAAATGTTAAAATTAGTCTTCTTTGGATGAGAGTGTTGCATTTTATAAAACTTATGTGTATTTTCCTCATTGTTTACAAAGATGAAATAATTTTTTGGTTTGAAATAAGTATAAAGAAAAACACATAGAGCAATTTTTAAACACCTTGGTATCTACGACAAAGTTTTATCATATTTACTTCAGATCCTTCCTCTCTTCCTTCCTTCCTTCCTCCCTGTTTCTTTCTAGAAAAGAAAAGAAAACCAAAAAAATTATGGCCGTGCACGATTGCTCATACCTGTAATCCCAGCACTTTGGGAGGCCGAGCCGGGCGGATCACAAGGTCAAGAGTTCAAGACCATCCTGGCCAACATGGTGAAACCCCGTCTCTACTAAAAATACAAAAATTACCTGGGCGTGGTGGCACGCACCTGTAGTCCCAGCTACTCGGGAGAATAAGGCAGAAGAATCGCTTAAGCCTGAGAGGCAGAGGTTGCAGTGAGCTGAAACTGTGCCACTGCACACCAGCCTGGGTGACAGAGTGAGACTCTGTCTAAAAAAAAAAAAAAAAAAAAGAAAATTGAATTTGACTAATGACTAATGAAATGGGTTGTGTGGAAGACCTGGGTGACCAAATAAAATGCATAACTGTGCAAGTCAAATGCCTGCCACCCAATCTTCATTCTTGTGGAATTTTGAAGTTGGCCAGATAGCCAGTCTCAAAAAATCTCCATCCCCAAAAAACACACATGCAAAAAACAAAAACTTTACAAGTAGTGTCCCTTATGTAGCCCTTTGTCCTCTGCAGGGAAATGCATACATACATACATAGATTCTGCAGAGTATTTATGTATATGTCTCTGTGTTTTTGTTTTTTGAGACAGGGTCTCACTCTGTCTCTCAGAACTGGAGTGCAATAGCACTCATGGCTCATTGCAGCCTCAACCTCCCCGGGTTAAGGTGATCCTCCCATCTCAGTCTCCCTAATAGCTGGGACTACAGGCACACACCACCATGCCTGGCTAATTTTTTGTAGTTTTGTAGAGATGGGGTTTCACCATGTTGCCCAGGCTGGTCTCCAACTTCTGGGCTCAAGCAATCTGCCTGCCTCAGCTTCCCAAATTGATGGGATTACAGGCATGAGTCACCATGACCAGCTCAACAAATTTTTTAAATCAAAATCATATCAAGTATCTTATCAGACTACAATGGAGTCAAACTAGAAATCAATAAAAAGAGAAACTTCAGAAACTGTACAGATACAGGGAGCTCGAACAGCCTGCTTCAGAACAACCATTAAGAAAAAAATTCAAAAATTTCTTGAAAGAAATGAAAATATAAACAACATACAAAAACCTGTGGGATACAGCAAAAGCAATGCTAAGAGGGAAGTTTATAGCAATAAATGCCTGCATCAAAAAAATAGAAAAGTATGTCAAATATACAACTTAATGATGCACCTCAAGGAACTAGAACAGCAAGAATAAATCACACCCAAAATTAGAAGAAGGAAAGAAATAATACATATCAGAGCAGAACTAGGAGGTTGAAGATTATACGGTATATATAAAGTCTTGATAAATTTTGACAAGAAGGCCTTTTTTCTTTACATCAAATAGCAGGATCTCACAAGAGAGAAAGCCTGCTACTTAAATAGAACATAGTTAAATTAGTTATTGGGACTGTGCTTTCACCTAATTAATCAGCTCCTTTTAGGGGAGGGGAGGAGTGGATTCTAGTGAGACAACCACCTGGGAATTTAAATCTACAATCAAGGAATATATAGTTGGAGCCAAAAGATGAGGTTCTTAATCAGAGAACTTAGATAAAACCCAGGAAATTCAGAGAAGGGAAAGCTGGAATTTTCTAAAAGTTAGGTATAAACAACCAAATATGGAGTCCAGCATAAAACATCTTTTTTTGTGATTTTTATTTCTTCAATTACTTAAGATTTGGCTGTTAGTAGTATTTATATTATTGATACTATATTTATACTATTATTTGGTTATTTGGATTTATTGGAGTATTATATTGATTAAGATAATAATACTACATAATAATATAATAAATAACAAATAATACTACATAAAAGATAACAAAGAAATAAAACAGTAACAGTCAATTCTCAATTATCTGTACTAAGGGAGGGGAAGGCCGAGTACAAATCATTAAGAATTATTAATCCCTCTAGTTGGGTGAAAGTTATGGCCCTTGCTTTTAGTGGCAATGGCACCTGAATCCTGACCCAGCTGTCAGCCAGGCATCCGAACTGCTGAGATAGCTTCCATCACAAATAAAATATCTAGTGAAACGCCAGGTGTGGTGGCTCACGCCTCTAATCCCAGCACTTTGGGAAGCCAAGGTGGGGGGGCGGTGAATCACGAGGTCTGGAGTCTGGAGTTCAAGACCAGCCTGGCTAATATGGTGAAACCCCGTCACTACTAAAATTACAAAAATTAGCCGTGTGTAGTGGCATGCACCTGTAGTCCCAGCTACTTGGGAGGCTGAGGCAGGAGAATCACTTGAACCCGGGAGGCAGAGGTTGCAGTGAGCCAAGATTGTGCCACTGCACACTCCAGCCTGGGAGATAGAGTGAGACTCCATCTCAAAAAAAAAAAAAATCTATATCTATATATATAGTGAAAAAGAAACTTAAAACAGTTCTGTTTTGACTATATCAACAGCAAAGTTTAAGTCTAATATAAATATTACTACTATAGCCAGGCATGGTGGCTCATGTCTGTAATCCCAGCACTTTGGGAGGCTGAGGCAGGCTGCTTGAGGCCAGGAATTCGAGACCAGCCTGGCCAACATGACGAAACTCCATCTCTACTAAAAATACAAAAATTAGCCAAGGATGGTGGCGCAGGCCTGTAATCCCAGCTTCTTAGAAGGCCGAGGCCCAAGAATTGCTTGAACCTGGGAGGTGGAGGTTGCAGTGAGCGGACATCATGCCACTGCACTCCAGCCTGGGTGAGAGAGCAAGACTCTGTCTCAAAAAAAAAAAAAAAAAAGAAAAAGAAAAAATTACTGCTGCTATGGTGACTTTGCCTTTGAAAGTTCAGCAAACACTTGTGAAATGTGCACTATGGAAATGGGTCGTGTGCTGAGTGCCAAAAAATTCAACTCCCAACCAGTGCAGCTCACACCTCGTGGGTGAGGCAACACTGCAGGGGGCCCTGAGAACCCTCCTATGCATGGGTTGATTTTCCCAGCCAGTGGATACTTAGAAGACAAGTATTATCTTGTTCACATTTTATTTTTAAAGGGGTCGTCTCCACACAAATGCCACGGATCACAAAAAATGAACAGGGCGTGGTCTCTGCCTTTGGGAGCACGTCATCCACTAATATATATTCTGATTATCATAATGATGCTATTTCGTAAATTAGGAATGATTTTTCAAATTTAACAAGAGGAAACCGAGGCACAAAGAGGTTAAATAATTTTATTATTTCCAGCGTAACTAAATAATCTCCCAATAACATACTAAGTCTCAGTTCTACTAACTTAAGTCTAGTTTTCCTTTCTCCCGCTGAACTATTCAATGTCTTACCTCATGGTATCTTTTTTACCCAAGAAATCAAAGCACTTTGACCACATTACCCAATCTGTTTTTCTGTGCCTAGTTAAATTTTATCTTTTCTCAGTTCGAGTGTTTCAAAACTAATTTTGCACCGAGACATTTACTTTAGTGTGTTTTATAACAGAGTGAACTCTGCTAAAAAGATTTCCATTTAATGGACTCTCCCAGTTGACCTATTCTACCCATAACCTCAATAATATATCTGACTAGTGCCACTGGCGCATGGAGGCTTTTCTCCAATATGCCAACTTCCTTTTTCTTCCATCAGTTGAGATGTTAGTTTTCCAGAGTTAGTTGTTGTCTTAAAACCCACTGGCACCATTTGTACTTACTGTTAACATGTAATTTAATTAAGCTGTATGCAAGACAAGGAACTATGAGTTCAAAACAAGAGACTTGCTGTTTCAATGATAATCATTGAGTGCTTTGAGGAAAGGCAAGAAAGCTAAGTGGCTGAGAAATGCTGTTTAATTAGACTATACAAAGAATGCTTTTCAAATACATTAAAGTTTTCAATCCACTTTAAAGAAACAGACACTGGAAAATTGGAGATGATACATATGGGGGTGATTTATGCAAGAAAGACTTCATAGGGCCAGGTGTGGTGGCTCACGCGTGTAATCCAGCACTTTGAGAAGCCGAAGTGGGCGGATCACCTGAGGCCAGGAGTCCGAGATCAGCCTGGCCAACATGGTGAAACTCCATCTCTGCTAAAAATACCAAAAAAAAATTAGCTGGACACACACACACAAAAATTAGCTGGGTGTCGTGGCACATGCCTGTAATCCCAGCTACTCGGGAAGCTGAGGCAGGAGAATCACTTGAACCCGGGAGGCAGAGGTTGGGGTGAGCCGAGATCACACCACTGCACTCTAGCCTGGGCAACAAGAGCGAAACTCCGTCTCAAAAAAAAAAAAAAAAAAAAAAAAGACTACATAGAAATGAGGTCAGCAGATCTATATAAAGAGAAAACACCTTGGCTCTACCTATAAAAGATTGATAAATGAGTGTATTTTTATTTTCAGTTACAATGTTTAACATTTGTTTCTATTTCTCAACTCTCCATTTTTACTAACTTTTGTAATTATACAACTACCTACTAATGTAAATCACATCAGTTAAGAGAGCTTCTGCTGTATTCTTTGACATAACTGAAAATAATCTTCAGGAATTTAGAAATTAGGATTGAAGTTCCCCCTGGATTAGGCAGTGAAGCTGATTACTCTATTGGATGATTTGCTTAGTTTTTGATTCTGTAGTTGACTTTGCAGAATTTTTTTCCACGGTAAATTCTAAGTTAACAAATTTTTTAAAAATCCAATCCTACTTTTTCAAATCCTGAGACACTATCACACCTCCTTAAAAGAGCATCAGTGATAGAAATGGATTCATTAATAAACTGAGAGACCATCTGAATTCAGATGAAACACTAGCTTTATTTCCATAATGCACCAATTATTAAATACATGAAGTTTCATTTCAAGGGCCTGAGCTTTAAACCTACTGCAGATTAGGCCATTAAGAGGGGCTGATGGGTTCCATATGCATGAAGACCCACTGAAATTGACCAAACCGAGACAGATATTAAGCAGCCAGTAAACCTCACTAGCAGTCTCTTAAAAATGCAAACCAAAACGGCAGCAGAAAAATGCCATGTTTTTCCTATCAGATGAACAAACTTTTAAAAGAATATAATGTTTATATTGGTTAGGATGTGGAGAAATGGATAGAGTAGAAGGGTGTATTGGTATTACTTTAAAGGGGATTTGGCATGATATTGAAATTATAAATACTCTTCAAGTTAAAAATTCTGCTTCTTGTCATTTATCCTAGAGAAACGCTTGTACATGGGCACAAAGAGTCATGTAAAAGGACATTCATTGCTTCATAACTGCAATCATGAAAGATCAAAACCAATCTAAAAATCAGCAACAGGAGAACAATGACATAAATTGTGACTTATTTATAGCATGAAATATGTTGCAGCAGTTAAAGAGAACAAGTTAAATCTAATATGAAAGGTTGTCAAGGACATACGATTTAGTGAGTGGGGGCGGAGTAAACTATGGCATAGAAATACATCATATGATATGGTTTATGTATGAACAAAAATATTAACGCATAAAATGCATTGAAAAGGGTCTGGAAGGATCTACCTGAAACTAGTAACAGTGTCTACCTCCAGAGGGAAAGACTGGTATTGAGGCGGTGGTCAAGATGGATTTTGCTTATCTTACTGTTTTAACTGAAAGTGGGTTCATGTATTACTCATACATTTAAAATATATATATAATAAAAAGCATTAGGAAAAAAAGCCAAAGTTCTCAAACAGGTTAATCACAAAAGAAAAAATATAAATGGCAAAAGAAAAAGTGAGAAAAAGTTCCAAAAATATTTTTGAAGAAAATTTTTCAAGGATTATTAATAGCTCTCTCCTTGGATGATGAAACTATGAATGAATTTTTTAAACTTCTCTTTCTACTCTTCCATATTTTTAAAGTTTTCTATAGTGGAAACACATATAAGAAATGTTTAAAAGGCTGAGAAATGGCTGGTAAATCCTAACTAGCATGTTGTCACCTTTAAATCTTACTCTGACAGACAGCATATAGTCCATTTGGAGTATGTGGAAATTTATGATGAAAAATTCCCATGGAAAAGTGATATTTGAGGTGAGTGGCCCTGTCCTGATGTCATATGACAGACAAACACACTGATGTGTTGGAAACCAATTCTAAAAAATTCTACATTTTAATTATTTTTCTTAAAGCCCTGATTTGTAGTGTTTGCTGATTTCCATAGTGTTATAATTTGAATTGTGTCCTCAAAAAGATATGTTGAAATCTTAACTCCCAGAAGCTCAGAATGTGGCCTTATTTGGAAATAGGGTAATTGCAGATATAATTAGTTAAAATGAGGTCATACTGGAGTGGGATGGGCTCTTAATACAACTAGTGTCCTTATAAGAGGAGGAGAAGAGACACAGACAGACACACCCACCAAGAATGCCACGTGACTCTGGAGGTGGAGATTAGAGCAACATGTCTGCAAACCAAGGAGTGGCAGGGATTGACGCCCCCATCAGAAGCTAGGAAGAGGTAAAGAAGACTTCTACCCAGGATCTCAGAGGAAACATAGCTCTGCTGACCCCGGTTCCAGATTTCTGGCCTCCAGAACTAGAAGAGAATACATTTCTATTGTTTAAAGCCACACACTTTGTGGTACTTTGCCATGGTAGCCTAGGAAACTAATACACATGGTGTAAATAGAGGTTGAGTATCTCTATTCCGAACATCCAAAATCCAAAATGTTCCAGAATCTGAAACTTTTTGAGTGCCAACATGATACAAGTGGAAAATTTCACACCCACCCTCATGGGATGAGTCGCAGTCAAAATGCAATCAATGCACAATAGCAAACATAGAGAATCAACCTAAGTGTTGATCAGTGGAGGATTGAGTGAAGAAAATGTGATGTATACTCCATGGAATACTAGTCAGCCATAAAAAAGAATGAAATCATGTCTCTTGCAGCAGCATGGATAGAACTGGAGGCTGCTATCTTAAGTGAAATATAACAGAAACAGAAAGTCAAATATCACATGTTCTCACTTCTAAGTGCGAGCTAAATAACATGTACACATGGACATAGAGAGTGGGATAATAGACATCAGAGACTCAAAAAGGTAGGAGGGTAGGCAGGGTGAGAGACAAAGAATCACCTATTAGGGACAACATGCACTCATCTAGTGAGGGTTTCTCTAAAAGCCCACATTTCACCACTATGCTATATAGCCATGTAAGGTAACTACAGTTGTAGCTCCCAAATCTATAAAAGTAAAAATAATTTTTAAAAAACTTGGTTTCATGCATGAAATTACTAAAAATATTGCATAAAATGACGCTTGAGTCTCTGTTTAGAAGGTGTACGTGAAACATAAAGGAATTTGTGTTTAGACATGGGTACCATCCCAAGATCTCTCATTATGCATATGCAAATATTCCAAAGTCCAAAATCCAAAACACTTCTGGTCCCAAGCGTCTCAGATAGGGGATGCTCAACCCATCCATCTTGGCCAAGTAACATGACTCCCCTGAATGCAGGGCTGGGATCCTGCGTGCTCCTGTTCTCATGAGCCAGGGTGTTCCAGCACAGGGCAGAACGGAAGGCTGCTAATCTAAGGCATGGAGAGTTCTGAGTTTGTCCAGAGAAGAATCTGACATAGGTTTGACTGAAAATCTTTGGTGTAGAATTATCATCAATGGACATTGTCCTATTTTGTATGCATTTTACCTTTTAAAGTCTCCATGTTGGGTTCCAGGAATACATTAACCTAATTCAGTTCCAGAGACACAAATGAGATCATGAATGCAAACCTGCCGGATGACTATTCAAATATCAATGACAACATGCAGAAATACAGTTCCAGTTGCACTGTTGAGACGAATTCCCATGTGTATGTACATGGTTTCAGCTGGGAGTTTTAAAGCCACTCAGCATTGAAATAGCCTGGATCAAGACAGACAAACACACAATGAAACTGCACACAAATAGTAGTGTCAGGACACTGTGGTCTTTCTGCTGAACCTCTCATCTTTTTTTTTTTTTTTTTTTTTTGAGACGGAGTCTTGCTCTGTTGCCCAGGTGGGAGTGCAATGGCATGATCTCAGCTCACTGCAACCTCCACCTCCCGGGTTCAAGCAATTCTCCTGCCTCAGCCTCCTGAGTAGCTGGGACTACAGGTGTGTGCCACCACGCCCGGCTAATTTTTGTATTTTTAGTAGAAACGGGGTTTCACCGCATTAGCCAGGATGGTCTTGATCTCCTGACCTCATGATCTGCCTGCCTTGGCCTCCCGAAGTGCTGGGATTACAGGCATGAGCCACCACGCTCAGCCAATGAACCTCTCGTTTCCATCCACCAAATAGGTATTGGGCTTTGAAGTCAGTCAGACCTGGGTTCAAATTCTAGCTCTGCCACTTACAGTCTATGTAGCTTGGGACAAACTGCTTAAACTCTAAAGCCTCAGTTTCCCCATCTGTGTAAAGGTGTTAAGAAGACTTAACTCAAAGGGCAATTATGAGGATTGACAGCGTTGACACAATACCTGGCATATGATGAACACTCAATAGACAGTAATCAAGCTATGCTGGCCACTCCCTATGTGGAGTTTTGAATCAGGAGGCTGAGTGCAGAGTGCAGAGTCCTCTTGGCCAGGTCCGACTGCGGAGACGGCAGAGGAGTGAAGGAGGTGCTGTGTACCCCAGGTCCCAGCTGTGTGCACCTTGAACTGGGGGAACCCCCGCCTCCTTTCTGTCTGGCATGAACTCTGCTTCCTCCCAAGGAGTTTGAGGCCTGAATTCACCCATGGTTTATTCACCCCTGACCCAAGCAAACGTTCAGTGTTGAGAGGAAGCAACAAATGTGAAAGATCAAGGCAGAACACAGAGCATTTCTGAGGAAGTCTGTCGCGCCCACTGTTTTGACAGGCTCTGGAAGCCCAGCTTTGCCTAGCCCAGGGCAAGTACAGTACTCTAGGAAGTAGTACTCGGGTGGGGCTGTTGGTAGCCGGGGGTGGTCATCTGATTACCAGGGAAATGCAGAGTTTATTTTATCTAATTACCAGGGAACTGCCTGAGAGATTTCATCTGTCATAATTCTAAACAATGCTGAGGAGACTTTATCTTTACAGTTTCCAGTGTAAAGGCCAGAGGATGCTGGTTGTTGAGAGTGGTGAGGGGGACATAAGCGTACATTATTCAGTTTTGTCTGATTTTGTATACACTTGAAAATCCCCTTAATAAAAAGCAGCACCAAAGCCAGGAGCAATGGTGTGCACCTGTGGTCCCAGCTACTCGGGAGTCTGAGTGGGGAGGATGGCTTGAGCCCAGGAATTCCAGACCAGCCTGGGCAACATAGTGAGACCCACCTCTAAAAAACCAGCAACAAACAAAAAACAGAAAAACCAAAACAAATTTTTTTTTTTTTTGAGACGGAGTCTGGCTCTGTCTCCCAGGCTGGAGTGCAGTGGCGCCATCTCGGCTCACTGCAAGCTCCGCCTCCCGGGTTCACGCCATTCTCCTGCCTCAGCCTCCCGAGTAGCTGGGACTACAGGCGCCCGCCACCACGCCCGGCTAATTTTTTGTATTTTTAGTAGAGACGGGGTTTCACCGTGTTAGCCAGGATGGTCTCGATCTCCTGACCTCATGATCCGCCCGCCTCGGCCTCCCAAAGTGCTGGGATTACAGGCGTGAGCCACCGCGCCCGGCCCCAAAACAAATAATTTTAAAAGAAACAAAAATTTAAAAAACAACTAACAACCAGGAATAACCCTCTCCTTTGAGAACCCCAATACCACCTCACAATACACATAATCATGAGAATCTGTATTAAGGGTTTCTCACCCTTAATACAGGAAGTTGCCATACAAAAGGAAGTATGCAGACGTCGCTCTGTGTCTCTTAAAGTTCCAACGTTTCCTTACTCATAAATGACAAAGAGTGCTCTTCAGATTGACACATCAGGTTGCAGCTCTTCTCTGCTTGAAATCCCTCTGTAGCTTTTCAAGGTAGTGTCCCCTCCTTCGAAGGGAACAGCAGCTCCTTTGTGACCAGGATCCAGCACACGTTTCGTCTCCTATTTGTACTCTCCGGCTCTTGTGTGCTGGTCTTCTCCCTCCAGCTCCAGGGAATGATGTGCGTTTTCCTGGCATTTGCCTTCTGCCTCTTTCCTGGATCCGGGCTGTTTCCACTTCCTCCCCTCCCCACTCCCACGCCCCTGCCCATCACCTACTCATCCTGCAAGTCTGACCTGAAGCCCTGCCTCTTGTGCAAGATCTCCGGACCCTCAGCAGAGACCTCCCTCCATGCTCCTGTTGCAGGACTTTCCCTTAGTTCAGCTGCAAGATCTCCGGACCCTCAGCAGACCTCCTTCCCTGTTCCTGTTACAGGACTTTCCCTTAGTTCAGCCAACCACGGGGTCCTTGTCCGTCCCACGGCCACGAAAATGTAGGCTTGCAGACGGTTTGAAGGGTGAGTAAAGCAGGGTTTTATTGGGTGAAAAGGAAAAAAGGGAGGAAAAGGGACCCTCTGCGAAGCCAGAGTCCCTGCTGGTGCCCTTCCTGTCTGCCAATTTGAATCCTAGATTCCACCCAGAAAGAGGTGGGGCCGGGCTCCTCCCCAGTGCGAAGGGCGTGAACTTGCCGAGGGTCCACCCCGGTGCACAGGCCGGTTGGAGATTGCTGTCTCACTCCCATTGTACATAGTCATTACCTCTCATTGTTTCTATTTTTTCCCTCTGAGAGAGGTGAGCCTCTTAAATGCAGGAGTGATTTTATCTTTTTGTCTTCCCAGTGCATGGCACATAGTTGATTTTTTGTTTTTTTTTTTCCTGAGACAGGGTCCAGCTCTGTCGCCCAGGCTGGAGTGCAGTGGCGCAATCTCGGTTCACTGCAGCCTTCACCTCTAGGCTCAAGTGATCCTCCCACCTCAGCCTCCCAAGTAGCTGGGACTAGAGGCATGCACCACCGCACTTGGCTAATTTTTGTATTTTTAGTAGAGATGGGCTTTCGCCATGTTGCTCAGGCTGGTCTCGAACTCCTGAGCTTGAGTGATCCACCTGTCTCAGACTCCAAAAGTGCTGAGATTACAGATGTGAGCCACCGCACCCAGCCAAAAACACAAATAAGTGTATTAATAGTGTGAGGCATTGCAAAATATTGCTGAGAATACAGTTCACTAGTATCATCATCATAGAGCACAAAACAAATTCTGATATTATTAAGAATATCAGCCAGGTGCAGTGGCTCACGCCTGTAATCCCAGTACTTTGGGAGGCTGAGGCAAGCAGATCACCATGTTGAGAGAGAGACCATCCTGGCCAACATGGTGAAACCCCGTCTCCACTAAAAATACAAAAATTAGCTGGGTGTGGTGGCACACACCTGTAATTCCAGCTACTCGGGAGGCTGAGGCAAGAGGATTACAGCCAGGCATGGTGGCTCACACCTGTAATCACAACACTTTGGGAGGCTGAGGCAGGCAAATCACGAGGTCAGGAGTTCGAGACCAGCCTGGCCAACATGGTGAAACTCTGTCTCTACTAAAAATACACAAATTAAATGGGTGTGGTGGCGGGCGCCTGTAATCCCAGCTACTTGGGAGGCTGAGCAAGGGGAACCATTTGAGCCCAGGAGGTGGAGGTTGCATTGAGCCGAGGTGACAGGGTGAGACTCCATCTCCAAAAAAAAAAAAAAAAAAAGAATATCGTAGCTCTAACACATACATAGAAAACTCATTCTATTAGAAATTAAATTATACTAATATTATTGACAATCACTTTTATAGCTGTCATTGTAAACTCAAAGACAAGAAATAAATTCATCACGAGAAAACATAAAACAAGTACTTAGCCTTATTGTTGAGTTGCCTTTTACTGAATGGTACCTCAGTTCTTGGGATAAAGTTTGAAACAGCAACTGGAAGGACAGCTTTAACTTGAAAACGGTTTTATTTTTAGAGTTGTCATGTTACAAAAGCTCTTCTCACATAGCTAAGCTGTTGGAAAGAGACCAGGTTTTGTGAAAGTTTTTCATTAAGTGTTTCATGTTATCATCACTGTAACCCCAAACAATGGCAAATGCTTCATAAGCCGCTGAAATGCCGATTCAGCTGATAAATTAATAAAATTCTCCTTCTTTAAAGTCCTAAGCCAGAAAACACTTGTTAACATTTTTAACAGGAATGAATGAAGATGGATGGACCACCCAAAGATGCTCCTATCCCAGGGTAATCTCCAAAGACAAAACATCAATTTCACTGTGTTTTTTGCTTACCCAGGTCAAGAGTTACCAATACCAAGACATCAAACTGCACAGAGATTGGACCTAGAGCAGCAGGAGGTAGTATATAAAACACCAATACTAGAGGGAATTAGGAGAGGGAGCAGAAAAATGATTCATCTGTAGCACGTGTGGTCTGCAAGTTGCAGGGTGTAGAATGTAGCTTGTGGATAGAGGAAGAGTATTAGAAAAAATTAATGCTCATTCAAGTTTATTTTATGAACTAGCCAAAAAGTCACACATGGATACTCACAGTAGGTAGAATAATCAGAGCAGAAATAGCACTTCTGGCACATAGTTATTGGGATTGAGGAAGAATTCATTTTAGCTTTAATTTTAAAATAGCTTTAATTACTTTTATTTTAATTAATTCTTCTAAAGCTTTTAATTTTAAAAAAGCTTTTAATTTTTATTGTGGAAAAACATACATAGCATAAAATTTGCCATTTTAACGATTTCTAAGTGCATAGTTCAGCGTCACTAAATACAATCACCTGATTGTACAACCGTCACCACCATCCATCATCTCTAGAGCTTTTTCCTTTTCAACTTCCCAAACTGAAACTCTGTACCCATTAAACAATAGCTCTTCATTACTCTATCCTCCCAGTACCTGGGAACCATCATTCTACTTCTGGTTTCTATGAAAATGACATTCTAGATATCTCATATAAGTGGAATCATGCAGTGTTTTTTGTATCCAGCTTCTTTCACTTAGCCTTATGTCAAGGCTCATCCATATCGTAGCATGTGTCAGAATGTCTCTTTTTAAGGCTAAGTAATATTCCACTGTATGTCTGTACCACATTTTGTTTATCCATTCCTCTGTCAATGAATGCTTCCACCTTTTGGCTATCATGAATAATGCTGCTATGCAAGTGAATTTGCAAATATCTGTTGAAGTCCCTGCTTTCAATTCTTATGGGTTTAAACCCAGAAGTGGACTTGATGACTCACAGGGTAATTCTATGTTCCAATTTTTTTAGGAGCCACTGTACTCTTTTTCCACCATGACTATACCACCGTAGAGTCCACCAGCAATGCACAGGAGTTCTGATTTGGCTACATCCTCACCAAAATGTATATTTCCTGTTTTTTTTGATAATTGCCATCTTAATGGGTATGAAGTAGTATCTTATTGTGGTTTTGATTTCCTTAGTAATCAGTGATGTTGAGCATCTTTTATGTGCTTGATGGCCATTTGTATATCTTCTTTGGGAAAATGTCTACGTAAGTCCTTTGAATATTTTTTAATTGGGTTGTTTATTTATTGTTGAGTTGTAGGAATTCTTTATATATTCTGGATATTGATCCCTTATCAAATATATTATTTGAAATATTTCCTTCCATTCTGCAGGTTGTCCTTTGATTGCACAAAAGTTTTAAATTTTGATGAAGTCCAGTTTACTTATCTTTTTCTTTTGTTGCCCATGCTTTTGGTGTCAGAAAGCTTTTAGCTTATAATTTTAAATATATCATGTTTCCTGCCTCATATGTACCACTGGACAAGGTCCCTTTTATGTGCTCAGCTTCTGTCAGAGGTCCATGTATTTTGAAGTGGAGAACAAAGATAATTGCAAAATTGGCATGGAGAACTAAGGTAATTATGAAAGTTCCAGACACAAAGAGAGAAGGTTCAATATGCCAGCAGTTCTCTACCAATCCATCCTGGAAGTCTTCTTTTAGGACTGCCTAAATAATGCAGGGGATGAGTGCAAGACACACAAGTGTTCCAGAAGCATGTAAACAAGATACCGAGAAGAGGATACGATAAAATAAGATGAGATAGGAATATTAGGAAAGCCCTTGTTCAGAAGGTTGCCTACAGAGGCAAAAGGGACAGTTTCACTTTGCTGAGGGAAACAGGGTGGTAAGAACCCTCACGGGGAAGACCTCTGCTTACCCTGACACAGAGAGAAGGTGTAAAATAACTTAATGGAAGACCATTAGGCTGAGATAGCTCCTATGGCCTGGGTTCCTACACAGACAAAATGAAACAAGCTTAGCCCGTCACAAGTGTCCGGATGAATATTACCTGTGTAATGAGAGGCCTTCCACCAGGATGGTTCAAATAATGCAACTGCCCAAATTTTCACCAAATAGTTTCTCTACTCCTACATTCACCCTATAAAAGCCTTCCCTACAAACACCACCAGTGCATCCTCCAACCAATTTCAGTTTGGCGCTGCCTGATCCATGAATCTCTGTCTGTTCAAATAAACTCTTTAAAATTCTAATATGCTTAAGTTTATCCTTTAAAAAAAAATTGAGATGGGATCTTCCTATGTTGCCCAGTCTGGTCTTGAACCCCTGAGCTTGAGGGATCATCCCATCTCAGCCTCCTGAGTAGCTGGGACTACAGAAATGTGCCCCCACACCCAGATTACATTTATCTTTAAACAAGAGTTTGACCCCTTTCTGAAATTTATTTATGTTAAGACATGAACCCTAGTGATATTGCAGGCTCATTTTAGACCATCAGACATTTTGGTCTCTGGACCACTATTTGCCGTTTGTGACCTGATCTCCTAAGAAATTCAAGTGTAATTCAAGTTAGTTTACCCTCTGCTGATCAGGGGAGGTTGCTCTGGGTGCAAGTTCAAGACAGGCACTCATGCCTTCCTACCAACTCCTCTGGAGATTCAACAGGGCAAATCTTGCTCTCTTGGGGCCTAGGACAGAGCAAGGCCTCCTTCTGGGGCTGAATCACTGAATTTCTTCCCAGCCCTGTGCCCTCCCTATATGAAGACACGGATGCTGGGTAGACAGTCACCAAAGACATGTCTCCCCTAGTGTCTGGACCCTTCACTGTATATCTCCTGGTCATTTCTGCTGACCAGACTACCCCCTCCCTGTGCTGACCTTGGAGAAGTGAAGCCTGCTCCCAAGGTACCTAGACTTTTTGCTGCTTTACAATCACACAGTTTCACCTGGGATAGGAGATGGCAGGAAAATCATCAGTGATTTCTGTTCCCCTCCGAGGGTCTCTAGATAATTTGATCATTGCCTCCCAAGGCTTTATTACCTGGCCAGTCTCCTGGAGAGATGAGAAATATTTCCACTGAGGACAGGATGCACTGCCTGACATGAGCTTATTGCAAGTTAAGTCTCCAACGTGGTTCAGAAAGGCCATCTGCCTTCTGCTCAGATCTGCTGCTCATGGGTTGAGTGCTCCTGACAGGTACACAAGTCTTCCACTCCAAAGCCCAGACCAGGAGAGGGGTGGCTTCACCAGTGGAGGGCACCAGGCTCTGTGATGAGCCGGGAACTGGAATGCGGCCACCTAGGCAGAAGTGGAGGTGATGGAGATACTGAGTGGCAGGGAGAGTAAGACCCTTGGTATGAAGAGCATTCATCATGGTATTTAAGTGACGACACCTGGAAGCCATGAAATTCACTAAAATCAATCTGTTGTAGATCACCAGTGATTTATAATTGTGTAATTTGATTTTTGTTTTTTCCTTCTAGCAAAACTTCCTTGTAGCCAGCAGGGTGGGAACTGAGGGAGGTGGTACCAGCCTAGTAAACCATGCAAGTTTCTAGTTGAGAGTTTCGGCCAAATTTCCATAAATTAGCCACACGAGCCTTTACAGAGGGCCAAAATCCAAACCTCTGACCTGTCGTCTCCTGACCCTGCTTTTAACCCCATATCTCTCCCACCTGTTTCCTTCCCACGCTCCTCTATTCTACAAAAATTCAACTGGGGTCTGTTTTTCTTTCATCAGAGTCAAGCCCTCTGGAGAAGGCAAAAATAAAGCATGAGAAGGGAGAAGAGCATGAAGGTTGGCTGTATGGTTACGACAAAAAGCAAACAAACAACAACAAAAATAATAAATCATATTGCCTGCAAGTGAGTCTACCAGGAATTTTTGCTGCATTTACAATATTTTTAGGAAGGAAAAAAATAAGTACAGTACTATGATTTTTATTTTACAGATAGAAAACCTAAGATGTATAATTTTTTCCCCAAAGTCACACTGTTAAAAACAAATCGAACAGTATAATATTAGGTATTTTGGGGAAGAATGTGGAGAATAAACAAACTGTTCATGGAACTTGAGTCTTCTGACTTCCAGATCAGATTCAGTTAAAAACACTATTACATAGTCCTCAGTCTTTGTGTCAAAATGGAGATGCACTGGCCTGGGCAACATAAGAAGACTCTGTCTCTACAAAAAAACAGTTTTTTTAATTAGCCAGACGTGGTGGTGGCCAGGCTGGTCTTAAACTCCTGAGCTCAAGGGATCCTCCTGCCTCAGCCTCCTGAGTAGCTGGGACTACAGACATGTGCCTCCACATCCAGCTTACATTTATCTTTAAACAAGGGTTTGACCCCTTTCTGAAATTTACTTGAGTTAAGACATGAACCCTAAGTTATACTGCAAGCTCATTTTAGACCGTCGGGCACTCTGGTCTCAGAAGGCTAAGGCAGGAAGATCACTTGAGCCTGGGAGGTCAAGGTTGCAGTGAGCCATGATCATGCCAGTACACTCCAGCCTGGGCAACAGAGTGAGACCCTGTCTCAAAAAAAAAAAAAAAAAAAAAAAAAAAAAAAAAAAGTAGATGAGTCTGAATACACTAATTGCTAATCTGTGCTGTAGGCAGGTTTCTGATTGATTCATCTTTGAAAATCTTATCTACTTGTTTAAGTCAGTTGGTTTCCCTGAAACATGATACTGGTTGCCTAATACCAACAGTTGCTATTCAATATCTTTTTCTTTTTTTTTCTCAAGAGATAGCAGAGAAAATGACCTTTGCATTTTAGGGTGGGTTTTATTTGCTCATATGTAAACATCTATATCACACATCGTTTGATGTAAAAAATGTTTGCCAAATGAAAAAGCATGCCATGCTCATGGATTGGAAGGATCAATATCGTTAAAATGGCCATACTGCCCAAAGCAATTTACAAATTCAATGCTATTCCTATCAAACTACCAATGTCATTTTTCACAGAGTTAGCAGAAGCTATTTTAAAATTCATATGGAACCAAAAAAGAGCCCAGCTAGCCAAAGCAATCCTAAGCAAAAAGAACAAAGCTGGAAGCATTACATTACTGAACTTCAAACTATACTATAAGCCTACAGTACCCAAAACAGCATGGTTCTGGTGCAAACAGAGACCAGTGTAACAGCATAAAGAGCCCAGAAATAAATCCACACACCTACAGCCCTCTGATGTTTGACAAAGTCAACAAAAATAAGCATTGAGGAAAGGACTCCCTGTTCAATAAATGGTGCTGGGATAACTGGCCAGTCATATGCAGAAGAATGAAATAGGACCCCTACCTTTCACTATATTAAAAAATTAACTCAAAATGGATTAATTATTTAAATGTAAACCTCAAACTATAAGAATTCAAGAAAACCTAGGAAATACCATTCTGGACATCAGCCTTGCGGAAGAATTTGTGACTAAGTCCTCCAAAGCAATTGCCACAAAAACAAAAATTGGTAAGTGGGACCTAATTAAAACTTTTTAGGGCGGGGTGGAGTCTCATGCTGTCTCCCAGGCTGAAGTGCAGTGGCACAATCTCAGCTCACTGCAACCTCCGCCTCCCGGGCTCAAGTGATTTGCCCCCCTACAGGTGCACACCACCATGCCTGGCTAATTTTTTTTTCTTTTTAGAGATGAGGTTTCACCATGTTGCCTAGGCAGGTCCCAGACTCCTGGGCTCAAACATTCCCCTCACCTCTGCCTTCCAAAGTGCTGGGATTACAGGCATGAGCCACCATGCCCAGCCAGGACCTGACTAAAGAGCTTCTGCACAGCAAGAGAAACTATCAACAAAGTAAACAGACAACCTACAGAGTGGGAGAAAATATTCACAAACTATGCATCTGATGAAGGTCTAATATCCAAATCTATAGGGAACTAAATTCAACAAGCAAAAAGCAACCCCATTAAAAAGGAGGCAAAAGACATGCAGAGACACTTCTCAAAAGAAAATATACAAGAAGTCAACAAACATGGAAATGCTCAATATCACTAGCCATCAGAAATATGCAAATCCAAACTACAGTGAGATACCATCTCACACCAGTCACAATGACTATTATTAAAAAGTCAAAAAATAGGCCTGGTGCAGTGGCTCACGCCTGTAATCCCAGCACTTTGGGAGGTGGAGGCGGGCGGATCCTGAGGTCAGGAGATTGAGACCATCCTGGCTAACACAGTGAAACCACGTCTCTACTAAAAATACAAAATATTAGCCAGGCGTGGTGGCACGCACCTGTAGTCCCAGCTACTTGGGAGGCTGATGCAGGAGAATCGCCTGAACCCGGGAGGCGGAGGTTGCAGTGAGCCAAGATCGTGCCACTGCACTCCAGCCTGGGCGACAGAGCAAGACTCCGTCTCAAAAAAAAAGTCTAAAAATAACAGAGGCTGGTGAGGCGGAGGAGAAAGGGGAACACTTATGCACTGCTGGTAGGAATGGTAAATTAGTTCAGCCACTGTGGAAAGCTGTTTTCAGACTTTCCAAAGAACTCAAAACAGAACTACCATTTGCCTCAGCAATCCCATTACTGCATAAACATATCCAAAGGAAAATAAACTATTCTGCCAAAAAGACACATGCACTGGTATGTTCATCGCAGCACTATTCACAATAGCAAAGACATGAAATCCACCTAAATGCCCATCAACAGTGGACTGGGAAAAGAAAATGTGGCACATATACACCATGGAATACTATGCAACCATAAAAAGAAAGAATCATGTCCTCTGTAGCAACGTGGGTGCAGCTAGAAGACACCACCCTAAGTGAACTAACACAGGGAGAGAAAACCAAATACTGCATGTTCTCACTTATGCGTGGGTACTCATGGACATAAAGTTAGCAACAATAGACACCAGGGACTACTAGAGGGGAAGGGAGGGAGAGGGGGACAGGGGTTAAAAAACTATCGGTTGCTATGCCTACTACCTGGGCGATGGGATCATTCATACCCCAACTCTCAGCATCACACAATACACCAGTGTAATAAATCTGCATAGGTACCCTCCCGAATCTAAAATAAACATTGAAATTAACTAATTTTTTTTTTCTTTTTGAGACGGAGTCTTGCTCTTGTCGCCCAGGCTAGAGTGCAATGGCATGATCTCGGCTCACTGCAACCTCTACCTCCCAGATTCAAGCGATTCTCCTGCCTCACCCTCCTGAGCAGCTGGGATTACAGGCGCCTGCCACCATGCCCGGCTAATTTTTGTATTTTTAGTAGAGACGGGGTATGCCATATTGGCCAGGCTGGTCTTGAACCCCTGACCTCGTGATCTGCCTGCTTCAGCCTCCCAAAGTGCTGGGAGTACAGGTGTGAGCCACTGGGCCCGGCCAAGATTAATTAAAATTTTAATTTCATCTTATTAAAAAACAAAGATAAATTTACTCCTTTCCATTTTCAATATGCATTATACTGACAGACATACTGTATTCTATGGTGAATTATATTGATTGAATTTCACATCTTAAACTAACACTGAGTTACCGTGAAAAACTCCATTGGATCATAATGTAGTATGTTTTTAATATATTTTAATACAATTTACAAAAATTCTGTTTTAAAATTACAACTATGTTCCATAAATAAATATGTAAAAAATAAAAAATGTTTGTATTATTCAAGTGAAGATTATAGAGATCTTTTTTTTAAGGGAATAAAACACTTTATTTTAAAAATTCAGGCCCGGTGCAGTGGCTCACGCCTGTAATCCCAGCAATTTGGGAGGCCGAGGCGGGCGGATCACGAGGTCAGGGGTTTGAGACCAGCCTGACCAACATGGTGAAACCCCGTCTCTACTAAAAATCTAAAAATTAGCTGGGCGTGGTGGCGGGTGCCTGTAATCCCAGCTACTCAGGAGGCTGAGGCAGGAGAATTGCTTGAACCCAGGAGGCGGAAGTTGCAGTGAGCTGAGATCGCGCCACTGCACTCCAGCCTGGGCGACAGAGCGAGACCCTGTCTCAAAAAATAACAAAATAAATAAAAAATAAAAATAAAATAAATAAAAATTCAAATATGCTTCTAATGAAAACTCCTGTCCATTTATTAAGCACCCACAGAGTGCCAGGCACCGTACAAAACATTAGAAAGACTTGTTCATGCTCTTTTAGAGCAAAATTCACTATTCCGTGGCACTTTGCATGATGCTGACATTTTAGATCCATTGTCATAAAATGACCAAGATCTTCAAGACTTGCTCGAGAAACAAGTTTCCAATCCATAGTAGAAACAGATCACGCAGGTTAATGCAGAAGGCAACTGGTGATATCTGTCAACTGTTTCACTTAACGTCCTCTCCCTCTGAAACCACCACCTCCTCTTCCACCTCTAAAACCACCGCTTCTGCCACTGCCTCTGCCACCTCCCCTTCTTCCTCCTCGGCCTCCCCTGCCACCACATCTTGGAGGTCCTTTCTCACCTGGAGGCCGAGGTAAAAACCTCTGCAGTGGCAGCAGCTCATATGGGTCTATATAAAACTTCCAGAGTTTTTTAAAGGATGAAGCCTTCTCGTTTTCTGACATTTTAACGGAAAAATAAAAATCTCTAAGTTGTCCAAATATTTCATCCGCTTTTCCAATTTGTTCTTTGTTTTCTAAGTAAACAGGAGCATTGAAATAAGACACCTTATTTTCATCTGCCGTACGTTTACAAACTATGTCATCTTCACAGGGATGCAGGAACTCTCCTAACAAGACTGCACGTTCTGGAGGTCCTTGGCCTTGGCCTTTGTCAAAGCCTCCGTGGCCACCCCCTCATCCAAATCCTCCCCTGTCGCCACCTCTGATATTTCCACCGCCTGCACCTCAGAAGCGGTTGCTGCTGCTGCCGCGGTTGAAACCGCCACCTCCACCACCTCGATCAAAGCCTCCACGACCTCCGCCCGGAAGAGACATTCTCTGTCTTCCCAGCGCCATGTGCACCTCTGGCCCTGGTCTTCAACACACACCCCTAGAGATCTTTTTGAACATATACTTGATCTCAACTAGCTTTAAATTCAGAAGTAGCAACTCCATAGCAATTCAACTTATTTCTACCTTATTAATCATACTGGTCACCTCGAAGAAGCTTCATTGCTATCATCCAGTTTAGACTGGAATATCATAAATCTCTAGACTGAGTAGCATAATACTCACTATTCAAATAAAATCAAATTTTATAATGTTATGACACCTCCAAATACAAAAAGCAAACCCATGGATGTTAGGTTAAGGTATAGAGACAAGTATTCCTACTTACTATCTTTTAGGGCAGACATATCCCAGCCAGGATGATTGCAAAATGAAATGGAAATCACATGGTGTAAGGGGACTTGGGACTCATACAGATTGAATTTTCATTCCAACTCTTACATATACAAGCTGCATGACTCTGGGTAGATGGCATATTCTCTTAGAGTTTCAGTTTCCTCGTCTGTACAACAGATGTTAACACTTACGTGTAAGGCCGGGCGCGGTGGCTCACGCCTGTAATCCCAGCACTTAGGGAGGCCGAGGCGGGGGGATCACGAGGTCAGGAGATCGAGACCATGGTGAAACCCCGTCTCTACTAAAACCACAAAAAAAAATTAGCTGGGCGTGGTGGTGGGCGCCTGCAGTCCCAGCTACTCAGGAGGCTGAGGCAGGAGAATGGCGTGAACCCGGGAGGCGGAGCTTGCAGTGAGCCGAGATCGCACCGCTGCACAACAGCCTGGGCGACAGAGCACGACTCCATCTCAAAAAAAAAAAAAAAAAAAAAAAAACCCTTATGTGTTATGGCTGACGTGGGGATAAAAGAGAACCAATACGGATGCATGGGCACGGCCTGGTCCACAGAGCAGCTGGCATCAACAAGTGGAAGCCCCCTTCCCATCTTGTCTTTACTTGCACTACAAAATTGTGAATATGTGGGTATAAAAAGTAGTCTTATAAGACACAGAATTGGAAGCTTTTGCAAAAAGAGGTTGGGAGAGTGTCACATCTTGTGGCATGAGGAGTTGTTGGCATACACTTGAGCTTTGTGCTGTGAGATATTCTTGGAACTTCAATAGCTTTAAGAGAACAGTTTAGATGTCATCTTATTAACCTACCATAACACTTTCTCTTGTTTTCAGAGATTTCTGGACAATACCTTTTACAGCTCTAATAATGTGGACTATTCTAATAGATACAAAGTGGTATTTCACCAGCAGATGCTACTGTAGTTTATATGATGATTTCAAACTGAGAATCCCTTTAAGGTTATGCAGTAGGTTTTATTGGAAATAGGATGAAAGCCCTTTAAGTCTAAAATCCTAAGAAATAGGTTTACAGCATATAATTCTTTGTTGCAATGTCTATCATACTATCTTACATCCACATACATATTGATTTCCTAATACATATGTATGAGAGTGAAAGTTATTGAGGGCAGAGACTGTGCCATATATTCCCTGCACTGCTGGTGCCTATCTCAGCACATGATATACAGTAGATGCTCAATAAATACTTTAACTTAAAAAAATGCATGGGCTGGACACAGTAGCTCAGGCCTGTAATCCAAGCACTTTGGGAGGCTGAGGCGGGTGGATCATGAGGTCAGGAGATCGAGACCATCCTGGCTAACATGGTGAAACCCCATCTGTATTAAAAATACAAAAAATTAGCCAGGCATGGTGGCAGGTGCCTGTAATCCCAGCTACTTGGGGGCTGAGGCAGGAGAATTGCTTGAACCCAGGAGGCGGAGGTTGCAGTGAACCGAGATCGCACCACTGCACTCCAGCCTAGGTGACAGAACGAGACTCCATCTCAAAAAGAAAAAAAATGCACTAAGAATAAATCAGTAGACATAAAAATACGTATGAATACAATCTACAGACGTGGTCAGGAGCTCAAAATCCAGCCTTCAACATTTAAAACCATATCCATCTTTCAAGACCCTTAGTGAAATGCAACTTTTTCCCTGAAACTCCTCTGATCCTTCCACAACCCCAGGATATAATCTTCCCCACGTTAGAGTTCCCACAGCACTTTGTACCTCTTCTCTTAAAATACTCTCCACTTTCTGCCTTACGTTATAATCTGTCCAGTGACTTAGATATACATAAACTCCTGCCTGTTGCTTGTGTTGTCCTTAGGTGTCCCCCAGTGCTGTGGGTCTTCACCAAATGCTTGCTGAATTCTCTCACCCCTTATTCAACAGCTAAGCTCTGAAATCTTAAAAGTAAACAAAAAGTTGATTATTTATTTATTTATTTAGAGACAAAGTCTCGCTCTGTCACCCAGGCTGGAGTGCAGTGACGCAATCTTGGCTTACCGCAACCTTCCTCTCCCGGGTTCAAGCGATTCTCCTGCCTCAGCCTCCTGAGTAGCTGCGATTACAGGTGCATGCCACCACGCCTGGCTAATTTTCTGTGTTTTTAGTAGAGACAGGGTTTCACCATGTTGGCCAGGATGGTGTCAAACTCCTGAGCTCAGGCGGTCCGCCCACCTCGGCCTCCTAAAATGCTGGGATCACAGGCGTCAGCCACGGCGCCTGGCTACAAAAAGTTTTAAAGTAGCTTCAAAACCCATTTGCAAATAGGTGTATGCAGAACAAGATGAAAACAAGAAAACATTGAGCTTCATATAATAGAAGGGTTCTGCCTGGATTTGCATGTGGCCCCATCATTTGTTTGCTGTTGGGCCGTGGTCAGGTTACTTAGCTGCTCTCTGCCTCCACATAGGCTTGCTGCCTGTGCATCCCTCATCTACAAAATGGGAATAATAAGAATATCTAACAATGAGAAGTGGAGAAAACGTATGTAAAGGCCTTTGAAGAGAGCTATTGAGTCAAAGCTCAATAATTGTACTCAATAATTGTCAACTACCATTCAATAATAATAATCATAATCATAAAAATATATGACTCAAAGAAAGAGTCCTACTTCATATCCAGCTTCTCAAAAGAATATCAGATATTGGACCTGTGAAAGGAATGACAATGAGATGTAGTTTCACATTGCTAAGTTGTTTTTTTCTTTTAGCCATTCAATTTCTGTAGTCCCCGCTCTAAGCCCACGGTCAACTTTTTTTTTTCCTTCTAAAATTTCTTCCCTTCTGGTAAGATTATCTTTGCCTTAAAAAGGGCCCTTTTCATCCCCCTACCCCCTTACCCTTCCCAGAAGTTGGTTAATGGGCACAAAAATACGGTTAGATAACAGAAGAAGTTCTAGTGTTCAACAGCACAGTAGGGTGACGATCGTTAACAATAACTTATTATATATTTCAAAATGGCTAGAAGATTTGGAATGTTCCCAACACAAATAAATGATAAATATTTGAGGTAATTGATATGCAAATTATCCTGATTTGATCGCTACACATTTTATGCATGTATCAAAATATCACGTGTACCCTACAAATATGTACAATTGTCATGTATCAATAAAAACAAAAAAGGGCCTGTTTCTCTTTGCCTTCCTCCCTGAATTCCCTCCTGTCCCAGATATGTGCTGTTCCTGGCACTCTCCGGCCCCCCGTTCAGCCAGCACTGAGCCAGCAGGAAGGATCTCACAGGTTATATCCTGAGGTTCAACCCTCCACCCCTTGAGGTAATAATCCTCCTGCTTTTAGTCATTCATATCCTTTGGCTCATAGATATTTTGAGTCTAATGCCTTCTAACTGCTGACCTAAATAATATCCCTTGGTTTTTAGAGATAATACAAAGTTGATTTTAGTAACAACCGTGAGTCGTCACGGAAGCTAATGAAGTTGGGGATTCTATGCAGCCATCCAAGCATATAAAGCCCATTTCCCTGGGTCCCTTTGCCTTAGCTCAAGGCCATAAAAATCAGAACATGAATTCCAGCCCATATTTGCATTATGTCTAATAATTATGAGTTATAAATCAAGCCAACAAAGAGCTAAATATGTTCTATTCTCCTACTTTGATAAATATACCTCCATAATAACCCACAAGGTCAAAGTCGAGTGTAGAATTCTCAGACTCCTTGGTGCTCTGCACAGGAATGTGATAGCAGAGGAAGAGCTGATCCTCAGCCCCAGGCGACACTTTTCCCTTTCATTGTAGATAGCCCTGTCCTCACTTGAGAAGCCTGGCGTACCCCTGTGTGGACTCCCTAGGCCCCATGCAAGCTCCATGCACAAGTCTCACCCCTTCAGACAGCAGAGCCTTGGGCACCATTTGGACAAGCACAGTTTGCCCTTTGAAATGGACCCAGGGAAGAGGCGGTGCAGGCTCAGGCACATTTGGCCAGGGGCCTGAGTGCCCGGAGTGTGGCCTAGAAACGAGGGTGCGAGCTCTGGGTGGACCGGGCGACAGTCCGTGGAGGGCCAGAGAGGCACCTTCTCAAGCGCAGGATTCAGGGTAGGGGTCCTCTTGCTGAGATGGACGGCTCCGTTTGCTCAGTGTAGTGGCGACTGCCTCATGTCTTCTCAGTGCACCTTTCATTCAGCCTCAGCTACCATGGGGAGCTCCTTGGAAGCGCAGGCTTCCCTTGTGCTGCCAGCAAACTCAAGCTACACTTTCTGCCCCAGGGCAAATCCATTATTGTAGGATTTTTGCCTGAGCACAAATACAGCCCAGGTACACTTACTTGCATGTTAACAGCCTCAGGGGAAGACCTCAACCGGTGTGGATAAGTGGGCAAATGCTCGAGGCTCCCCTTTCAGGTGGACAGTTCTGGATAACTTTCCTGAGCCTCTCAGAAGATCCTGCACAAAACAGTCCATGGCAGCAGCCTCAATAGCATGCCATTATTTTGGCTTTTCCTTCTCGCCTGCCTCACTCTCCCCCACTTCTCACTCTTGCTTCTTGGGATCACTTCCCAAATAAACCACCCACACCTAAGTCCGTACTCCAGCTCTGCTTTTAGGGGTAAAGGCATACCTTGGAGATATTACAGGTTTGGTTCTAGGTCATCACAATAGAGCAAGTCACATGACATTTTTTGCTTTCTGGTTCATATAAAAGTTATGTTGCTGGGCGCAGTGGTGCACGCCTGTAATCTCAGCGCTTTGGGAGGCTGAGGCGGGTGGATCACCTGAGGTCAGAAGTTCAAGACCAGCCTGGCCAACATGGTGAAACTCCATCTCTACTAAAAATACAAAAATGGTGGTGCGCACCTGTAGTCCCAGCTACTCCGAAGGCTGAGGCAGGAGAATTGTTTGAACCCGGGAGGCAGAGGTTGCAGTGAGCCAAGATCATGCCACTGCACTCCAACCTGGGCGACAAGAGTAAGACTCCATCTCAAAAAAAAAAAAAAAAAGTTATGTTTACACCATTGTAGTCAATTAAGAGTGCAATAGTCTAAAATATAATGTACATACCTTACTTTGAAAATACTTGATGGCCAAAAAATGCTAACCATCATCTGGGCCTTCAGCAAGTCATGATCGTTTTGCTGGTGGGCGGTCTTGCCTCAGTGTTGATGGCTACTGTCATCTGGGCCTTCAGCAAGTCATAATCGTTTTGCTGGTGGGCGGTCTTGCCTCAGTGTTGATGGCTACTGACTGATCAGGGTGATGGTTGCTGAAGGCTGGAGTGAATGTGGCAATTTATTAAAATAAGATGACAATGAAGTTTGCCGTATTGATTGACTCTTCCTTTCACAAAAGATTTCACTGTAGCATGCTATGCTGCTTGATAGCATCTTACCCACAGTAGAATTTATATCAAAATTGGAATCAATCCTCTCAAACCCTGCCACTGCTCTATCAACTAAGTTTATGGAATGTTCTAAGTCCTTTGTTGTTCTTTCAACAATGTTCACAGCATCTCCACCAGGAGTAGAGTCCATCTCAAGAAACCACTTTCTTTGCTCATTCACAATAAGCAACTCTTCATCCATTAAGATTGCAGCAATTTGGCCAGGCGCTGTGGCTCACGCCTATAATCCCAGCACTTTGGGAGGCCGAGGCAGGCAGATCATCTGAGGTCGGGAGTTTGAGACCAGCCTGATCAACATGGAGAAACCCTGTCTCTACTAAAAATACAAAATTAGCCAGGCGTGGTGGTGCATGCCTGTAATCCCAGCTACTCAGGAGGCTGAGACAGGAGAATCACTTGAACTCAGGAGGCAGAGGTTGTGGTGCGCCGAGATTGCGCCATTGCGCTCCAACCTGGGCAACAAGAGTGAAACTCCGTCTCAAAAAAAAAAAAAAAAAGATTGCAGCAATTCACTCACATCTTCAGGCTCCACTGGTAATTCTAGTTCTCTTGCTATCTCCACCACAACTGTGGTTACTTCCTCTGCTAAGGTCTTGAACCCCTCAAAGTCATTTGTGAGGGTTGGAATCAACTTCTTCCAAACTCTTATTAATGCTGCAATTTTTACCTCCCCTCGTGAACCATGAATGTTCTTAATGGCATCTACAATAGTGAATCCTTTCCAGAAGGTTTCTAATTTACTTTGCCCAGATCCGTCAAAAGAATCATGATCTATGGGAGCAACAGCCTTATAAAATATATTTCTCAAATAATAAGACTTGAAAGTCAAAATGACACCTCAATCCATGGGCTACAGAATAGATGTGTTAGCAGGCATGAAAACAGCATTCATTCCCCTGTCCATCTCCATTAGAGCTCTTCAGTGGCCAGGTACAATGTCAATAAGCTAAAGTAGTTGAAAGGAATCTTTTTTTCTGAGCAGTAGGTCTCAACGGTGGGATTAAAATTCTCGGTAACCCATGTGGTAAACAGCTGTGATGTCATCCAAGTGTTGTTGTTCCATTTATAGAGCACAGGCAGAGTAGATTTAGCATAATTCTTAAAAGATGCCCTAGGATTTATGGAATGGCAAATGAGCATTGGCTTCTAACAAGAGTGTCAGCCTGTCCTTTGAATTTTTTTTTTTTTAGATAGGGTCTTACTCTGTTGCCCAGGCTGGATTGCAGTGGCATGATCTTGGCCCACTGAAGTCTTGACCTCCTGGGCTCAAGCGATCCTCCCACCTCAGCCTCCTGAGTAGCTGAGACTAGAGGCACACACTACCATACCTGGCTAATTTTTTTTTTTTTTTGGTAGAGGCAGGGTTTCACCATGTTGCCCAGGCTGGTCTCAAACTCCTAAGCTCAAGCAATTCTCCCATCTCAGCCTCTCAGTCTTCCAGAGTGCTGGGATTACAGGCATGAGCCACTGTGACTGGCTCCTTTGAAGCTTTGAAGCCAGGCATGGACTTATCCTCTCTATCCAAAGTCCCAGATGGCATCTTCTTCCAATAGAAGGCTGTTTCACCTACATTGACAGTCCATTGTTCAGCATAGCCACTTTCATCAATGATCTTAGCCAGATCTTCTGGATAACTTGCTGAAGCTTCTACATCAGAACTTGCAGCTTCATCTTGTGCTATTATATCATAGAGATGTCTTCCTTTCTTAAACCTCATGAACCAACCTATGCTAACTTCAGACTTTTCTTCTGTAGCTTCCTTATCTCTCTCGGCCTTCATAAAATTGAAGAGAATTAGGGCTTTGCTACGGATTAGGCTTTGGCTTAAGGGAATGTTGTGGTTGGCCTGGTCTTCTGTCCAGACCACTTAAACTTTCTCCATACCAGCAATAAGGCTTTGTTTTCTTTCTTTTTTATTTTTAATATTATAGACTTGGTTTATTGTAAAAGTAATTCAAGAATACCCAGTTAAAATCTTATCCCAGTGCTACCTAATACAAGGAAGAAGCAGTTAAGCACTTTCACATTAGGAACAAGGACATAAAAGAGAGACCACATCAAGGCTATGATTCAAACTCAAAAAGAGAAAGGACTCTTAGGTCTCCTTCAGGTCAGTACAGAGGGTATCATGAGATTAAAGCACTGTGCCAGGTATCACAGCACTGTTACAACACTGAGGTATAACTGGGCAAATTAAAGTCGAGGGGAAAAGAAGATTGGAGGGAAAAGAAGATCTCCATATTCTTGTTTTGTGGGTGTACTTAAATGATTGAAATTCTAGAAACAGCTGCCTTTAATGACAGCAAGATGTAAGACATGTCTTTATTAAAGAGAAAGAAGCTTATAAAGTTCTCTATCAAGGTCCCCCTAAATCTTCAAAGCCCCCCAACCTTCCCACCCTCCCCCTAAGCTAAAGCTACTATGCTGGTATATAAGATGCAATCTTAATTTGTGGCTTACAGGCAAATTATAGGCACTCCTTCCAAGTAGCTTTGATCTTCTGCACATTAAAAAAAAAAAAAAAATCCTGGCTGGGCACAGTGGCTCACATCTGTAATCCCAGCAGTTTGGGATGCCGAGGCAGGAGGATCACCTGAGGTCAGGAGTTTGAGACCGGCCTGACCAACATGGAGAAACCCCATCTCTACTAAAAATACAAAATTAGCCAGGCATGGTGGCACATGCCTGTAATCCCAGCTACTCAGGAGGCTGAGGCAGGAGAATCACTTGAAGCCGGGAGGCAGAGGTTGGGGTGAGCCGAGATCACACCACTGCACTCCAGCCTGGGCAACAGAGCAAAACTCCATCTCAAAAAAAAAAAAAAAAAATTAAATAAATAAATACTCTTTGGAAACCATTATTACTCCTGTAGACACATACTCTAGTTACATCATCTCTTCCTGTAAAAATAAAGGTATAATCACGATTATCTCCATTTCTTTGCTAAATTCAACTACCAATATACATTTATTAATCTGATCATTTTCCAGCTAACTCTTGACCTTACAATATTCCCTCCAGGGTCAATTTTCAGCATATAGAAGTAGGGGCAAGTCTTAAAAGTAAGAACAATCTTGAAGGCAATTTTTTAATCTAGTCTGTAATGTGTTCATCACAAATGAGAACTACAAACTAGAGGTTACTTCCAAAACTAAGGCAAAGGTAAACTTCCAAAACTAAATGAAGGTAAACCACTATAAAGCTTATTTCTGTCCCACACATTATGAACCTACTCAGTGATTTCCAACCAAGGCTTAAAAATTAGTCCAAAGGAGTCCGTGGGGGAAAATAAAGCCACTTCTGGTTTGCTTCTTTCCAATTCATCAGATAATATCTATCGTGCGTCCAGAGGATGTGGAGTACTCCCCTAGGCACTCTCCGTAGTAATTAGGGCTTTGTTTTCTTATCATATATTTTCACTGGAGTAGCACTTCCGATTTCCTCTGAGAACTTTTTCTCTGCATTTACAACTTGGCTAACTTTGGCACAAGAAGTATAGCTTTCAGCCAGTTTCGGTTTTCAACATGGCCTTCCTCATTAAGCCTAATCATCTCTTGCTTTTGACTGAAAATGAAAAACATGTATCTCATCCTTTAATTTGAACACTAAAAGGCCATTGTAGGACTATTCATTGACATGATTTTAATATTGTTGAGTCTCAAGAAATAGGGAGGGCCAAGGAGAGAGAGATGGAGAAATGGCTGGGCAGGGGAGCAGTCGGAACACACACAACGTTTATCAATTAACTTTGCCACCATATAGGGGCCTGGTTCATGGCACCCCAAAATAGTTACAACAGTTACATCAGAGGTCACCTATCACAGATAACCAAAACAGAGATAATAGTAATGGAAAAGTTTGAAGTATTGTAAGAATTACCAAAATGTGACAGAGTCACAAAGTCAGCATGTGATGATAGAAATATGGCACAGATAGACGCTCCATGCATGGTTGCCAAACCTTCAATCTGTGAAAAGCACAATATCTGCAAAGTGTAATAACATGAGTTATGCCTGCACTCAGAAGAATAAAGGGATAAATCCAGGAAATGGAAGGACCAGTCCATTCCAAGTATAACAATATCATCAGCACAATCTCGCTGGAGTCCTTCATCAACGAAGGCAAAAAGTATCCTCCACACATTTATATTATTACCTAAACTCCTGTTAAAGAGGTTTGGGGGATTTTTTATGGGACTGGCCCCTTTGTTCTCTCCTCTATTTTAATTTCTCAATTCCTTTTTTTTTGAGATGGAGTTTTGCTCTTGTTGTCTAGCCTGGAGTGCAGTGGCCCCATCTCAGCTCACTGCAACCTCCACCTCCCGGGTTCAAGTGATTCTCCTGCCTCAGCCTCCCAAGTAGCTGGGATTACCGGTGCCCACCACCATGCCCAGCTAATTTCGTATTTTTAGTAGAGACGGGGTTTCACCATGTTGGTCAGGCTGGTCTCTAATTCCTGACCTCAGGTGATCTGCCCGCCTTGGCCTCCCAAAGTGCTGGGATTATAGGCGTGAGCTACTGTGCCCGGCTTCGGCCTCTAAATTCTTTTTATGGAGCCTCATTTTCACAGTTAAATGTCTTCAATTGACTGTGGCCTGTTGGGAGGTGGGATGGAGGAAGCTTCTTATGGAAAATGAACGTGGAAGGGAAGCACACCAGAAGCAAGAAAGTGTCATCAATTTTTCCATCAAAGACTCCGTGAAAAAGACGAAGCACAAGTAGCCTGTTTTTGTGGCTGACCATTGGACTGCGGACTGCACCTGCATCTACCAGGTTCTTCTGGATAGTCCCAGTTCTAAATTTTTGACCTGATATTCATGAACACAGTGCTACTGGGCAGACCTTTGTCCAGGTTTAAGCTTCAGAAAATAAGGTCTTCATGCAGTGGGAGGCTTAGTTAGGGTCATGATGCTGCCCTGGGGCATCTGTCACTTCTGACCTGGAGGAAACTTGGCATCTACTATTTACCTCCACACTTGAACAGCCAAGGATGGGCTGAGCACAGTGGCTCACATCTGTAACTCCAGCACTTTGGGAGGCCAAGGCAGGAGGATCGCTTGAGGCCAGTAGTTCAAGGCCAGCCTGGGCAACATAGTGAGAACTTGTCTCTGTAAAAAACAAACAAAAACAAACAAAACCGAGGATGGGTGGGTGGCAGAGAGCAGATCAATCTGGGAAACCATGAATCTAAGAGCTGGAAGAAACCTTAGACCAGCCCCTCATTAACAGATGAGACTCTCCCCTGGGACTATAGCCTAGGGTAATGCATTGAGCTTTTCCAGAGATTTGAAAATAATCAATCCTAAAACCCCCAAGTATACTGCTACTGTTTGCTATTTAATAATGTTTGCTAGGGTGGGTATGGTGGCTCACGCCTGTAATACCAGCACTCTGGGAGGCTGAGGCAAGTGGATCACCTGAGGTCAGGAGTTCGAGACCAGCCTAGCCAACATGGTGAAATCCCGTCTGTACTAAAAATACAAAACATTAGCCAGGCATAGTGGTGCGCACCTGTAATCCCAGCTACTCAAGAGGGTGAGGCAGGAGAATCATTTGAACTCAGGAGGTGGAGGTTGCAGTGAGCCAAGATCACGCCATTGCACTCCAGCCTGGGCTACGAGAGCAAAATTCCATCTCAAAATAATAATGATAATCATAATGTTTTCTACAAGCAAGGGGTTGTTTTGTACTGTGAACTGGTGTGAAGGGATCCACCATGTGTAAGCTTTTGGAGCTGATTTTATTATCTGTGTTGCCCCACAATGGTGAAGGGAAGATGGCACACCAAAATAGGGGCATTGGTGCCAGTACATCAGGTAAATAGGCATCTACAGATCTGAGAATAGATTGCTACCATTGCTACCATTCGTTATAATCAATGCTACAATAACCTTGTAGGTTTGGTTCCTCCTCTTCAGAAATTACAATGTCTTCCCTATAGTTATGCATAAACATCTTTTATGTACAAGTGCTGGAAAATTTTAATCTCCAGATACAAGGCCATGGAAAAGGTTTTAGATATGCTACATATTATTCAGCAAACATTTATTAAACTGTCCATGGGCCAACCACTGTTTTAGGGCTGTGGGACAGAAAGATCAATAAATACAAGACCTTTGGCTGGAGAAACTCACAGTTCTTGGCCTGGAATGAACAACCAACAAATCATTGCAATTCTATGTGATGTGCATTATTGTAGCATCATAATGATCTTTTCTTTTTCATATGTTCCCCCAAATGACAATGGCCCAACAAAATGTAAATGGAGGTTACAGGGATCCAGCATCTTAAACAATTCTTCTATGCTCCCTCTCCAGGTTCCTCTGCCAAGATGCAAATACTCCAAGAATGACAATGCCTTTATCAAATCCATTCTCTCTTACTTGAAGTCAGCCTGAGGTCATAGGATGCAACTTTCCCCAGATAATTTTGCCCCATCCTTCATAAACCTTCAAATCTAGCCTGTGACAGACTTCAAAGACAAAACAAAACAAAACAAATTTTCCTGTTATTCACATTTTTAAAAACACCTGTTAACTTCATCACTTTATTCTTTTTCCAATATCAGTGTAGAAACCACAAATTGCTTTGAAAATAATACATTATTAACATCATCAAACATCAAAAATATCAGGCAGAACAAATAACTTTATAGAGTTTGTCTAAATAAGACAATTGGAAAGACAAACTTTTAAAGTATCCTAATTTAATAGAAAATTGTTCAAAATACGATGAAGCAAACAGAAAAAAAACTTAGGAACCAGTATCATGAAAAGAAAGTAAATACAGTGAGCTGAGCTTTGGGTGTGTTTATCATGAAAATGGAAAATGAGAAGGAGCCAACATGCAGTGATCTGAATAAAAGGTGTTATTACTAACATATTTTAGTAATAAGCAAACTGAACTATATTCATCCCTTCATCTACTCAATGACCAAAAGGAATAATGCTTTAGGTTTGCGCAACTTTGGTTAAAAGGATGAAAAACCTTTTGAGCTATTTAAAAAGCAACTAATTGGGCCAGGCGTGGTGGCTCATAATTCTAGCACTTTGGGAGGCCAAGGTAAGAGGATCACTTGAGCTCAAGTATTTGAGACCAGCTTGGGCAACATAGTGAGGCCCCACTTCTCCAAAAAAAATTTTCAATTAGTCAGGCATGGTGGCGCACACCTGTAGTCCCAGCTACTTGGGAGGCTGAGGTGGCAGCATCTCTTGAGCCTAGAAGTTTGAGGCTGCAGTAAGCTATGATTGCACCCCTACACTTCAGCCTGGGTGACAGAATGAGACCCTGTCTCAGAAAAGAAAAAAAAAAGTAACTGAAATTAAATTAGACCAACTGTAGGATTAATTTAATTTAATTTGGAGTAGTTTAGGAAAACATGTTTCCTGAAGAAATGACAACCAAAGAATGACAGACACTTCCTTAAATATCTAAAAAGCTGCTAATGTCTTTGTTTAGATAGCTGTCACTGACAAAGGACCAACAATGATGGCTTTTACTTTTATAAAAATTGTAAGACTTTGGGTTAAAGATGACAAAATGAAGCCTAATAACAAGTTCTACCTCTCTTAACACCTAAAGACAACAGAAAAAGCACAAGTCACCTGGAGTAACCAGACACAGAAACAGGTCAGGCTGTAAACTTCAGAAGGAGACGATGGTCAACAAAAAGGGAAAGAAAATGTTGGCAAGGCCCATCCAGGTGCCAGATCCGCTCCCACCAAAGAAAAGAGGTCTGGAGCCACTGGGCAGTACACAACAGGCAGTGTCTAGGGCCACAAAGCCATAAGGACCTCCAAGGACATTTCAGATCTCAAAAAAATGTTATCCTATCAAAATGAAAAATATAAGAATAAAAATTAATTAAAATGTTAGGTCTATACTATAAAAACCCTTTCAAAAATTTTATAGGAAAATTATATTTAGTCTGGGCGTGGTGGCTCACACCTGTCATCCCAGCACTTTGGGAGGCCAAGGCAGTTGGATTGCTTGAGCCCAAAAGTTCCAGACCAGCCTGGGCAGCATGGCAAAACCCTGTCTCTACCAGAAACACAAAAATTAGTGGGGCGTGGTGGCACACGCCTCTAATCTCAGCTACTTGGGAGGCTGAGGCACGAGAATTGCTTGAACCCAGAGGCAGAAATTGCAGGGAGCTGGGATTGCGCCACTACATTCTGATCTGGGTGACACAGCAAGACTCTGTCTCAAAAAAAAAAAAGAAAAAAAAAAGATTAGCATTGACTTCACTTTTACTTTAGTCATTTTTTTCTGTTAAATTCAAGTAAAATACAACCACCCAAGTAAAAAAAAAAAATCTTGTTGAATTAGCTCAATGGAAGAAGGAGATGATGAAGATAAGAACGGTAAATAGAAATGACTCAATCTGAACAGAGACACATGGGCTGAAAAAAATAGAGTCTCAGGAAGCCTTGAAATAACAAAAGTTCTAGCGTTCATTTCACTGGAGTCATACAAGGAGAAAAGACATCATAAGAAGCTGAAAAAAGAATTTAGAGAAATAACAGCTGAAAACATCCCAAATTTGGTGAAAGACATAAGTCTTCAGATTCAAGAAAATCTGAGTGAACTCCAAGTTAAATAAATCCAAAGCAGTCCCTACCAAGACACATCATAATCAAACTTCCAAAAGCAAAAGGCAAAGAAAGCAATCTTTTTTTTTATTTTGTTTTTTTTTCTTTTTTTTTATTATACTTTAAGTTTTAGGGTACATGTGCACAACATGCAGGTTTGTTACATATGTATACATGTGCCATGTTGGTGTGCTGCACCCATTAACTCGTCATTTAACATTAGGTATATCTCCTAATGCTATCCCTCCCCCCTCCCCCCACCCCACAACAGGCCCCAGTGTGTGATGTTCCCCTTCCTGTGTCCATGTGTTCTCATTGTTCAATTCCCACCTATGAGTGAGAACACGCGGTGTTTGGTTTTTTGTCCTTGCGATAGTTTGCTGACAATGATGGTTTCCAGCTTCATCCATGTCCCTACAAAGGACATGAACTCATCATTTTTTATGGCTGCATAGTACTCCATGGTGTATATGTGCCACATTTTCTTAATCCAGTCTATCATTGTTGGACATTTGGGTTGGTTCCAAGTCTTTGCTATTGTGAATAGTGCCGCAATAAACACACGTGTGCATATGTCTTTATAGCAGCATGATTTATAATTCTTTGGGCATATACCCAGTAATGGGATGGCTGGGTCAAATGGTATTTCTAGTTCTAGATCCCCGAGGAATCGCCACACTGACTTCCACAATGGTTGAACTAGTTTACAGTCCCACCAACAGTGTAAAAGTGTTCCTATTTCTCCACATCCTCTCCAGCACCTGTTGTTTCCTGACTTTTTAACAAAGAAAGCAATCTTAAAAACAATCAGTAAGAAATGAAACGTTTCCTGCAGGGGAACACCAACCCAAATAACAACAGAAATCATCCAAAATCACAGAGGCCAGAGGAGGTGACGTGACAATTTGCAAGTCTGAAAGAAAACGTCAACTGCACATTCTATATTCAAAGAAAATATTCTTCAGAAAGGAAGGGGAAATAAATGAAAACGCCCTCAGACCAAAGAAAACAAAGAGAATTTGTCACTAGCACGCCTACCACTAAAGAATAGCTGAAGTAATTTTTCCAGATAGAAAGGAAATGATAACAGAAGAAGGCCAAGAACTTGAGAGGAAAGTAAGAACCATGGAATGAGTAAAACTAAAGATAAATATAATAGACTTGCCTTCTTCTTATGAATTTCTGAAATCATATTTGATGATTAAAGCAAAAATTGTAATAGCATATGTTGGAATGCTCAATATAAAAAAATAAATATTTGAAAGAATTATACCTAAAAAGTAGAGAGGATAAAGACCTAAATGAAAGTAAGTTTTCAATGCTCCACTGCAAGGAGTTAAATGTTGATAGCAATAGGCTAAGTTATAGATATATACTGTAATACCTACAGCAACCACCGAGAGAGCTATGTAAAGTGATATACTCAAATACAGTATAAATTAAACAAGATGGAATTTTAAAAGTGATCAAGTATCCCATGGGAAGACTAGAACAGGGAAACAGGAAACAAACAGAAAACAAATAATAAAATGGCAGAATTAAGCTCTAACACATCAAGAATTACTTTAAAAGTACATGGTCTATCAATTTACCTTTGATGTAAAGAATAGAGATGGCAGTTTAAAGAAAATAAAACATAACCCAACTACATGCCATCTACAAGAACCTCACTTCAAATACAGCATAAATAAGTTGACACTAAAAAAAAAAAGAAAAGAAAAGAAAAGAAAGAAAAGAAAAGAGAAGAAAAGAAAAGAAAAAAGATATGTTATGCTAACATCAGTAATAAGCAAGAGTTGGCCAGGCGTGGTGGCTCATGCCTGTAATCCCAGCACTTTGGGAGGCCAAGGCAGGAGGATCACCTGAGGTTGGGAGTTCGAGACCAGCCTGACCAACATGGAGAAACCCCGTCTCTACTAAAAATACAAAAATTAGCCGGGCGTGGTGGCACATGCCTCTAATCCCAGCTACTCAGGAGGCTGAGGCAGGAGAATCACTTGAACCCAGGAGGCAGAGGTTGCAGTGAGCCGAGATTGCACCACTGCACTCCAGCCTGGGCAACAAGAGTGAAACTCCGTCTCAAAAAAAAAAAAAAAAAAAAAAAAACCCAAAAGTGGTTGTATTGATAACAGATAAAATAGATTTCCAAAAAAAGTTAATAAGGACATTACATAATGTAATAAGAAACATTACATTATAATTTAAAAATCTTTATGTAAAGAGACACATTACATAATGATTTAAAAATCATCAAAAAGACAGAGATCCTGAATGTATGCATCCAACAACAGAGCTTCAAAATGCAAACAAATGCAAATTAATGCTTTTTATACAAATGAGCACTGTAGCAGTCTCATTTATGCAGAATTATTTTTGTCTATCCATCTTTCCTCGTCTATTTTTCTTTTCTTTTTTTTTTTTTTGAGATGGAGTCTCACTCTGTTGTCCAGGCTGGAGTGCAATGGCGCGATCTTGGCTCACTGCAACCTCCACCTCCCGGGTTCAAGCGATTCTCCTGCCTCAGCCTCCTGAGTAGCTGGGATTACAGGCGCCCACCACCACGCCTGGCTAATATTGTGTGTGTGTGTGTGTGTGTGTGTGTGTGTGTGTGTGTGTGTGTGTGTTTATTTTAAGTAGAGATGGGGTTTCACCATGTTGGCTAGGCTGGTCTCAAACTCCTGACCTCAGGTGATCCACCCGCCTCGGCCTCCCAAAGTGCCGGTATTACAGGCCTGAGCCACCATGCCCGGCCCACCTGTCTATTTTCCCATCCTTCTATCTGTCTGTGCATGTGCCAAGAGGAGAGAGAATGGCATGGTGTTTTCCTGGATTGATGACAGCTATTTCTAGATCATGGAGGTGGGAATGCTTATTGGTCATCTTCTTCTTTTTTATATTGATTCATTTTTTAAAAACAAGCATTTTATAACAATAAAGTAATAAAAATAACTAAAATAATCTAAAAATAATTGAGTTGAATATTTAAACTTTTTATTGACATTTCAAATTAGATTCTAATTAGATTTTAGAACAGCCTCTCATAGAAGCAGACGTACTCAATTATGTTAACTCTGTGGTTTCATTTCAGCAATTTGTTTTGCGAAGGGACACAAATCCAACCAGATTTTAACAGTGTGTACATATTTATTAATTAAATTACAGTTACAATACCCTCAACTCGCCATTTGAATAAAGGAGAGCATCCGATCTCTGTTCTGGGGCACCGAGCATTATAGGTGTGTGGAAATACCGATGCCCTCAGCCGTGGGGCAGGCTCAGTGGGACCTGGAGTGCTGGAGCCCCTGGGCCATTCACCTCTGGCCACAAAAGCCATTGTCCATTTACCCTCAACTGCTATAGAAATATTATTTTCAGTGGTTGTTAAGATGCGAAAGAAAAGAAGCAGGGAGATTTATTAAGCCTTTACGTATAAGTTACGTTAGTAAATAAAGTGGACTTTCTGGCCAGACGAGGTGGCTCACGCCTGTAATCCCAGCACTTTGGGAGGCTGAGGTGGGTGGATCATGAGGTCAGGAGATCAAGACCATCCTGGCTAACACTGTGAAACCCTGTCCCTACTAAAAATACAAAAAAAATTAGCCAGGCGTGGTAGCGGGTGCATGTAGTCCCAGCTACTCGGGAGACTAAGACAGGAGAATTGCTTAAACTTGGGAGGCAGAGGTTGCAGTGAGCCGAGATCACGCCACTGCACTCTAGCCTGGGCGACAGAGTGAGACTCTGTCTCAAAAAAATATATAAATAAAATAAAATAAAAAATGAAGTGGACTTTCTTCTGGCTTAACTAAAAAACTATACTAGTATTTATGCCTTTTGGAAAATGGAGATGCCAATTTAAATATTATGAAGCGGAGCAATTGATTATTAGGTAAGACAACCAATGGCAACTGCAGGGGTTATGGGTTACATGTATAAGAATATTTCATAGCAATAATCTTTTAAGACTATGTGATGAGACTCCACAGTTAGGCAGAAATTAGAACAGAATTAATACTACTGTGTAGGCTCTCAGTTCACCAATTTATCACAACTAGCTTTATGATTCAGGAGGGCATCTGTTCTTTTGCAATTGGAAGAAAAAAAATATTTTATTTTTCTATTCTTTAGATTTTCTTCACTAACAGTATTTCCAAGGCTAAGTAAGGGAGTTACAAGTAGCACCAAGAGAAAAAAGCAGGGTTGAGCAGCTTTTAAAATATGGTCTTAAAATATGGAAAATAGAGCCAGGTGTGGTAGCTCACACTTGTAATCCCAGCACTTTGGGAATCTGAGGGAGGAGGATTGGTTGAGGCCAAAAGTTTGAGACCAGCCTGGGTAGCATAGCAAGATCCCTATCTTTACAAAAAGAAATAGTCATGTTTTAAAAAAATAGCTGTATGTGGTGGTGCATGCCTAGAGTCCTAGTTACCTGGGAGGCTGAGGTAGGAGGAGCTCTTGAGCCCAGGAGTTCAAGTCTGCAGTGAGCTACGATTGCACCACTGTACTCCAGCCTGGGCAACAGAGTGAGACCCTGTCTCTCTCTCTATTATATAATTTTATATATATATATATATATATATATATATATATGGAAAAGGGAAAGGGCCAAGAATATCAAAGACATTATTGAAGAAGAGGAAAGATTTATCCTGCCAAATATCAGAACTTTTATAAAGCTGTGGCAATTAAGACAGTGTGGTCTTAACTGATAAACTGACCAATGAAACAGATAGAGAGCTCCCAAACAAATCTCCATAAATTTAATCTTTGATATGTGATGTAGATCACATGGCAGATCAGCAAGGAAAGGAAGGACTTTTCAATAAATAGAATAGAAAAATAATGGTTATTGATATAGGAAACAAAATGAAATTATATTCCTACTTCACTCTATATACAAACATTAAATTCCAGATGGACCAAGACTTACATGTCAGAAACAAAACTTTAAAACTTTTATTACAAAATGTAAGTGAATGAGACACAAAAAGGCATTTAACCATCAAAAAAGATTAGAAATTTTGACTATCACAAAATTAAGACCTTCTTACATCAAAAAGTGAAAAGATAAGCCGGGCGCGGTGGCTCACGCCTGTAATCCCAAAACTTCGGGATGCTGAGGCAGGCGGATCACCTGAGGTCAGGAGTTTGAGACCAGCCTGGCCAACATAGTGAAACCCCGTCTCTACTAAAAATACAAGAAATTAGCAAGACATTGGTGGAAGACACCTGTAATCCCAGCTACTTGGGAGGTTGAGGCACAAGAATCATCTAAACCAGGGAGACGGAGGTTGCAGTGAGCCACTGCACTCCAGCCTGGGTGACAGAGCGAGACTCCGTCTCAAAAAAAAAAAATTAAAAGTTAAAAAAATAAAAAGAGTGAAAAGATAAACTATAAACTGGAAGAAGATATTTGCAGTACCTAAAACCTACACAAGATTAATATCATATCAACAAAGCATAAGGAGCTCCCATGAATTCATTTTTAAAGTAGCAACCCAACAGAAAATTGGGAAAAGACATTAATAGGGATTTCACAAAAGAGAAAACAGCCCCCAAAACATAAAAATTTTCTCACCCTCATTAGTAATCAGGAAAATGCATAAGATACTACATATCTATTCTCTCCACAAATATTAAGAAGTCTAACAATACCAAATGTATTAGTCCATTTTCACACTGCTGATAAAGACATACCTGAGACTGGGAAGAAAAAGAGGCTTAATTGGTCTTATGGTTCCACAGGGCTGGGGAGGCCTCAGAGTCATGGCAGAGAATGAAAGGCACAACTCACATGGTGGCGGCAAGAGAAAACGAGAAGGAAGCAAAAGCAGAAACCCTGATAACCCATCAGATCTCATGAGACTTATTCACTATCACAAGAATAGCACAGGAAAGATTGGCCCCCATGATTCAATTACCTCCCCCTGGGTCCCTCCCACAACATGTGGGAATTCTGGTAGATATAATTCAAGTTGAGATTTGGGTGGGGACACAGCCAAACCATATTATTCCACCCCTGGCCCCTCCAAATCTCATGTCCTCACATTTCAAAACCAATCATGCCTTCCCAACAGTCCCCCATAGTCTTAACTCATTTCAGCATTAACCCAAATGTCAACTGTCCAAAGTCTCATCTGAGACAAGGCAAGTCCCTTCGGCCTATGAGCCTGTAAACTCAAATGCAAGCTAGTTACTTCCTAGATACAATGGGGGTACAGGTAATTGGGTAAATACAGATGTTCCAAATGGGAGAAATTCGGCACAACAAAGGGGTTACAGGGCCCTTGCAAGTCCAAAATCCAGCAGGGCAGTCAAATTTTAAAGTTCCAAAATGATCTCCTTTGACTCCATGATTCACATCCAGGTCATGCTGATGCAAGAGGTAGGCTCCCACGGCCTTGGGTAGTTCTGCCCCTGCGGCTTTGCAGGGTACAGCCCCCCTCCCCAGCTGCTTTCACGGGCTGACATTGAGTGTCTGCAGCTTTTCCAGACTCACAGTGCAAGCTGTCAGTGAATCTACCATTCTAGGGTCTGGAGGATGGTGGCCCTCTTCTCACAGCTCCACTAAGCAGTGCCCCAGTAGGGACTCTGTGTAGGGGTTCCAACCCCACGTTTCCCTTCTGCACTGCCCTAGCAGAGGTTCTCCCTGAGTGCCCCACCCCTGCAGCAAACTTCTGCTTGGACATCCAGGCGTTTCCATACATCCTCTGAAATCTAGGTGGAGGTTCCCAAAGCTCAATTCTTGACTTCTTTGCATGTGCAGGCTCAACACAACATGGAAGCTGCCAAGGCTTGGTGCTTGTACTGTCAAAACCATGGCCTGAGTTCTATGTTGGCCCCTTTCAGCCGTGGCTGGAACGGCTGAAATGCAGAGCACGGAGGCCCTAGGCTGCACACAGCACAGCGATCCTGGGCCCGGCCCACAAAACCATTTTTTTCCTCCTAGGCCTCCGGGCCTGTGATGGGAGGGGTTGCTGTGATGACCTCCAACATGCCCTGGAGACATTTTCCCCATTGTCTTGGGGATTAACATTCAGCTTCTTGTTACTTATGCAGCCAGCTTGAGTATATCCTCAGAAAATGGGATTTTCTTTTCTATCACACTGTCAGGCTGCAAATTTTCCAAACTTTTATGCTCTGCTTCCTTTATAAAACTGAATGCCTTTAACATCACCCAAGTCACCTCTTGAATGCTTTACTGCTTAGAAATTTCTTCCACCAGATATAATAAATCATCTCTCTCAAGTTCAAACTTCCACAAATCTCTAGGGCAGGGGCAAAATGCTGTCAGTCTCTTTGCTAAAACATAACAAGAGTCACCTTTGCGCCAGTTCCCAACAAATTCCCCATCTCCATCTGAGACCACCTCAGCCTGGACCTTATTGTCCATATCACTATCAGCATTTTTGTCAAAGCCATTCAACAAGTCTCTAGGAAGTTCCAAACTTCCCCACATTTTCCTGTCTTCTTCTGAGCCCTCCAAACTGTTCCAACCTCTGCCTGTTACCCAGTTTCAAAGTTGCTTCCACATTTTTGGGTATCTCATCAGCAACACCCCACTCCACTGGTATCAATTTACTGTATTAGTCTGTTTTGACACTGCTGATAAAGACATACACGATACTGGGAAGAAAAAGAGGTTTAATTGGATTTACAATTTCACATGGCTGGGGAGGCCTCAAAGTCATGGCAGGAGGCAAAAGGCGCTTCTTACATGGTGGCAGCAAGAGAAAGTGAGGAGGAAGTCAAAGCAGAAACCCCTGATAAACCCATCAGATCTCATGAGACTTATTCACTATCACGAGAATAGCACAGGAAAGACCGATCCCCATGATTCAATTACCTCACCCTGGGTCCCTCCCACAACACGTGGGAATTCTGGGAGACACAATTCAAGCTGATATTTGGGTGGGGACATAGCCAAACCATATCACCAAATATGGAGAGACTGCGGATCAACAAGATTGTCTCGAACTAATACAAGAGGTGAGAGTTTAAATTAGAACAACCACTTTGGAAAACAATTTGGATTATCTTATAAAGTTGAGCATTCTCATATGTTATGTCACAGTAATTCATGTACCATAAGCCCTGGAGAAACTCTTGCCCATGTGTGCCAGAAGTAGTAAAAAAAGAAAAGAAATGCTCATGTAATGCCATTCATAATAGCAAAATTCTGGATATAAGCCAAATGTTCATTAATAGGAGAATGGGTAAATTAATAGGAGAATGAGTAAATAAATTATACACTTAAAAAACTGAATAATATATTTTCTCGGGCAATCATATATACGCAATAAAACAATTTTTTTTTTTTAAGGAAGGGAATCCTAAACATAAATTCAGGGTAGTAGTTCCCCCTGGGGCTGAAGGGTGTGAATCAGGAAAAAGGACAGAAGAGGAGCAGATGTTAGGATCAGATCCTAGTTCTTGGGTTGTGTGGTGGGTTCACAAGTGATTACATTTTATTCAAATACATTCAAATACATTTACATAGAGGCTTAGGCACAGACAGGATGAAATAGAAGCCAAGGTAAGCTATGAGCCAAGGATTATGATTAATCCAGTTTTTGCACTTTAAGTCATTTGAAAAACAGAAAAGCAAAACAACAAAATAATTTTATTTATTTTTTTTTTTTTTAATTTTTGAGACAGAGTCTCGCTGTCGGCCAGGCTGGAGTGCAGTGGCACAATCTCGGCCCACTGCAACCTCCGCCTCTCAGGCTCAAGTGATTCTCCTGCCTCAGCCTCCTGAGTAGCTGGGACTACAGGTGTGCACCACCACGCCTGGCTAATTTTTTATATTTTTAGTCGAGATAAGGTTTCACCATGTTAGCCAGGATGGTCTCGATCTCCTGACCTCATGATCTGCCCACCTCAGCCTCCCAAAGTGCTGGGATTACAGGCATGAGCCACCGTGCCGGCCCAAAATAATTTTTAAGAAATTGAATATAGGGTGCTATGGTCTGAATGTGTCCTTCTACAATTCATCACCAATGTCATAGTATTAGGAAGTAGGGCTGTTAGGAAGTGATTCAGTCATGAAGGGAGAGTCTTCATGAGTGGATTTAGGGTCCTTACACAAGGGCTAGAGGGAGTGGGCTTCCCCTGTTTTGCCCTTCTGCCTTCTGCCATGTGAGGACACAGTGCATCCCCTCCTGAAGACACAGTGCTCAAGGCGCCATCTTGGATGCAGAGACCAGGCCGTCACCAGACACCACTCCTGCTGGCATCTTGATCTTGGACTTCCAGCCTATGGAACTGTGGGAAATACATTTCTGTTCTTTAGAAATTACCCAGTCTAGTGTATTTCGCTATACAGTAGCACAAATGCACTAAGACATAGTGCTTCTTGTCATTTTCTTATTCTACAATTTTCTTTGTTGCCTCTTTAGCAGTGTGTCATTTTAAATTTGATTCTTCATAATATCTCTTACTTTTGGTTTCTCACATTTCTGTTCCAAGTGTATTCTTAGATATTGTTCACTGTTTGTTAGTAACCAGGTCAGAAAGTCCAGAATACATTCTTCTAAGGGTTCAATTTCTGCAACAACATAAGTAGCAATGCCTCCTGTAAACTAGGTATTTCCTTGCCAATTGTAACTGCCATCTGGAAGCAAAGTGGCATTACAGTCTACCAGTGTGGGGTTGATTTTTAATGTATCTGGGGTATGGTTAAATGCTGGTTTCTAATCACACAGATTCATCGATGGCTAGGCACACTAGGGCATCAGTTGCTAGCTATCTCTGTATTTTTCCATGCTGTTAGAGAGGGAAAGTACAGACTGTGAAGCTGGACCAGCTGTCACACCCACAGCATTTGGGGAGCTTTTTTTTTTTTTTTAACCTTTAGTTGCTCAACTGTCACACGTAGCAGCTCAGGTGAAAGGCATGTGTATTGTGGGGACTTTCCCTTAGTGCTCTGTGGCGCAGAAGAGCAGACCTATGTAGAAGCATTTAAGTATTTTGTACATCAACAGGACAATTAAATGAACAAGTTTTTATTGTACCTTTTAGTTCCTGAAGACAAAACCACAGTGACAGTAACTAGGTCAAGGCATTGTACTCAAAGCGGGTCAGCCTTGGTCTTTGAGAGTGAGTCCCCTTCACCCCACTGTCAAGACTCATTGACCGGACGGGAAAGTTCAGGTGGAACATGCAGTGAGCAGCAAACACGGTGTCACGTGCTGCCATGCCTGCCATGGTCAGCAGACCTGTCTTCTCATTGGCAACAGGCAGATAAACAGATTTTTATCAACCAATAAACGTCTTCTTGGAGAGTTTCTTGATTCTTCCCAGCTGTGGCAGGATGGACTGACTTAGAGGAGCTCAGCAAGATTGCTGAACCACACAGAAACACAGGTTGAATTGTACTCCTCAGCAGGCCTAGGTTAGAGCAGCAGGTCTATCATTGGTCCTTGAAGCCTTGGCCACTCCTGGGACATAGCATAATGCCCCTAGTGACTTGAAATTTGGTGGAGAGTGGGTTGCTAATCCCTGTGTCCAGGGACAAAAAGAGACATAAAGAGCAAAAAGTTATAAAATAAGTGGGAGTAACATCTGCTTATCGTGGGAGGTAGGGATTTAAGATATAAGAATTCAGCTGCATGTGGTAGCTCACACCTGTAACTTCAGCACTTGGGGAGGACAAGGCAGGAGGATCGCTTGAGCCCAGGAGTTTGATATGAGCCAGGCAACATAGTGAGTCCCCATCCGTACAAAAATGTTTTTAAAGAAAAGTAATTGAGTGTGCTGGCACATGCCTGTAGTCCCAGCTACTTGGGAGGCTGAGGCAAGAGGATCACTTGAGCCTGGGAGATTGAGGCTGCAATGAGCTGTGATCACACCACTACACTCCAGCCTGGGTGACAAAAAAAAAAAAAAAACAAGTCAGACTTGACACCAGGTACTAAGCCATCTTAGCAGTGAGGTTTTTTTTGCTTTTGTTTTTTTGAGACAGAGTCTTACTAAGCCATCTTAGCAGTGAGTTTTTGTTTTGTTTTGTTTTGAGACAGAGTCTCGCTCTGTCACCCAGGCTGGAGTGCAGTGGTGCAATCACAGCTCACTGCAACCTCCACCTCCTGGGTTCAAGCAATTCTTCTGCCTCAGCTTCCTGAGTAGCTGGGATTACAGGCACCCGCCACCACGCCTGGCTAATTTTTGTATTTTTAGTAGAGATGGGGTTTCACCATATTGGCCAGGCTGGTCTTGAACTCCTGACCTTGTGATCTGCCCGCCTCAGCCTCCCAAAGTGCTGGGATACAGGCGTGAGCCACTGTACCCAGCCAGCAGTGAGGTTTAAACAATGTTTTCCACTGATGGACCCCAGTGTGAAACCATGTCACTTCATGAGTATGCAAATAACTTGGTAGATCTTCTCTCACTTGTGAATGATATGTCACATCTCATATATATTTTAATCCAGGGGTCTCCAACCCCCAGGCCACAAACTGATACTGGTCCATGGCCTATTAGGAACTGGGCTGCACAGCTGCACAGCTGGAGGTGAGTGGTTGGCAAGGGAGCAAAGCTTCTTCTGTATTTATAGCTGCTCTCCATCGCTCACATCATTACCTGAGCTCCACCTCCTGTCAGATCAACAGCAGCATTAGATTCTCATAGGAACTCGAGCCCTATTGTGAACTGTGCATGGCAGGGATGTAGGTTGCACACTCCTTATGAGAATCTAATGCCTGATGATCTGAAGTGGAACAGTTTCATCCCAAATCCATCCCCCACCCCTCCACCCCCTGTGGAAAACTTGTCTTTCACAAAACCGGTCCCTGGTGTCAAAAAGCTTGGGGACCACTGTTATAATCCATAATATGCCATTATGATCCAACACAATACCATTTAGCTCCTGTATATTCTGCCAAAATATCTAGAAGACCCAAAGTCCTACAAATGAATATTTCATGCAATGCAGGGAGAGTGTTAATCTTTTTTTTTTTTTTTTTTTTTTGAGATGGAGTCTGGCTCTGTTGTCCAGGCTGGGGTCCAGTGGTGCGATCTTGGCTCACTGCAACCTCCATCTCCTGGGTTCAAGCAATTCTCCTGCCTCAGCCTCCTGAGTAGCTGGGATTACAGGTGCGCACCACCACGCCCAGCTAATTTTTTGTATCTTTAGCAGAGATGGGGTTTCACCATGTTGGTCAGGCTGGTCTCCAACTCCTGACCTCGTGATCCGCCCACCTCAGCCTCCCACAGTGCTGGAATTGCAAGTGTGAGCCACTGCGCCTGGCCGAGAGTGCTAACCTTTAAAGCTGTAAATTTCATATTCATGAGAGCTATGGGCAGGGTTCATCTGAAGACATATCGTGGCAAGTTTATTTCTCAAAATGCCATTTGGATATTTTCCTGGATGATGTGGATAGTGGAAGCATTGTTGATGCTATAGGGCTTTAAAAACCCTGTTCACGGCCAGGCACGGTGGCTCACGTCTGTAATCCCAGCACTTTGGGAGGCTGAGGCTGGTGGATCACCTGAGGTCAGGAGTTCGTGACCAGCCTGGCCAGTGTGGTGAAAGCCCATCTCTACTAAAAATACAAAAACTAGCCGGGCATGGAGGCACACACTTGTAATCACAGCTACTCGGCAGGCTGAGGCAGGAGAATCACTTGAGGCAGGAGAATCACTTGAGACCGGGAGGCAGAGGTTGCAGTGAGCCAAGATCACGCCACTGCACTCCAGCCTGGGTGACAAGAGTGAAACTCAGACTCAAAAATAAATAAATAAATAAATAAATAAATAAATAAATAAATAACCCTGTTCACACTGTCCTACAAGGAGCACTCCCCCACACCATTTTTTTTTTTTTTTTTTTTTCTTCCTGACACAGGGTCTCTGGAGTCTCCAGCGATCCTCCAGGCCTACACCACCACGCCCAGCCTATTCACTTTTTTTTTTTTTTTTCTACCTTCTTTTCTTTTTCCTGGCCTATTCACTTTTAATGACAAGGTATTTCCAACCCAGAATAGTCTTTGACAGCATTAACTGACAGATATTTGTGTATGAGTTGCTTCTATTCATCCTGAAAAGATACAATTACTAAAGCATACATTTGTAAGAATAACATTTTTATTTGAGTAGGTTAAATCTGAATAACTAGAAATTTCCTTTAAGGAGAAGGATGAGCTGCCTTCTTTGTCTTTAAATTTTTCTCGCTCTGTGGATCTGAAAAATAGGGCAGCTGGCCCAGTCCTGTTGGGCCACACCAGAAAAACGATGGAGCTTCTTAATCACACGTAATTATTCTCAGAATCCCATCTTCGTTCATGTGTGCCAGGCCACAACTTAAATTAGTGAGAAGGGCAAGTAAACCCTTTGGCATTGCCAAATGACCATCTAAGTAGTGCCAAACAGAATTTGGATACTAAGTTAGCCTGACAGTTTACTAAGTATTTCCCATCCCCCCCCCGAACTTGGGGTTGTCAGAGAAGACTGGTTATTTTTTTCTTTAAATCTAGGGTCCAATCTGAGAATGTGGAATAGCAAAGACTTGGATTGGAGAGCTAGCAATATAGTCGTTACAGAAGGAGTCTTATAAGGACAATTTGGATATATTAGCTCCCCCAGAAGAAGGCACCGTTACTATTTTATTATTGTCATTAGCCATGAATTACCTCAAAGCATAGCCAGTGTAATTGAAAAATGTTAATTTTTCTTAGAAAAAACAGTACCCACTTCAGGGAGAACAAGCTCTGTTGCTTGGGGGTGTCTTTGCTGACAGGGCAGAAGTGGAGCCAAGGGTTTTTTTGTTTTTGTTTTTTGTTTTTTTTGTGGTGTTTGGCTGGAGTAGCGTGGTTATTGTCTAAAAGTTTTCCATCTTGCCAGGCTGCCTGTTTCCTGGTCCTTAGCTAGACATAGCAGGCTTTCTTTGGCTTTTTTCTTTTTTTAATCCATGCCCATTGGTGTTTCTGGGTTGCCAGCTTCTCCAGTGTCCAACCCAAGATACGTGAGACAAAAAGAAAACTCAGTGGCTCACTCACTGCCGTGTCATGCCCTGGGTTCCCAGGTCCCTACATAGCCTTCCTTGCTGCATCCACTTTCAGAGTCTTCTGATATTTGTCTTATAAACAATGTCTAGGCTTTCTAGCTACACTCAGCAGGAAGAATAGAAAAGCACATGCTCCATTTTGGTCCTTGTAGTATTTTTGTATCAATTAAATAGGAATTTCACTGGAGGTGAGAAACACGGCATCAGTTTCAGTTGTCTCTAGAGACACACAGAGTGATCTACGTCAGGGTTTTCTCCAGTGGAAACTCCGTATCTGGTTCATTTTTAAAAATCAACGTTATTGGGGTTTGATATTCATACAATAATGGATACTTTACATATAATAAAATGCACTCATTTAAGATTAGTTTCATGAGTCTTAACAAATGTATACACCTGTGTAGCTATTACCACCACCAAGATATAGGACACTTTCCTGACCCCTCCAATCTCCCTGTGCCTCGTTATAGCTGAGACACTCCTAATCCCTGCCCCAGGCAAGCATTCATCTGATTTCTCTTGCTTTGGCTTGGTTTTTGCCTTCATATAAATGAACTTCTAAATAAATGAAATAATAGAGTATGTACTCTTGGGTCTCTTTCATTCAGCAGCATAGTTCGGATATCCATCCACATTCTGTGTATTAGTAGTTCGTCCTTTTTGATTGGTGAATGCTATTCCATTGTATGACTATACCTCAATTCGTTTGTCCATTTTCCCCTGAGTGGACATTTGTGTTGTTTTCTTTTTGTGCTATTATGAATATGGTGCTTTAAACATTCATGTTCAAGTCTCGTAGATATATACTTTTATTTCTCTTGAATAGCTAGGAGTAGAATGGCTGGCTCATTCAGTAAGTGCATGTTTAACTTAACCACCAAACTGAATTCCCAAGTGGCTGCCCAATTTTGCATTCCCAACAACAGCGCATGAGAATTCTGATGCCTTCATATCCTTGGGGTCTGGCTCTGGTCCCAGCACCACTGAGAATCCCTCTGAAGCCAGCATGGTTCCAGTGCTCAGCTCAGCCAAAGGCACCACTTACTAAAATGAGTGCACAGTAACACCGTTTCACTCTTTCTATTCCCACGCACTGGAGACCTGGGCTAGGACGGGTTATGGGATCTACCCTGCACACGCCAAGAGCCGCTCTTCCCATCTGACTTTTAAAATCTCAGTTTCGAATCCCACAATTCTTTCTCAAGTCTAACCCTACTCAGTCATCACGGGGGCGTCTTCCCTAAGAGAAAACTCATGCTATCAAGTTTCACTAAAAAGCTTAGCCTAAAAGAGATGTAGACATCATTTGGAGGGGTGAGGGCAGTGAAGACAAGCAGAGCTATCTGATGTCAGCCATCTGCACAGAGAATAACAAGCAAGATAATTTTGTAGCCGTTTTAATTCAAATAGACCTTGAGAGGCTTTGTAAGCTACTTACCTTCAAAATGTGGCACGCCTCATGGACATTATTAATACAAATACAAAATTTATTTTTCTATTACAAATGAGAAAAAAGGGAGCTAGGTGCAGTGGCTCATACCTGTAATCCTAGCATTTTGGAAGGCTGAGGCAGAAGGATCGCTTGAGCATGGGAGATCAAGACCAGCCGGGGCAACATAGTGAGACCCCATCTCTACAAGTAATCTTTTTAAAAAATAGCTAGGCGGCTGGGTGCAGTGGCTCATGCCTGTGGTCCCAGCACTCTGGGAGGCCAAGGTGGGCAGATCACCTGAAGTCAGGAGTTCAAGACCAGCCTGGCCAACATGGTGAAACCCCGTCTCTACTAAAAATACAAAAATTAGCTGGGCGTGGTGGTGCGTGCCTGTAACCCCAGCTACTCAGGAAGCTGAGGCAGGAGAATTGCTTGAACCCAGGAGGCAGAAGTTGCAGTGAACTGAGATCATGCCACTACCCTCTAGCCTGGGCAACAGAGCAAGATTCCGTTTCAAAAAAAAAAAATAGCCAAGGGTGGTGGCATGCACCTGTAGTTCCAGCTATTCAGGAGGCTGAGGCAGGAAGATCGCCTGAGTCTGGGAGGTTGAGGCTGCAGTAAGCTGTGATTGCATCACTGGACCCCAGCCTGGGTGACAGAGGGACACCCTGTCTCAAAAAAAAAAAATAAAGATTTTATACTAAAGAAATTCTCAATTAATTCAACTTCAAGTAATTTGAAAACAATTCTCACCAATGTCTCTTCACAGCTGTAGTCATTCAGGAATTTTAATGTTACATGGAAAATGTCCCAGCCATCCACACTGGCTAGTCTGTTTCCCATTTTCTAGCTGCTGCCCAGTTGCTAGGAATCCTAATGAGTTGATACTTCTCTCCTCTGACAGCCAGGCCCAACCAGCCCACGGAAATCTCAGTCAAGGCAGCACTACAAGAGACCCAGAGCAGGGGCTGCATGAGCTTGGTCCGTTCTGGGCCTCAGTTTCCCCATATTTAGATGGAGGGGATTTCCAAAATTAGATCTCAGGCCCTGTGCCCCGTGTTCCTCTGGCTGCACACGACCACTTAAGATGTTCTGTCGGGAAAACGGAAGGGCAGGGGTCTGGGAGGGTGAGATGCTTTCTCGGGGCATAATGTTTCCCAGAAAGACGATATTCTTACAGCGTGTGACATCTATTATTTCTGCCGGGATTTTGTAGAAAATGTAAATCTGGCAAGAAGAAAATTCACCTGGTGAATTTCCAAGTGAATCAGGAGCCGATTCCCAGGCATCTTCCCAGCGTTCCTCACGCGTTGTTAAGGCGTGGCCCCCAGTCTTCTTGGACCTGGGCATGGCTAAGCAGGTCTGGGAGGTGGAATTTGGAGGTAGCCCCCAAATCCCTGCACCCTGGTGGGCATTCCTGGTGTGCTTGCATCCCCCTGCAAGTGGGCAGGACGTGTCAGTATGATGGGATCTCACTCCCAGGATTGGGGCAGAGGCTGTATGGCAGAAATGAAGAGGTTTTGCAGATGTAACTAAGGTCTCTAATCAATTTACTTTGAGTTAATTTTTTAAAAAGGAAACGATCCTAAGTGAGCTTGACCTGATCAGGTGAGCTTTTTAAAAGAGTCCAGGCCTTCCTGGAAGGAAGCAGGTGTTTGACGTGAGCAAGATCCTCCTGCTGAGCTTTGAGAAGCAAATTGCCTCATTTTGAACTGCCTGTGTGGGGCCAGGTGGCAAGGGTGAGGGTGACCTGCAGATGCTACGATGGGTCCTGTCCAACAGCCAGAAAAGAACAGAGGGACTTCAGTCCCACGCTACAAGGAAATGAATCCTGCCAATAACCTTTATGAACTTGGAAACAGTTTATTTTGGAGTCAAACCTCCAGATGAGAACACAGTCCCAAGGCCAGGCACAGTGGCTCACCCCTGTAGGGCACAGGTACATTGGCTCACCCCTGTAGGGCCAGGCACAGTGGCTCACCCCTGTAGAATATTTAAGTCTGGCAAGAAGAAAATTCATCTGGTGAATTTCCAAGTGAATCAAGAGCTGATTTCACAGGCGTTTGGGAGGCAGAGGTGAGAGGATTGCTTGAGGCCAGGAGTTCAAGACCAGCCTGGACAACATAGTGAGACTCCTTCTCTACAACACACACACACACAGAGCCCAGCCAGTACCTTGATTTTAGGTGGTGATGAGAGGTGACAGCGTGCTGGCAGTCCTCACAGCCCTCTCTCGCTCTCGGCACCTCCTCTGCCTGGGATCCCACTTGGATGGCACTTGAGGAGCCCTTCAGCCCACCGCTGCACTGTGGGAGCCCGTTTCTGGGCTGGCCAAGGCTGGAGCCGGCTCCCTCAGCTTGCGGGGAGGTGTGGAGGGAGAGGCGCGGGCGGGAACCCGGGCTGTGCGCAGTGCTTGCGGGCCAGCTGGAGTTCCAGGTGGGCGTGAACTCGGCCGACCCCACACTCGGAGCGGCCGGCCGGCCCCACCGGCCCCGGGCAGTGAGGGGCTTAGCACCTGGGCCAGCAGCTGCCGTGCTCAATTTCTCGCCGGGCCTTAGCTGCCTTCCCGCCGGGCAGGGCTCGGGACCCGCAGCCCGCCATGCCTGAGCCTCCCCCCGACTCCGTGGGCTCCTGTGCTGCCCGAGCCTCCCCGACGAGAGCCGCCCCCTGCTCCACAGCGCCCAGTCCCATCGACCACCCAAGGGCTGAGGAGTGCGGGAGCAGGGCACCGGGACTGGCAGGCAGCTCCACCTGCGGCCCTGGTGCGGGATCCACTGGGTGAAGCCAGCTGGGCTCCTGAGTCTGGTGGGGACGTGGAGAACCTTTATGTCTAGCTCAGGGATTGTAAATACACCAATCAGCACCCTGTGTCTAGCTCAGGGTTTGTGAATGCACCAATCGACACTCTGTATCTAGCTGCTCTGGTGGGGCCTTGGAGAACCTTTGTGTCCACACTCTGTATCTAACTAATCTGATGAGGACGTGGAGAACCTTTGTGTCTAGCTCAGGGATTGTAAACGCACCAATCAGCGCCCTATCAAAACAGACCACTGGGCTCTACCAATCAGCAGGATGTGGGTGGGGCCAGGTAAGAGAATAAACGCAGGCTGCCCGAGCCAGCAGTGGCAACTCGCTGGGGTCTCCTTCCCCACTGTGGAAGCTTTGTTCTTTCGCTTTTTGCAATAAATCTTGCTACTGCGCACTCTTTGGCTCCACACTGCTTTTATGAGCTGTAACACTCACCGCGAAGGTCTGCAGCTTCACTCCTGAGCCAGTGAGACCACGAACACATCCGAACATCAGAAGGAATGAACAACTCCAGACGCGCCACCCTGAGAGCTGTAACACTCACCGCGAGGGTCTGCGGCTTCATTCTTGAAGTCAGTGAGACCAAGAACCCACCAATTCTGGACACAGTGAGACTCTGAACAGAGGATCCAGCTAAACCAGGCCTGGGCTTCAGGCCCCAAAAGCTGTCAGAGGCTAAATTTGTTTTAAGTGTGTGGGGTAAATCATCACCCATCACTAGCAAATGAAACACAGCAAGGATTTTTCAGTGCGGGCGTTCCCCCAGCTCTCTGCAGCACCTGTTTGCACCTTAATCTCACAGCACTAGCACATAGGAGGGCAGGGAATCCAACCCTCATGAGCTCTAAGGATCTGATGGAAACCGTGGAGGATCCCGCGAGAAGTAAATGAGCCTTAAAGCAGGACAGAACTGATTGCCTGTTAAGTGCTAAACTGTGTGCTTCATACACATATTTAATCTTCACAACTGTTCTGCAAGGATGGAAATGAGGTTAGTCATGATAATCATTTTAGAAGAAAACTGAGGTTAACTAAAAGGCCCAAGGTCATGTAGCGAATGAGTGGAGGAAGTCAGGATTCACAGCCTGACCTTGCTGACTCCAAAGCCCATGAATTTTCCAGGTTTCAATGCTGCTTCCTATTTCTCTCCACTTTGTTTCGGAGTCCCAGGCCACACCATACTCTACCCCGGCATCCCCGTACCCAACTCTGCTGTGTGTCTGTGTAGTTTCTCCTTGCCTAGAGCTATGTTTGTGGCCAAAACTATCCTTGCTAGAACTCTGGCTCCTGTTCCTTTGCTGATACCCACGCCCAGCACCATGTGGTGATCCCAGCTCAGCTCCCTCAGCTGCAGCAGCTGTTGCTTCCTTACTTTCTGAATCCTGAGGTGACAGATAAGTAAGTAAAGAATGGAATTGAATAGAAAATCAAGAAGAAAAGTACAAAAATACGATGTTTTAAATTTATTGCCAAGAAATTCGGAGATTTAATTAACAAATCAGCATATGCATCAAAGAATAGGGACCTGCCAATTTTCAACCTATAGTTGACTCTCCAACCTATAGTTGACCCTTGAACAACACAGAGATTAGGGGCACTGACTCCCACACAGTCAAAAATCCACATATAACTTTTTTTTTTTTTTAGACGGAGTTTTGCTCTTGTTGCCTAGGCTGGAGTGCAATGCCACGATCTCGGCTCACTGCAACCTCTGTCTCCCAGTTTCAAGTGATTCTCCTGCCTCAGCCTCCCAAGTAGCTGGGATTACAGGCATGCGCCACCACACCCGGGTAATTTGGTATTTTTAGTAGAGACAGGGTTTCTCCAGGTTGGTCAGGCTGGTCTCGAACTCCCAACCTTCGGTGATCCGCCTGCCTCGGCCTCCCAAAGTGCATGGATTACAGGTGTGAGCCATCGTGCCCAGCCAAAATCCACATATAACTTTTTGACTCCCCAAACTTTAATAGCCTACTGTTGACTAGAAGCCTTACTGAGAACATAAACCATTGATTAACCCATATTTTTTGTTATACATATTATATGCTATATTCTTACAATAATGTAAGCTAGAGAAAAGAAACTATTAAGAAAATCATAAGAAAGAGAAAATATGTTTACTCTTCATTAAGTGGAAGTCGATCATCTGAAATGTCTTCATCCTTGTCATCTTCATATTGAGTAGGGTGAGGAGGAGAAGGAAGATGAGGGAATGGTCTTGCTGTCTCGGGGGTGGCAGAGGGAGAAGAAAATCCATGTATAAGTGGACCCGTGCAGTTCAAACCCATGTGGTTTAAGGTTGTTATTTAGTGCCATGGTTCGAGTATGTCCCAGCTGAAGCTCATATTGAAAGTTGATTCCCAAGGTGGTGGTGTTGGGAAGTGGGGAGGTGTTTGGGTTAGGGGGTAGATCCCTCATGAATAGATAACGCCCTCTCTTGGGAATAAGTGAGTTTTCACTCTTGCGGGACTGAATTTGTTTCTGAGAGGCAGATTGTTATAAAGTGAGCTCCACCTCTCATGCCTGTCTCTTTTCCCACTCCATGAGTTGAACGGCATGAGGCCCTCACTAGATGTGCTGCTCAGCCTTGGACTTCCTAGCCTCCAGAATTGTGAGCCAAATTCTTTTCTTTTTTTTGAGATGGAGTCTCGCTGTTGTTGCCCAAGCTGGAGTGCAATGGCGCAATCTCAGCTCACTGCAACCTCTGCTTCCTGGGTTCCAGCAATTCTCCTGTGTCAGCCTCCCGAGTAGCTGAGATTACAGGTGCCCACCACCATGCCTGGCTAATTTTTGTATTTTTAGTAGAGATGGGGTTTCACCATGTTGGCCAGGCTGGTCTTGAACTCCTGACCTCAGATGATCCACCTGCCTCAGCCTCCCAAAGTGCTGGGATTACAGGCATGAGCCACCATATCCGGCCAATTTCTTTTCTTTTTAAATTACCCAGTGTTAAGTATTCTGTTACAGCAACACAAAGCAAATTAAGACAATAGCTTTCCCACTCTGTCCTGGGACTAGGTTAACTTCCTTTTAATTCATTTATTTTTAAGTTCTAGTAAAATTTAGTAATAAAAACTTTACCTATTTATCATGCACACAATATGTTTTCAAACATATGGTTTTGAAATATATATACGTCATGGAATGGTTCGATTGAGCTAATTAACATATGTATTACTTCACATATGTAAAATTTTTTGTGGTAGGAACACTTAAAATATACTGTCATAGCAATTTTTAAGAACACAATACATTATTATTAACTATAGTTACGATATTGCACAATAAATCTCTTGAACTTACTCCTCTTTGGCTCTCCTTCAAGTTGGTTTATTTAAAAGGTGTATTGACATGTAGTTCTCTGGCCATCTTGAAGGCAGCCATTGGAAAACAGGGTCTCGGCTGGGCATGGTGGCTCACTCCTGTAATCCCAGCACTTTGGGAGGCCAAGGTGGGCGGATCACTTGAGGTCAGGAGTTTGAGACCAGTCTGGCCAACATGGTGAGACCCTGTCTCTACTAAAAATACAAAAAATTAGTGGGGTGTGGTGGCGTGCACCTATAACCCCAGCTCCTTGGGAGGCTGAGGTGGGAGAACTGCTTGAACCCGGGAGGCGGAGGTTGCAGTGAGCCGAGATAGCACCACTGCACTCCAGCCTGGGCAAAAGAGCGAGACCCTGTCTCAAAAGAAAAGGGGAGGGGAGGGAAGGGAAAAGACGAGGTCCCTGACATTGATTCAGATGCTTCGTAAGGACCAGAGATCATCTGCTCTTCTGCTCTTTTGTCCAGCTACTCTAAAGGAAGGGCCATTCTGGGGCCCAATCCTTTCTGACCTTCTATCTGCTTGGCTGATGCTCCCTACACGGGCTGCTCACAAGGCGGGAACTCTAAGGACTGGGTGTGAGTTGTACTCTCAGGCTGTTTTACAGGCGTCTGCTGTCTGCTAGACCCTAGCACACGCTTTGGCTTGTTTTTAATTTAGTGTCCTTTTGGGGAATCGTGTAGTGGGGGACTAGTGAAAAGAGGAAAGCAATGGGAACCAGAAACATCTGGATTCATGTTCCAGCTCCACCTCTTCCTGCTGGGTGACCTTAGGCATGCTCTTTAACCTCTGAGCATTCATTTCCTCAGTTATAAAATTGGGCTAATAATAGTTCATAAGAATCATGTGAGAATTAAGGGAGATGATGTTTATAAAGTGCTTTGCATGGAGAAGAGTAAGTACTATGATAAGCATGTGTAGCAAAACGATATTAGGAGATGTTAGCTGACATGCCCTCATCATCTGCATGCCCTCTTCCTTCTACTCTACTTCCTACTCCCACACTGCCAATTTGGCTTTTAGGCACGAGACCTTCTTGGCCCCCAGGAGAACTATCTCAGCAGAACTAGAGGACAAGGGCATTCAGTTATTGGGTTTCATGTTTAACAACCAGGTGTGACACAGAAAGATAACACAGACCCAATTCTACCCACCCCTGCCCAGCCTGCCTCGGTAAATATGCTCCAAGCAGGAGAGGGAGAGGACCTGGTGACAGGAGCACTGGAGTGAGTCACTGGTGTGGGCCTCAGAGCTGAGTCCACTCTGAATGGACTGAGCTTGACCTGACTGACAAGTTTTCCGCTAATAAGGCTCAGGTAACTTGACTTAAACAGAGAAAATTAAATTTCTGGGATGCTGGAGTTGGTGGATTGAGAAATGTATGCTTACCATGCAAGGAATGTATCACCCCCTGAAGAGCAGAGATAACCTATAAAGATCTTAGACGCTGCTTTTTGGGCCATTTGCTGCCAAGAATGGACAAGTTTGGTAATGCAGGAAACCGTGCTGCTTCCCTTCAGGAATAATGCTGGGGACTGGCTGGGAGCTCCTTGCCTTTGATAATCTTTTCAAAACTATCCCATCATATTATGAGACTGAGTCTACCTTGATAGGTGAAGGAAGAAAATATGAGTTGCCAAGTCCAAGGCAAGATGCTCCTCTCATTTGATCTGTGTAAGATAGGGGTAAATATCCCATTATACTTTGGAGAATAGTAGCAATAATAATAATAATAGCTTTCATTTATTAAGCACTTATAAGTCTACACTTTTTTTTTTTTTTTTTTTGAGACAGAGTTTCGCTCTTGTTGCCCAGGCTGGAGTATAGTGATGCGATCTTGGCTCACTGCAACTTCCGCCTACTGGGTTCAAGCGATTCTTCTGCCTTAGCCTCCCAAGTAGCTGGGATTACAGGTGCCCGCCACCATGCCTTGCTATTTTTTTGTATTTTTATTAGGGACAGGGTTTTACCATGTTGGCCAGGCTAGTCTCAAACTCCTGACCTCAGGCAATCTGCCCGCCTTGGCTTCCCAAAATGCTGGGATTACAGGCATGAGCCACTGCGCCCAGCCACTGTCTACACTTTTTTTTTTTTCTTGAGACGGAGTTTCACTCTTGTTGCCCAGGCTAGAGTGCAATGGTGTGATCTTGGCTCACTGCAAGCTCTGCCTCCCAGGTTCAAGCAATTTTCCTGCCTCAGCCTCCTGAGTAGCTGAGATTACAGGAGCCCACCACCGTGGCTGGCTCATTTTTGTATCTTTTTAGTAGAGACGGGGTTTCACCATGTTGGCCAGGCTGGTCTCGAACTCCTGACCTCAGGTAATCCACCTGCCTCGGCCTCCCAAAGTGCTGGGATTACAGGCGTGAGCCACCGCACCTGGCCCTGTCTACACTTTTTAATGAGTAAACAAATATCCATTCTTTCTTCCACTAATGACATAAATTTAAGGGGATAAAAACCTCTGATTGCCTTACTTTTTTACCCCTGATGGACTAGAATCCTGAAAATAGGTGGGCTGAACGGAACCTTTGAGTGAGTGTACACCCAGGCATGTGCAAACGCATGCACACGTGCACATACATAAGCATACACACGCCGAGTCAGCCCACTGCCCCTCCTGGCCCTGCCAGCCTTTGCCGGCACACCCCTCTGTGCAGCCCCATCAGCCCTCTCCTTCCTCACAGGACATGGTTCTTACACTTGGGTTCAAGGAGGTCTACAGCAAACTCATGGTCAAATGGCAGCTTAGTCTCTTTATATACACAATCCTATTTCAAAGCAATCTAAGAAATAGAAAGCATTGCTTTCTCTCTCATCTGTGATATTTGCCTCTTTCTGGAACGTATCATTGCCCAAGAAATTATCTAGCATAAGTTAGCACTGATAAATTGCTAACTTTAGCTAGAGAAAAAGCTCATTTTGAAGACTTCAGGTGTGATTTTTTGAAAAAATTATTCATATTGACTATTTGGAAACTAAAGCTGTGTCCTTGCTGAAACTTTAGACAAATGCTGCTTGTTGACAAACAAGGATGTGCTTGAGCTGAAGGTGATGTGACTGACACATTTATCAGGGAGGCAGTGGCACTGGAACACTGCAGAGGACAGTGGCGGCTGCCTCAGGCTTTTCCTTGCAGGTTGTATCTTTGGTTACTTTTCCTGGAATAGTTCTAATACTGACCTTTTAGTTACAACTAGAAAATAACATTGCATTAACCTCCTCTCCGTCAACAGCTGAGCTGGAGAGAGCTGAGCGGCTCGGTGTCCAAGCGGTGGATTAAAACAGCACACCAAGACGAAAGTGAGGCTTTCATCACCTCCTGCAGTGACATAAGCAAGAGGCAAGTGGCAAGAGTGTTGCCTCCTCCACATTTTATTTTTCCCCCCAGAAGAGCACCAGGAGCAGGTCAGATGGATCAATAGGGGTCATCTCACCACTGAGGGAACCCCAGCAAAAGGCTCTTGCAGGTTTGTTGGGGAGGAAGAGAAGGGTGAGGGCTGGAGGTGTTAAAATACTGAATGCTGAGTCAGGGTGATGAAAAATGTCTTCATGGCCCCCAGCAGCGTGGTCTCAGGAGAGACCCCAAGAGAGACCTCAGCTCACGGTCTGCAGATAAGGACGTCTCTGGGTGGTGTGTCTGAGCTAGGAATGCAGATATGTGCAGCGTCACGGCTGGCCAGGGGCACCCAGACTGTGGGCCAAGTCTGGGGTGAGGAGGGCAGCTCTCCCCGCCCAGGCCTACCAGGAAATGCCTTTGGAATTGCCTAGGGTTGGGCCTGAAAGATCACATATAAGATTTTGGCTTCCTGGCCTTTTGGCCAGATGCCTTACTCCTCAGCTTGACTCTCTTGGTTTGTAGAACCCAAGACGTAACTGGATGTGGAAACAGACTTATGACACCGTACAAAGGGATCCACAGTGTCTTACTATCATTCTGAAACCATCTTTGCAAAAATTATAACTGAGAAAATTATGACAGTGAAAGAGATCTGACCTAACCGACTCCATCTTGCCTCTGACCTCCAGGCTGCCCTTGTTCATCCCTGGGCATAGGCCGAACTGACTTTGAGAGGAGTTTAGTTTATGGTTTGATGATAACATGGTAACAGCCCTTTCCCAAAATAAACCCCCCTCTTGGGGACTAAACTGTCTTTACAGGACTAATACATTAGCCACGAGATTAGAAATGATGGTTTAGGAGTCATTGTTGAAAAACCCGAGGTCAGTGCTTAAGATATTTTGCAGACTCTGCATTCCAGTGCACCAGCTGGTATGGGCTCATCAGGTCTTGTGGCCACCTTCCAGGAACTGACTCAACTCAAGAGGACAGCTTGGACTCCCTGTTATTTCATTTGCAAGCCAACCGATCAGCACTCCCCAATTTCTGATTCCCTACCCACCAAATTATCCTTAAAAACTCTGATCTCCAAATTTTTGGGGAGACTGATTTGAGTAATAATAAAACTCTGGTCTCCCCTAGAGCTAGCACTGGGTGAATTAAACTCTTTCTCAATTGCAATTCCCCTGTCTTGATAAATCAGCTCTGTCTAGGCAGTGGACAAAAAGAACTAGTTGGGTGGTTACAATTCTGTATCCTAGACACACATTTACTCATCTGTTGATTTTTTCCACAGATACTTCCTACAATAGAAGTGTTTTCCAAAATAAGTGTTTCCCATATGATCTTCATTTCTTTTACAAATATGATATTTTTCCTTAAAAAACAGGCTGGGAGTTCTCTCAAGATGGCCGAATAGGAACAGCACCAGTCTGCAGCTCCCAGCGAGATCAACGCAGAAGGTGGGTGATTTCTGCATGTCCAACTGAGGTACCCGGCTCATCTCATTGGGACTGGTTAGACAGTGGGTACAGCCCACGGAGGGTGAGCCAAAACAGGGTGGGGCGTTGCCTCACCCCAGAAGCGCAAAGGGTCGGGGAACTCCCTCCTGTAGCCAAGGGAAGCTGTGAGGGACTGTGCCGTGAGGGACAGTGCACTCTGTCCCAGATACTACGCTTTTCCCATGGTCTTTACAACCTGTGGACCAGGAGAATCCCTCTGGTGCCTATGCCACCAGGGCCCTGCGTTTCAAGCACAAAACTGGGCAGCCGTTTGGGCAGACACCGAGTTTTTTTTCTTACCCCAGGGGTGCCTGGAGTGCCAGCGAGACAGAGCCGTTCCCTCCCCTGGAAAGGGGGCTGAAGCCAGGGAGCCAAGTGGTCTAGCTCAGTGGGTTCCACCCCCATGGAGCCCAGCAAGCTAAGATCCACTGGCTTGAAATTCTCGCTGCCAGCACAGCAGTCTGAAGTTGACTTGGGACGTTTGAGCTTGGTGGGGAGAGGGGCATCCACCATTACTGAGGCTTGAGTAGGTGGTTTTCCCCTCACAGTGTAAACAGAGCTCGGAAAGTTCAAACTGGGAGGAGCACACCGCAGCTTGGCAAAGCCGCTATAGCCAGACTGCCTCTCTAGATTCTTCCTCTCTGGGCAGGGCATCTCTGAAAAAAAGGCAGCAGCCCCAGTCAGGGGCTTATAGATAAAACCCCATCTCCCCGGAACAGAGCACCTGGGGGAAGTGGTGGTTGTGGGCGCAGCTTCAGGAGACTTGAACGTCCCTGCCTGACAGCCCTGAAGAGAGCAGCGGATCTCCCAGCACAGCGTTCAAGCTCCACTAAGGAACAGACTGCCTTCTCAAGTAGGTCCCTGATCCCTGTGTCTCCTGACTGGGAGGCATCCCCCAGAAGGGGTCAACAACCACCTCATACAAGAGAGCTCCGGCTGGCATCTGGCGGGCACCCCTCTGGGACAAAGCTTCCAGAGGAAGGAACAGGCAGCAATCTTTGCTGTTCTGCAGCCTCCACTAGTGATAGCCAGGCAAATAGGGTATGGAGTGGACCTCCAGCAAACTCCAGCAGACCTGCAGCAGAGGGGCCTGACTGTTAGAAGGAAAAACTAACAAACAAAAAGGAAAAGCATCAACATCAACAAAAAGGACATCCATTCAGAAACCCCACCTGAAGGTCACCAATATAAAAGACCAAAGGTAGATAAATCTACGAAGATGGGGAGAAACCAGCACAAAAAAGCTGAAAATTCCAAAAACCAGAACGTCGCTTTTCCTCCAAAGGATCACAACTCCTCACAAGCAAGGGAAAAAACTGGACAGGGAAGGAGTTTGACAAATTGATAGAAGTAGGCTTCAGAAAGTGGGTAATAACAAACTCCTCTGAGCTAAAGGAGCATGTTCTAACCCAATGCAAGGAAGCTAAGAACTTTGAAAAAAGGTTAGAGGAATTGCTAACTAGAATAACCAGTTTAGAGAAGAACATAAATGACCTGATGGAGCTGAAAAACACAGCATGAGAACTTCATGAAGCATACACAAGTATCAATAGCCTAATCGGTCAAGCAGAAGAAAGGATATCAGAGATTGAAGATCAACTTAATGACATAAAGAGTGAAGACAAGATTAAAGGAAAAGAACGAAAAGGAATGAACAAAGCCTCCAAGAAATACGGGACTATGTGAAAAGACCAAACCTACATTTGATTGTGTACCTGAAAGTGACAGAGAGAATGGAACCAAGCTGGAAAACATTCTTCAGGATATTACCCAGGAGAACTTCCCCAACCTAGCAAGATACGCCAACATTGGAATTCAGGAAATACAGAGAACACCACAAAGATTCTCCTTGAGAAAGGCAACCCCAAGACATACAATCGTCAGATTCACTGTGGATGAAATGAAGAAAAAAAAGTTGAGGGCAGCCAAAGAGAAAGGTTGGGTTACCCACAAAGGGAAGCCCCTCAGACTAACAGCGGATTTCCTTGCAGAAACCCTACAAGCCAGAAAGTTTAACATTTTTAAAGAAAAGAATTTTCAACCCAGAGTTTCATATCCAGCCAAGCTAAGCTTCATAAGTGAAGGAGAAATAAAATCCTTTACAGACAAGCAAATGCTGAGAGATTTTGTCACCACCAGGCCTGCCTTACAAGAGCTCCTGAAGGAAGCACTAAACATAGAAAGGAAAAATTGGTACCAGTGACTGCAAAAACATACCAAATTTTAAAGACCATTGACACTATGAAGAAACTGCATCAACTAACAGGCAAAATAGCCAGCTAGCATCATAATGACAGGATCAGCTTCACACGTAACAATATTAACCTTGAATATAAGTGGGCTAAATGCCCCAATTAAAGGACACAGACTGGCATATTGGATAAAGAGTCAAGATCCGTCAGTGTGCTGTATTCAGGAGACCCATCTCATGTGCAAAGACACACATAGGCTCAAAATAAAGGGATGGAGGAATATTTACCAAGCAAATGGAAAGCAAAAAAGAGCAGGGGTTGCAATCCTAGTCTCTGATAAAACAGACTTTAAATCAACAAAGATCAAAAGAGACAAAGAAGGGCATTTCATAATGGTAAAGGGATCAATGCAACAAGAAGAGCTAACTATCCTAAATATATATGCACCCAATACAGGAGCACCCAGATTCATAAAGCAAATTCTTAGAGACCTATAAAGAGACTTAGACTCCCACACAATAATAGTGGGAGACTTTAAGACCCCACTGTCAATATTAGACAGATCAATGAGTCAGAAAATTAACAAGGCTATCCAGGACTTGAACTCAGCTCTGGACCAAGCAGACCTAATAGACATCTGCAGAACTCTCCACCTCAAATCAACAGAATATACATTTTTCTCACCGCCACATCACACTTATTCTAAAATTGACCACATAATTGGAAGTAAAACACTCCCCAGCAAATGCAAAAGAACAGAAATTATGGCTGGGTGTGGTGACTCACGCCTGTAATCCCAGCTCTTTGGGAGGCTGAGGCGGGTGGATCACGAGGTCAGGAGATCGAGACCATCCTGGCTAATAACGGTGAAACCTCATCTCTACTAAAAATATAAAAAATTAGCCAGGCAAGGTGGTGGGCGCCTGTAGTCCCAGCTACTCGGGAGGCTGAGGCAAGAGAATGGCATGAACCCAGGAGGCGGAGCTTGCAGTGAGCCAAGATTGTGCCACTGCACTCCAGCCTGGGCAACAGAGCGAGACTCTGTCTCAAAAAAACAAACAAACAAAAAAAAGAACGGAAATTATAACAAACAGTCTCTCACACCACAGTGCAATCAAATTAGAACTCAGGATTAAGAAACTCACTCAAAACCACACTACATAGAAACTGAACAACCTGCTCCTGAATGACTACTGGGTAAATAACAAAATTAAGGCAGAAATAAATAAGTTCTTTGAAACCAATGAGAACAAAGACACAACATACCAGAATCTCTGGGACACAGCTAAAGCAGTGTTTAGAGGGAAATATATAGCACTAAATGCCCACAAGAGAAAGCAGAAAAGATCTGAAATCGACACCCTAACATCACAATTAAAAGAACTAGAGAAACGGCTGGGCGTGGTGACTCACACCTGTAATCCCAGCACTTCAGGAGGCTGAGGCAGGTGCATCACCTGAGGTCAGGAGTTCCAGACCAACCTCACCAACATGGTGAAACCCTGTCTCTACTAAATACAAAAAATTAGCCAGGTGTGGTGCCACATGCCTGTAATCCCAGCTACTTGGGAGGTTGAGGTGGGAGAATTGCTTGAACCCAGGAGGCAGAGGTTGCAGTGAGCCGAGATTGAGCCATTGCACTCCAGCCTGGGCAACAAGAGCAAAACTGCATCTCAAAAAGAAAAAAAAAAGAACTAGAGAAACAAGAGCAAATAAATTCAAGAGCTAGCAGAAGACAAGAAATAACTAAGATCAGAGCTGAACTGAAGAAGATAGATGTTGGGAACAGGCCCCCCCAAAATCTGGCCACAAGCTGGTCCCCAAACTGGCCATAAACAAAATCTCTGCAGCACTGTGACATGTTCATGATGGCCGTAACACCCGTGCTGGAAGGTTGTGGGTTTACCGGAATGAGGGCAAGGAACACCTGGCCCGTCCAGGGCGGAAAACTGCTTAAAGGCATTTTTAAGCCACAAACAATAGCATGAGCGATCTGTGCCTTAAGGACCTGCTCCTGCTGCAGTTAACTAGCCCAACCTATTCCTTTATTTAGGCCCATCCCTTTGTTTCCCATAAGGGATACTTTTAGTTAATTGAATATCTATAGAAACAATGCTAATGACTGGCTTGCTGTTAATAAATACATGGGTAAATCTCTGTTCAGGGCTCTCAGCTCCGAAGGCTGTGAGACCCCTGATTTCCCACTTCACACCTCTATATTTCTGTGTGTGTGTCTTTAATTCCTCTAGCGCCACTGGGTTAGGGTCTCCCCGATCGAGCTAGTCTCGGCAGATAGAGACACAAAAAACCCTTCAAAAAGTCAATGAATTCAGGAGCTGGTTTTTCGAAAAGATCAACAAAGTAGTTAGATCGCTAGCCAGACTAATAAAGAAAAGAGAGAAGAATCAAATAGACACAATAAAAAATGATAAAGGGGATATCACCAGTGATCCCACAGAAATACAAACTACTATCAGAGAATACTATAAACACCTCTATACAAATAAACTAGAAAATCTAGAAGAAATGGATACATTCCCAGACACATACACCCTCCCAAGTCTAAATCAGGAAGAAGTTGAATCCCTGAATAGACCAATAACAAGTTCTGAAATTGAGGCAATAATTAATAGCCTACCAACCAAAAAAAGTCCAGGACCAGACAGATTCACAGCCAAATTCTACCAGAGGTACAAAGAGGAGCTGGTACCATTCCTTCTGAAACTATTCCAAACACTAGAAAAATAGGGACTTCTCCCTAACTCACTTTATGAGGCCAGCATCATCCTGATACCAAAGCCTGGCAGAGACACAACAAAAAAAGAAAATTTCAGGCCAATATCCCTGATGAATATTGATGCAAAAATTCTCAATAAAATACTGGCAAACTGAATCCAGCAGCACATCAAAAAGCTTATCCACCATGATCAAGTCAGCTTCATCCCTGGGATGCAAGGCTGGTTTAACATACGCAAATCAATAAATGTAATCCATCACATAAACAGAACCAAGGACAAAAACAATATGACTATCTTAATAGATGCAGAAAAGGCTTTTGACAAAATTCAACATGCCTTCATGCTAAAAACTCCGAATAAACTAGGTATTGATGGAATGTATCTCAAATTATAAGAGCTATTTATGACAAACCCACAGCCAATATCATACTGAATGGGCAAAAACTGGAAGCATTCCCTTTGAAAACTGGCACAAGACAAGGATGCCTTCTCTCACAACTCCTATTAAACATAGTATTGGAAGTTCTGGCCAGGACTATCAGCAAGAGAAAGAAATAAAGGGTATTCAAATAGGAAGAGAGAAAGTCAAATTGTCTCTGTTTTCAGATGACATGATTGTGTATTTAGAAAACCCCTTTGTCTCAGCCCAAAATCTCCTTAAGCTGATAAGCAACTTCAGCAAAGTCTCAGGATACAAAATCAATAAGCAAAAATCACAAGCATTCCTATACAGCAATAATAGACAAGTAGAGCCAAATCATGAATGAACTCCCATTCACAATTACTACAAAGAGAATACAATATCTAAGAATACAACTTACAAGGGATGTGAAGGACCTCTTCAAGGAGAACTTCAAACCACTGCTCAAGGAAATGGGAAAAGGACACAAACAATGGGAAAAACATTCCATGTTCATGGATAGGAAAGATTAATATCGTGAAAATGGCCATACTACCCAAGGTAATTTATAGATTCAATGCTATCCCCATCAAGCTACCATTGACTTTCTTCACATAATTGGAAAAAACTACTTTAAATTTCTTGTGGAACCAAAAAAGAGCCTGCACAGCCAAGACAATCATGAGCCAAAAGAACAAAACTGGATGCATCATGATACCTGACTTCAAACTATACTACAAGGCTACAGTAACCAAAACAGCATGGTACTGGTATCAAAACAGATATATAGACCAATGGAACAGAACAGAGATCTCAGAAATAACGCCACACATCTACAGCCATCTGATCTTTGACAAATCTGACAAAAACAAGCAATGGGGAAAGGATTCTGTATTTATTAAATGGTGTTGGGAAAACTGGCTAGCCATATGCAGAAAAATGAAACTGGGCTCCTTCCTTGCACCTTATACAAAAATTAACTCAAGATGGATTAAAAACTTAAATGTAAGACCTAAAACCATAAAAACCCTAGAAGGAAAACCTAGGCAATTCAGGACGTAGGCATGGACAAAGACTTCATGACTAAAACATCAAAAGGAATGGCAACAAAAGCCAAAATTGACAAATGGGATCTAATTAAACTAAAGAACTTCTACACAGCAAAAGAAGTTATCATCAGAGTGAACAGGCAACCTACAGAATGGGAGAAAATTTTTGCAATCTATTCATCTGACAAAGGGCTAATATCCAGAATCTACAATGAACTCAAACAAATTTACAAGAAAAAAACAACCCCATCAAAAAGTGGGTGAAGGATATGAACAGACACTTCTCAAAAGAAGACATTTATGCAGCCAACAATCATATGAAAAAAAGCTCATCATTGCTGGTCATTAGAGAAATGCAAATCAAAACCACAATGAGATACCATCTCACACCAGTTAGAATGGCGATCATTAAAAAGTCAGGAAACGACAGATGCTGGAGAGGATGTAGAGAAATAGGAACGCTTTTACACTGTTGATGGTGGTATAAATTAGTTCAACCATTGTGGAAGACGGTGTGGCAATTTCTGAAGGATCTAGAACCAGAAATACCATTTGACCCAGCAATCCCATTACTAGGTATATACCCAAAGGATTAGAAATCATTCTACTATAAAGACACATGCACACATATGTCTATTGCAGCACTGTTCACAATAGCAAAGACTTGGAACCAACCCAAATGCCCATCAGTGATAGACTGGATAAAGAAAATGTGGCATATATACACCATGGAATACTACGCAGCCATAAAAAAGGGTGAGTTCATGTCCTTTGCAGGGACATGGATGAAGCTGGAAGCCACCATTCTCAGCAAACTAACACAAGCACAGAAAACCAAACACCACATGTTCTCACTCATAAGTGGAAGTTGAACAATGAGAACACATGGACACAGGAAGGGGAATATCACACACTGGGGCCTGTTGCGGGTGGGGAGTCTAGGGAAGGGATAGCATTAGGAGAAATACCTAATGTAGATGACAGGTTGATGGGTGCAGCAAACCACCATGGCACGTGTATACCTATGTAACAAACCTGCACGTTCTGCACATGTACCCCAGAATAAAGAAAAAAAAATACAGGCTGGGCACGGTGGCTCATGCCTGTAATCCCAGCACTTTGGGAGGCTAAGGTGGATGGATCACAAGGTCAAGAGTTCGAGACCAGCCTGGCCAATATGGTGAAACCCCGCCTCTACTAAAAATCCAAAAAAATTAGCCAGGCGTTGTGGCACATGCCTGTACTCCCAGCTACTTGGGAAGCTGAGGCAGGAGGATTGCTTGAACCTGGGAGGCGGAGGTTGCAGTGAGCCGAGATCACACCACTGCACTCCAGCCTAGGTGACAGAGTGAGACTCCGACTCACACACACACAAAAATATATATATGTATATATATATGACCTATGACCTGTAAGCCCATGTTTCCAGATGTCCTTCCTGCCTTTCCAGGTCAACTGTTACCAATGCCCTGGGTTCCTGTAATGTCCCATGTTAGAAATCAAGAGAGATCACCAGATACAGCAGCAAAGAGAAACTTTTTTATTTTTTTTATTTATTTATTTATTTATTTATTTATTTATTTATTTATTTTGAGATGGAGTCTCACTCTGTTGCCCAAGCTGGAGTTCAGTGGCGCGATCTCAGCTCACTGCAACCTCCGCCTCCTGGGTTCAAGCGATTCTCCTGCCTCACCCTCCCAAGTAGCTGGGATTACAGGCGCCTGCCACCACCCCTGGCTAGCTTTTTGTATTTCTAGTAGAGACAGGGTTTTGCCATATTGTCCAGACTGGTCTCCAGCTTCTGACCTCAGGTGATCTACTGGCCTTGGCCTCCCAAAGAAAGTTTATTTTAGCTTGTGCTCAGGAAAGAACAAAGAATGGACTGTTCCCTGAGAGGACTGTGTGGGTTAGTTTTACAGGGCCTTTGTAAAAGGCAGGGTTCCATCAGGAGATCTACAGGAGGGGTTTTTCTAACGCTTGCACAGTGGTTCAACCTGCTTCTTTATACATTGTATGTAGCATTAGCTGGGCGATCTTGGCTCACTGCAACCTCCGCCTCCTGGGTTCAAGTGATTCTCCTGCCTCAGCCTCCCAAGTAGCTGGGATTACAGGCATGCGCCACCATGCCCAGCTAATTTTGTATTTTTAATAGAGACTGGGTTTCTCTGTGTTGGTCGGGCTGGTCTCAGGCTCTTGACCTTAGGTGATCCGCCCACATCGGCCTCCCAAACTGCTGGGATTACAGGCGTGAGCCACCGAGCCCGGCCGATAACATCACTATTGTAAAACATAAGATCAGTGCTTGAAATATTTTGCAGCCCCTGCACTCAGTGGATCAGCTGGCACCACCCAGATCAATAAACGGGCTCACCGTGACCCTCATTCAGGGACTGACTTAGCTCAAGACGACAAGCTTCAACTCCCTATGATTTCATCTCTCACCTGACCAAGCAGCACTCTCTCGCTTTCTGACCCCCCACCCACCAAATTATCCCTAAAATCCCTGATCCATGAGTTTTCAAGGAGACTGATTTGAGTAAAAATAAAACTCCAGTCTCCCCCACAACTGGCTCTGTGTGAATTAAACTCTATTGCAATTCCCCTTCCTTGATAAATCAGCTCTGTCTAGACAGCAGGCAAGGGGACCCCATTGGGGCAGTTGCAGGTTCGTGTAATCTCCCAGGCTAGAAGTCAAGAGAGATCACCAGACATAGCAGTAATGACAAAGTTTATTTTAGCTTGTGCTCAAGGGAGCCAGCATGGAGAAAGCGCAAAGAATGGGCTGCTCCCCGAGAACAGTGTGTGGGTTAGTTTTAGGGTCTTTGTAAAGGAAAGGGTTACATCAGGGCACACATAGGAGGGGCTTTTCTTGTGCTTGCCGGTGGTTCAACATGCTTTTTGATATGTCATATGTAGCCTTCACATTTTAAATCTCCAACCCTGAGTATGATTTTTAGTATTAAAATAAGGAAGGAGTAATTGTAGGCTGGAGTTTAACTTTACATGTAGGGCTCTGGGGAAGTCTCCAGCTCCCCTGAAATAAGAGCTTGCAGTTAACTGCTCCTTGGGTCTTTTGTTGCTGACTGGCTGAGAGTTAGAGAAGCTAGAGCTTGAGTGGGGGCCTCCGTATGCTTTTCCTCCAGACCATCTTAAAGTAGGGAACCAACCTGCCTGCCTGTCTCAAAACCAATGTATACTTTATATGTATTGATTTACATCTTCGCCTGTAACTCCTGTCTCCCTAAAATGTATAAAACCAAACTGTAACCTGACCACCCCGGCACACTTTCTTAGGTCCTCATGAGATCTCCCTGGGCCATGGTCACTCATAATGGCTCAGAATAAACTCCATTAACACTAAGGAATGAATTCCAAGCATAAACCTTTCACCCCAGATCTGTTTCTTTCTACCACTTACTCCACCATTGTGATAGTTCTTCCTCTCCATACCCTACCACTTTGTAAAAACCCAATGGGGAAATCAGTGTTCCTTCCCAGGGCAAGGTCTAATCCAGCATCTTACATGGGTGTTAAGATCAGTCCCTAAAAAGCTGAGCTATGCTGGCTTAGCTTGGCCTTGTCCCTCTGTAGTCTGGGCAAAGCAGGATATGCCATCTCCTTAAGACCTCCATTCCCCAGGGTGCTTGGGTCCAATTTAATTGAATTGAATGTAGCCCTTACACTGACCTGCCTTGGGATTGACCAGAATTATGTGTATTTTTTTAAGCTCTTGAGTCACCAAGATTTATGTATTATTATTATTATTTTTTGAATCAAAGTCTCGCTCTGTCACCCACACTGGAGGGCAGTGGCGTGATCTCGGCTCACTGCAGCCTCTGCCTCCCAGGTTCAAGCGATTCTCCTGCCTTAGCTTCCAGAGTTGCTGGGATTACAGGCATGTGCCACCACACCCAGCTAATTTTTGTATTTATAGTACAGATGGGGTTTCACCATGTTGGCCAGGCTGGTCTTGAACTCCTGACCTCATGATCTGTCCGCCTGGGACTCCCAAAGTGCTGGGATTACAGGCGTGAGCCACAGCTCCCAGTGAGTTACCCAGCTCTCTTTTGCTTTCCTTTTTGACAGATAAGTAGGTAGAGTTTAGGAGGCTGGCCAATTCGTTATCTAGGATAAGGTAGAGGCTAGACTTCTCATGCTCTGGAATTTTCTTGGACTCAGTTTACTCCTATTGACTTGGAATGAAGAGAAAGCTTCTTACCAGGTTGAGTATGGAAAAACCCAAAAATATTTTTCCTCAGCTTTCCCATAACACAGAATACTTCTGTGCCCAGATGTATGAGGTTTCTCCACGCACCAAGCAATTCTACAGCAGGCAATAGCAGCTGAGTGTCCTGTAATTCAATTCTGACGCCATCCACCTGGAAACAGTGTCAGATCCCACAGGTCAAGGACTCAGTCCCCAAGACTCCCCCGCTGCAAAATCTGATGATAATCGGAAGCCACAGGTTGTTTCGCCCATGCTTCTGACTGACCTCCTACCAACTGGGGTTTGCACACCCCCTTGCTGGGCTCAGTTAATTTGCTAGAGTGGCTCACAGGACTCAAGGAAATACCTACATTAACAGATTCATTATAAGGAATATTACAAAGGATACAGGTGAAGACATGCACAGGGTGAGGTATGAGGAAATTGGAGGGCAGCTTCCACGCCCTCCCTGGGTACCACCCTACAGGAACCTCCATGTGTTCAGCTCTCCAGAAGTTCCTCAAACCCTTTTGGGTTTTTATGGAAGCTTCATTACATAGATACAATTAATTCACTGTTAGCCATTGGTAATCAACTTAACCTCAGCCTCTCTCTCTTCCCGGGAGGCTGGGGGTGGGGCTGAAAGTCCCAACTCTCTAATCCTGCCTTGGTCTTTCTTGTGACCAGCCCCTATACTGAAGCTACCTGCGTGCTGCCAGCCTTCAGTCAACTTATTAGCATACAAAAAGACAGCACTTCGGAGGTTCTAAGGGTTTTAGCTGTATGCCAAGAGGCCACGGAAGACCAAATATATATTTCACATGATCATGTAGGTGTTCCTTGTTTGTCTCACCAACCATCTGACAGGTTCCTCCAGGGCCTCAGATGAGTCTTTTCACTCTGTAGTCCCAGTACCTAGCACAATGCCTGACAGACAAATTGTAAGCACTCTATAAATGTTGAATGGAAACTGTAGATACCCCAGGGATTGTCTGTACATTTAGGGCTAAACCTGCTAACACGGCTGCCACAGTAACACAGGACATCTCCCTCTAGATAGCTTAGCATGGTGGCTCAGAGCACAGAGTCTACAGTAAGACTCTTGAGTTCAAATCCCAACCCTGCCATTTCATAATATACTGTGACCCTGGTCAGATTACTTGTTTTCCCTCAGTGAACTGAGGATATCTCCTAAGGTTGATGAGAGGATTACATGAGTTAATGTTTAGAAACCCGCTTAGCATAGAGGCTGGCACGAAGCTGAGAGCTATATCAAGTGTTGATAAGTAAATAGAACAGTTTTCTTAGCCTTACTGACATCTTTAATGGTATCAAACTATGGGGGATATTTAGAATAATTTACATGGTTCTATAGTACTTTAACTTGTTAGACATCTTTCCTGCTGTTATCTCTTTAAAAATTCTCATATCACTTCTACTTTGAAGGAAGATCATTAAATGAATTTATGGGAGGCCACTGCTTTGGACTGAGCTCCTGCACTAGGCCCACCAGACCAGACCAAACCAAACCAGAATGGAGTTCCTCATGCTAGGTGCCACATAATCAAACTGAACTTTGAATGGGCCAGTTTTCAAAAAACAGGAGACACAGGAACCAGTCACAAGGGGCCTAGTTTACCTGAGCCAGCATGACAAAAAGTTCCCTCTGTTTTAACTCTGTAAGGAAAGTAACTTTGAAATGACCGATCAACTCTTTGTTACCTGTCTCAGCCCCTTTTTGCCTATAAAGCTGTAAATGAAAGGTATCTGAGGCAGGTCGCAATCAATTTAGAAAGTTTATTTTGCCAAGGTTTAGGATGTGTCTGTGGCACAACCTCAGGAGGTCCTGACAACACGTGCTAAGGTGGGTGGGGCACAGCTTGGTTTTATACTTTGGGAAGACATGAGACATCAATCAATACATGTAAGATGTACATTGGTTTGGTCTAGAAAGCTGTGACAACTCAAAGTGGGGGTTTTCAGGTCACAGGGAGATTTAAAGATTTTCTGATTGGGGATTGGTTGAAAGAGTTATTAAATAGAAAGGATGTCTGGGATACAATAAGGGGTTGTGGAGACCAAGGTTTTATCAGACAGATGAAGCCTCCAGAGGACATGCTTCAGAGAGAATAGATTGTAAATGTTTCTTATCAGACTTAAAGAGTCTGTTCTATCTGTAATTCCAAAAGGGGGGAAGGTATAATGAAGCATATCTGTTTCCCTCTTCCCATCATGGCCTGGATTAGTTTTTCAGGTTAACTTGTAACGCCCTTGCCAAGAGGAGGGACCTGTTCAGATAGTGGGAGGCTCAGAATTTTATTTTTGGTTTACAAAGCCAATCTCTTCTGCTCAGCCCATCAGAGCACCTGTCTATTTTTACAGAGATGTTGTCTAATTCATGAATTGCTAATTAAGCCAATTAGATCTTTAAACTAAATTTGTTGTAATTTCGTCTTTTGACAATGTTATCGTTTCTATTTTAGGGAAGCAGAAACTGGAGTTCAGATTGGGGAAGTGGCAGCTAGCTAGAGGATCCCAGAGCTGTCACTAGCCAAACTACACAAAACACAATGGAGAAAAGGTGGATATGGGAGCTGGGGCAGGGAGGGGAGGATTCTGAGTTGAAATGAACTGTGATTGCAGTTTGTGAAAAATATTTTTTCTTTTTTTATTTTTTTATTTTTGAGATGGAGTTTCACTCTTGTCACCCAGGCTGGAGTGCAATGGTGTGATCTCCACGATCTCTGCTTACTGCAACCTCTGCCTCCTGGGTTCAAGGGATTCTCCTGCCTCAGCCTCCCGAGTAGCTGGGATTATAGGTGCCTGCCACCATGCCCAGCTAATTTTTGTGTGTGTGTGTGGTTTTTTTTTAGTAGAGATGGGGTTTCACCATGTTGGCCAGACTGGTCTCAAACTCCTGACCTCAGGTGATCCACCCGCCTCGGCCTCCCAAAATTCTGGGATTACAAGCGTGAGCCACCATGCTCGGCCTGTGAAAAATATTTCGTAGTCATAGTTTGCCTGTGAATTTCTCATGCTGAAAAACGAGGTGCTCAACAAACTCCAAAGAAAGTTCAGATGTCAACTTTGAATTTTCTGGAATTTACTTGATGCAATTTTCAATTATGCCTTTCTCCATGGAGGTTTCATAGTTGGTATCAGTGCCGCGACATGAGGGACATTTACATCAGGGCTTGAACATAAAGTAGATGGGCCTATGGCTCATAGATAAACATTCACAACAAGCTTCCATCAGTGACTTGGTCGGCGGTGGTGGGGATTTAGGAGAAATTTATGAAGAGAATTGTAGGAGAGCAGTCAGGGTGGTAGGAAAAATTATAGGAAAAGGATGCAAACCTTCTCGGAAGGCTGGGAGTTTGCATAGCTTCAGAAGAGAGTTTGGCTGAAGGCAGCTGAATTCTCTTAAGAGCTTAGGTTAGATAACAAGGGGTTGTAAAGAAACTGATCTAGATAAGTTAGTTTACTTAGGCTCAGAACCTGGCCTTTAATCATCCATGTGGGACTACTCTCTCCAGGGAGGGCAACCATGTTAATTACCCACAAGAGGGTTGACTCAAAGCCTTTGTCATTAAATCTGTACTAAATAAATGCCTGCAGCACCAACTTGTCAGGGCCATGGCTGCTGACTCCTTACAGCACCCTCCTCAGGGTCTGTGCATGGCCCAGTCCCCTAGCCTGCTCTTTCACTGGATACTGGTGTCTTGAGTGCATTCTTTCATCCATCGTTCGGCCAGCGTCTGTGGGTTGGACCTGGCAAGCATCCATAGAAATCATGTTAATATTTTAGTAGGATAACTTTAGGGACGCAAATGTACTAGAATGGTCCTGAGTCTAGCCCATCTTTCTTTTTCATGAGCTCATTGAATAAACCAAAATATTATCAGAAAGGGGTCCCAATCCAGACCCCCAAGAGCGGGTTCTTGGATCTCACGCAAGAAAGAATTCAAGGCGACTCTGTTAAGTTAAGTCAAAGCAAGTTTATTAAGAAAGTAAAGGGGCCAGGTGCAGTGGCTCATGCCTGTAATCCCAGCACTTTTGGAGGCCGAGGTGGGCGGATCACAAGGTCAGGAGATTGAGACCATCCTGGCTAACACGGTGAAACCCTGTCTGTATTAAAAATACTTTGTTCAGCCTTTGTTACAAAGCCGATTTTGTTTGTTTGTTTGTTTGTTGTTTTTGGTTGGGGGGGGACCAAACCACTTTATTGAGGGGAATGGGGTGGCAAAGCAGCAAGGATGATGAGATCTGACATCCTCGGCTGGGAGCTCCTAGGATCTGCAGGCACTGAAAGCTACCAGCAGGTTTTTTAAAGGCAAAGGGGACAAGCAGTGGGCTGATACAAAGTTGTATGACAGGAAGTCTCATTGGTTTACAGAAATAACATTAATGATTGGCTATACATTGTTAAGCTATAGTGTGTGGGTTATAGTGTCAAGTACATTATTATTAGGTTAATTTATAGCTATTATGGCAACAGCAAGAAGTTTCAGAAGATGAATATATCACTCAAGGGGGAAGTACAATGTGATTGTTGGCTCATCTTAATGTCTTTCTGGGCCACACGCAGTGGCTCACGTCTATAATCCCAGCACTTTGGGAGGCTGAGGTGGGCGGATCACCTGAGGTCAGGAGTGTGAGACCAGCCTGGCCAACATGGCAAAACCCCATCTCTACTAAAAATACAAAAATTATCCAGGCATGGTGGCATCCCTGTAATCCCAGCTACTCGGGAGGCTGAGACAGGAGAATCGCTTACATCCAGGAGGCAGAGGTTGCAGTGAGCCAAGATCACACCACTGTACTCCAGCCTGGGTGACAGAGCAAGAGTGTCTCAAAAAAAGTCTCTCTGGGTCTGATAATTTTAAAGGACTCACCTTCCTTGGATAAAAGCTATTTTCTCTTCTCATTGATAAAGACAAGATTAAAAAAATTTTTTTCAGACTACCAAATTGATTAACAAAGTGGCAGGAAGTAAATTAGAAAGAACAAATCTGTCCATTAAAAGCGGATACTTTTTATTTATTTATTTACTTACTTTTTTGTTTGAGACAGAGTCTTGCTCTGAGCTCAGGCTGGATTGCAGTCAGTTGTGCAGTCATAGCTCACTGCAGCCTTCGATTACTGGGCTCAAGGGATCCTCCCACCTCAGCCTCCCAAGTAGCTGGGACTGCAGGCAGCACTTGGCTGATTTTTAAAATTTTTTTTGTAGAGATAGGGTCTTGCTATGTTGGCCAGGCTGGTCTCAAATTCCTGGGCTCAAGCAATCCTCCTGCCTTGGGCTCCCAAAGTGCTGGGATTACAGGTGTGAGCCACTGTGCCCAACAAAAGCAGATTTTAAAATATTTACATCATTTAATTTTTGTATCAGCCTGGTTTAGGGTAAACAGATTGTAGGGACCAAGGGAAAACTTCTCCTTCACCCGCTGAAGGTTCACTGAAAAATCAACTGACAAAAGGCATATTAATAGGAGAAAAGGCATCCAAATTTATTAATATATATGGGAGTCCTACAAAATATAAGAACTCAAAGAAATGGCCAGATGGTTGACCTCTTTATGCCGTCTCAAGGTTACAGAAAGAATGGGGCCTCAGAGCATGGCTAAAAACAGGTTATGGTGGTAAATCAGTTTCTAATGGCAAGACAGGTTATGGGAGGGAGAGAAGAGGAGACCTGGTCTGCAAAGGTGGTCTTGTTATGTAGATGAAACCTTGCAGGTGGCAACCGTCACAGAGAATAGATGGGAAATGTTTCTTTCAGCTCTTTAAAGATGTCACTCTCAGTTAATCTTTTCTAGATCCAGACAAGGGAGGAACTCTAAGCCTGACTGTATCACTGCTGATTTTCCCTCAGATGCAAATCTCCCCCACCAGACACCTTTGCAGGGCTGCCCATGCTCGCAGGCCCTCTGAACAGCCCTCTCAAAATATGTCAAAGAAGGGTATTTTGGGGTGAAATATTTTGGTTTCTTTCAGGGTGATGAGTTAGACCACAGGTGATATGCACACACCAGACAACTCTGAACTGTTTCTCATTCCAAGGTCTCGAGTTCATCGCAGGGGGCAGGTAGCCATGGGGGGCGGGCAAGAAATGGGGAGGGCAGGTAGGAGCTCAGCGAGGTTTTGGTACCCGCTGCTTCTCTCTCTCACTCCCTGCTGTAACGTAACTAATTCTCGCAGACTTATAAACAGTAGAAACTCTCAACAGAAACCACTTGCAAATTTTATTTCTCAGTGCTTTCTGTTTGAACTGCATCAGCAACACTCTGGAGGCAAATGTTCAAAACAGAGACACAGCCGTATTGGCTGGAAACAGGGAACTATTTCTATATGGTGCTTTTGACTGTATTATGTTCTGATTATTTGGAAACAAAAAACCTATTTTTAGCTTTTTAGTAGAATCATCAGTTAATTTCGAAAGCCTTAAAAATGGAGAAGGACCTTGGAGAACTTAAAGGTCAAAAAATTAAATACTATTGTAAACTGAAGTATGATGACATTTATAAATTTGGAAAGGAGAGCTTTCTTTCTCCTAAAGGGTTGCTGCTTGCAGGCAGCCATTCTGACAGGCTGGAAAGCGTAGCCTTGGGCCAGAAGCTGGAAACACATATTTCAAAGGAGGGGTAAAGGGAACAGGAATTTATGTTGAGCAGGTTGGCTAAGTATACATATTCAACAGATTACAGGAGGAGCTATGAATATTCATGAAGAGGATCATGCATGTGTAGCAGGCTAACATGCATGCAGCATGTGTCCCATGTTCACTTTGGGCTGGAGACTTCACATTTCAATGCATGACAGTTAGGCCTTTTACATCGAAAGACAAAGCAGGGACACGCAGGCTCTCTGTGTGCAGCCTCTGAAGACTGGCCAGAACCGCTCTGCGTCGGCGGGCGGGGTGTTGTCTCTTATCAGGAGGGAATGCTGGTTAATTGTTATGTGGAAACTGCAAAAGGGTGGGGAAGCCTCAGGCAGTTGTTGATATCAGCACTGGAGTCTTTTGAAAGAGCTGGTTTTGGCTGGGTGCAGTGGCTCATGCCTGTAATCCTAGCACTTTGGGAGGCTGAGGCGGACAGATTGCCTGAGCTCAGGAGTTCAAGACCAGCCCGGGCAACATGGTGAAACCCCATCTCTACTAAAAATACAAAAGAAATTAGCCGGGCATGGTGGCATGTGCTTGTAGTTGCAGTTACTTGGGAAGCTGAGGCAGGAGAATTGCTTGAACCTGGGAGGTGGTGGTTGCAGTGAGCCAAAATCGAACCACTGCACTCCAGCCTGGGTGACAGAGCAAGACTCGTCTCTAAAAAAAAAGAAAAAAAAAAAAGGAAAGAGCTGGTTTCTGTTTAGCCCCTAGGGAAGAAAGCCTAAGGGGGTTAGCGAGGTGGAGGTGTGCAGCAAGGTGCGTCTGACCTCTGACCTCCCATCCCCTCACAGCCTAGAACTCAGTTTTCAAAGTTACTTGGGGAGTCCCCTTGACGAAAACAATGTGAACCCAGAAAATCTGAGACAGGTCTCAGTTAATTTAGAAAGTTTATTTTTTCAAGGTTGGGGAATGCGCCCGTGACACAGCTTCATGAAATCCTGATGACACATGCCCAGGGTAGTTGGGGCACAGCTTGGTTTTATACGATTTAGGGAGACATGAGTGAGACATCAATCAATATACGTAAGAAGTACATTGGTTTGGTCTGGAAAGGCAGGACAGCTTGAAACAAAAGCAGGAAGACTCAAGTGGGGAGGGAGGGAGCTTCCAGGTCACAGGTAGGTGATAACAAACTGTATCATTCTTTTGAGTTTCTGGTTAGCCTTTCCAAAGGCGGCAATCAGATATGCATCTAGCTCCTCGAGCAGAGGAATAACTTTGAAGAGAATGGGAGGCAGGTTTGTCCTAAGAAGTTTCCAGCTTGAATTTTCCTTAGTGATTTTGGAGGCTCAAGATATTTTCCTTTCACAATGGGATCCATTTAGTCAGCTGTGGGGGGCTTAAGATTTTATTTTTATTTTTCACTAGAAGTGAACATAGGATATGGAAATGTAATAAACTCCCATAGAAGACTGTTAGATTACAGATGTTTAACATTGTCTCATCTCTGGCATCTCCCTTGCCGCCATCTTCCAAGGCTTCAAATCTCCATCACTTCTCCAGCATGGGGTCCTCCTTCCTCCATTTTCCACCTTCATAGGCTCTTCTGCACTGGCCAGTTATATTCAGCTACTGAAAAAAAATCCCTAATCTCAAACTTTCTGGGGAGATGGATTTGAGGTTTCCTCCTGTCTTCTTGTTTGGTGGCCCTATGATTAAACCTCTTTCTCTGCTGCAACCAGTTGTCTTGGTGTACTGACTTGATGCGTGCATTGTAAATACTGCCTACCGGTACAAAGATGAGTCCTTAGCTACAGGATTTATATATATATCTGTGGTATAATAAGAAATAGATTTGGTCATTATCTTAAGCAAATTAATGCAGGAAGAGAAAAATCAAATATGGCGTGTTCTCACTGATAAGTGTGAGCTAAACATTGGGTACTCGTGGACATAAAGATGGCAAAAACACCACTGGGGGACTCCTAGCGGGAGGAGAGAGGGAGTGGGCGAGGGTTGAAAAACTAACTGTTGGGAACTATGCTCACTATCTGGGTGACAGAATCAGTCATACACCAAACCTCAGCATTATGCCATATACCCATGAGACAAACCTGCACATATGCCCCCAAATCTAAAATAAAAGTTGAAATTATATTTTTAAAAAGTATATATATATATATGTATCTGGTTTTTGTCCCTGTTCCTGGCACAGAGTTCCCTAAACCCTTGGCATTGCCTGAGTGATGGGAGTCTTTTTTTTTTTTGAGACAGAGTCTTGCTCTGTCACCCAGGCTGGAGTGCAATGGCGTGACCTCGGCTCACTGCAACCTCTGCCTCCCAGGTTCAAGCGATTCTCCTGCCTCAGCCTCCTGAGTAGCTGGGATTACAGGTGCCTGCCACAATGCCTGGCTAATTTATTTTTGTATCTTTAGTAGAGATGAGGTTTCACTGTGTTGGCCAGGCTGGTCTTGGAACTCGTGACCTCAAGTGATTCACCCGCCTCAGCCTCCCAAAGTGCTGGAATTACAGGTGTGAGCCACCACGCCAGGCCTGATGGGAGTCTTGTTATTCATAATGAATTCCTTTTGATCACACCTGTGTTTATGCTAATTAGGTGATCTAGCGTGTGGCCCCTAGATACTCAGGATGCGGCTGGTCATCAGAAAGACTAATGTTTAAAAGGTTGGAACTTTCACTCTGTCCCTGACCTTTGCCTCATGCAAGGGAAAGGGGAAGCTGGAGATTGAGCTGTATAGAAACTCCAGGCTGGTGAATACATCGGTGTTGGAAGGCTGGTGCCCGGAATGTGGCAGGGCTGCTCGTGCCCCTCCCCGACGCCTGGTCCTATGCCTCTCTTCCATCTGGCTGTTCCTTAGTTGTATTATTTAAGTTTGCACATGTAAGTAAAGTGTGTTCCTGAGTTCTGTGACTGATTCTAACATGTTATGAAACCTGAGGAGGAAGTTGTGAGGAAGGCATCCCCACAGCATTGACAAGAATGAAACACGGTTATAATTCAGCATCTATCAGGCTGCTCTCTGGCCCCTTCCTCATTGCTTAAAGTCTCGTAGCACCTGACACCGACCATTTGCATTCCCATTATTCCTATAGACAGCATCTCTGACATTAGAATCATAAGACTTTTGTTTGAGGATGCTTAAGATGTTTTTCTGAGACCCTGAATTCCAGTGAAGCAGCTGCAACCAACCGCTTTGAAGACCCCCACAGAGGAACCAAATCAGTGTGAGAATACAGCTTCTTCATCTTCCTGTCCCATGACTTCACACCGCACTATTCAGCCAATCCACCATCTCCACACTTCCGCCCACTCCAAAACCCTTAAAAGCCCAAGCCCAGGCTGGACGTGGCGACTCAGGCCTATAATCCCAGCACTTTGGGAGGCCAAGGCGGGCGGGGTGGATTACAAGGTGAGGAGATCAAGACCATCCTGGCCAACATGGTGGAAATCCTGTCTCTACTAAAAATACAAATATTAGCCAGGTGTGGTGGTGGGCGCCTGTAATCCCAGCTACTCAGGAGGCTGAGGCAGGAGAATCGCTTGAACCTGGGTGGCGGAGGTTGCAGTGAGCTGAGATCACACCACTGGACTCCAGCCTGGCGACAGAGCGAGACTCCGTCTCAAAAAAAAAAAAAAAAAGCCCGAGCCCCAAACTCCTTGGGGAGATGGATTTGAAGGTTTCCTCCTGTCTTGTTGTTTGGTGGCTCCACGATAATACCTCTTTCTCTGCGCAACCGGGTGTCTCGGTGTACTGACTTAATGCCTGCATTGGGTGATGGTGATGGACCTATTACAGTTCCAGCAGGAACCCCTGAATTATAGCCAGTGGGTCAGAAGTGCAGGCAGCCAGGCCTTGCAACCAACATCTGAAGTTGTGGGGGTCTTGTGGGAATGAACCCTTAACCTGTGAGGTCTGTGCTAACTCCAGGTAGATAGTGTTAGAATTGAATGTAGGACATCCAGCTGGTGTCTGGAGAATCAGAGAATTGATTGTTGGCATTGAGAAAACATTCCAGACACCGTGAAAGTAGGAGAGAGAGGCAGATGGAAGTTTAAAGTCCAAACGTGAGTTAAAGAGAAATAGTAAAAACTGCTGGCCAATGCTGTCTTCTCACTTGGTTCATGGGTAAGACAGAAAGGACTGTGACATAGACATCAGCAGCATTTCTTCAGGCGTGATCCTAGGAACAATGGCATGGGGATCACCTGAAGTGCTTGTTAGACCCTGACGAAGATTCTCTCCCTCGCCATTCTCTAAGCAGGCACCTCTGAACTCTCTTCTCCACCAGGCTCTGACTTCTGGACCTCTTTGTTCATCTTTGCATTGTCCGATTTTAGCCAGAAGCCTGCTAAGTCAGTTTACCTAGAACGCCCCAACCCTGATATCTGATTGGGTTCCTCACCCTCCACCAACCCCCAGGTGACGTCTGATCACTCTGGCCTGCCTTCAGCAAGAATCCTGTTAGAGTCGATTTAGCTGGAATCCGACTATATCCCTGATGTCTCCTCTGATCCTCCCGCCACCCCCGCCAACTCAACTATAAATTCCCACTTTTCCTTGTATTTGGAGTAGAGCCTAATTTCTTGCCCCAACTGACTGCAAAACCCCATCGTGGCATTCTCTACAGCTATTGCAATAGTCCCCCTGAACAATGTCTGCCTTATCCTTCTTTATCGAGTGTCATGAACAATCTTTTTCTTTAACAACATGAAGATTCTTGAGTCTGTGCATCTCTTTAACAACATGAAGAACCAGAATCCTAGAGTATGAAGACCTGGCATTGTCATTTTTAATATGATGACTATGATATATGTTAAAGTTTGAGAACTATGGCCTGTCAAAATGAAGAGTTGCTGCCATTTGTGGTGGCTCACACCTGTAATCCCAGCACTTTGGGAGGCAGGAGGATACTGTGAGCCTAGGAGTTTGAAACTAGCTTGGACAACATAGCCAGATCCTGTCTCTACAAAAAATTTAAAAAAATTGGCAGGGTGTGGTAGCACAGACCTGTGATGCCAGCTACTTGGGAGGCTAAGGTGGGAGGATAACTTGAGTTTGGGAGGTTGAGGCTACAGTGAGCTGTGATTGTGCTCCTGCATTCTAGCCTGGGCAACAGCAAGACTTTGTCTCAAAAAAAAAGTAGAGTTGTGAATAGTCTCTACACACTCAAAGTGCCTTATACTTTTTTTTTTTTTTTTTTTTTGAGATGGAGTCTCACTCTATTGCCCAGGCTGGAATGCAATGGCACAATCTTGGCTCACTGCAACCTCTGCCTCCCGGGTTCAAGTGATTCTCCTGCCTCAGCCTCCTGAGTAGCTGGGACAACAGGCACCCGCCACCATGCCCGGCTAATTTTTGTATTTTAGTAGAGGTGGGGTTTCACCATGTTGGCCAGGCTGGTCTCAAACTCCTGACCTCATGATCTGCCTGCCTCCGCCTCCCAAAGTGCTGGGATTACAGGCGTGAGCCACCGCGCCTGGCCGCCTTTTACTTTTATATACAATATTAGAGCTGAAAGGGCCTGAGTCTTCAAATGTAGACAACAGAAGTTGTAATTTGGCCAAGATCACTTTATCAGTGGCTTAACAGGCTGGAATCCAAATATCCTAGGCCACACACCCACATGCGTACTGCATTTGACTTGAATCTGTTATCTATTATTTCTTAATTGTCTATGCAATGGACCCACAGACTTTCACATGTGAACACTTACTTTTTCTTGCTCTGGATCAACTGAAATTCAGACAAATCTGAAAAGAAATGACTTAAATTGGAGTATTTATTTAATCTATGGAAAGTTCTGACATCTTACTGATAATGATGACATAATAAAGGGCACAACAAGCATGTTTTATTAAAAAGTTTCTAACGGACAGATCAGTGCCATTTCTAGTCACAGCTGCTTCTCACTGCCTGAGTCTCACCAAGGAGAGAAATTTTTTGAGTTCAAGTTTATTTCAAGTGTTAAGTGAAATTTTATTTTAGTGGATTAGAGTATTGCTTCCCGAATGCGGTTTCAACTTGCAAAATGTTAGATCCTGAGGAATGTGTGTGTGTGCATGTGTGACAAGCCTTTCCTTGGAAGTATTATCCTTTAATCTGGGATTATGTCCCTACTTATTTTGGGGTTGAGAGGGAAATGAGGAGGTGGGAGTTAAAATGTCTTTCTTGTTATGAATAATGGGTGATAGCTTTAAAAAATCTGGCAAAAATGAATGATGGATTTTTTTCAAATCCATAAAATCAAAAGTTTGTAAACACAACTAAGTTATGTCACCTTATCTTTTTTTTTGAGACAGAGTCTCGCTCTGTCGCCCAGGCTGGAGTGCAAAGGCATGGTCTTGGCTCACTGCAACCTCTACTTCCCGGATTCAAGCAATTCTCCTGCCTCAGCCTCTCCAGTAGCTGTGATTACAGGTGCCCACCACCATGCCCGGCTAATTTTTGTATTTTTAGTACAGATGTGTTTCACCATGTTGGCCAGGCTGGTCTCAAACTCTGACCTTGCTATCCGCCCGCCTCAGCCTCCCAAAGTGTTGGGATTACAGGTGTGAGCCACCACGCCCAGCCACATTATTTTATTACTGTTCCCACATAGTGAATCTCATTTTAGCATAAAGTCAATGTCCATACAGAAGAGCACACACCCAACATCCTCACCCTGAGTTCCACATCATTTCTATAATGGTCTCTTGCATGCCACTTCATTCTTCTTAGTCCCACCATTTTCATGACCAAATGTGTGCCCCTCCAATTCAACCTGTTTCTGACCACGGCCTCCATCACTGACCTGTTTCTGACCACAGCCTCCATCACTGACCTGTTTCTGACCACAGCCTCCATCACTGACCTGTTTCTGTCCACAGCCTCCATCACTGACCTGTTTCTGACCACAGCCTCCATCACTGACCTGTTTCTGACCACAGCCTCCATCACTGACCTGTTTCTGACCACAGCCTCCATCATTGACCTGTTTCTGACCACAGCCTCCATCATTGACCTGTTTCTGACCACAGCCTCCATCACTTACCTGTTTCTGACCACAGCCTCCATCATTCAGTGTTAGTGTTCCACTCCTCCCACAACAGTGGATCTTCACGTCCATCAGGGCCATCGGGCCATGGATCACACGTCTTATTCCCTATTAGTCCCTTCTTTTCATTTCTGTGTCTATCCAGCTTGGAGTCCATGGTTCATCAATTTGGAAAGTCATTTTGCAGTACTCCAAAATCTGTGGCTCCTGTCTTTTTAAAATCAATGTGGGAAAAAGCCCAAAGCTGGACAAAGCCAACACATGCGCTATCCATGGCAGTACCCAAGCAGCCGAGGGTCATCAGGTAGATTCACACAGCCGCACGGCCTGGAACCACTGCACATTTGTAATCGCTGGTTTCAAATGGGCCCCTACACATGGCCCAGCAACGTTACTAATCTCTGGTCAACTCCCATTCGTGACAATGATTGTTTCAAGCCTGCCTTACTCTTCTAGCCCTCAATCTATCATCTCCCTAACTTTGAACAGAGTTCTTGTCTTCTGCTTCACAGAAAATATAGAAGTTACAGTAAGGGAACTTCCTGCCACAAAACTACAAATGTAGCTTCACACCCAGCCCATTAAAAAAAAAATAAAAAAGGTTCTTCACTTCTTCACACTCCACCCCCAGCTAGGCTAGAATTTACTGCTTGGGTTCTTAGGAACTCTATACTGTCAGTTACCTTTCCCTCTAGTTAATTTTCAGTGTTTCTCTTAACTGGATCCCCACCATCAGCATTAAACCTATTCAAAGCTCTCTCACTTAAAAACAAAACCCCCAAATCTTCCAACTCACCTTCTTCTCCAGCTCCTTCCCTCTCTCCTGTGTGGAAGCTCCAGTGTATCTAACCTGTCTCCTTCACTATCAGGGGAAACCAGCCCCCGATATTTCACATAGGTTCTTTTCTATTTCTCTAAGTGTTGGCCGGTCTAGAAATAAAGGGAAAGAGTACAAGAGAGAAATTTTAAAGCTGGGTGTCCGGGGGAGACATCACATGTCGGCAGGTTCCGTGATGCCCCCTGAGCCGTAAAACCAGCAAGTTTTTATTAGCAATTTTCAAAGGGGAGGGAGTGTACAAATAAGGTGTGGGTCACAGAGATCACATGCTTCAAGGGTGACGAAAGATCACAAGGCAGAAGGTCAGGGTGAGATCACAAGGTCAGGGCAAAACTGGAATCACTAATGAACTTCTATGTCCCACTGTGCTCACATTGTCATTGATAAACATCTTAACAGGGTTCAAGAGCAGAGAACTGGTCTGACTAGAATTTGCCAGGCTGGAATTTCCTAATCCTAGCAAGCCTGGGGGCGTTGCAGGAGGCCAGGGTGTGTTTCATCCCTTATCTGCAACTGCATAAGGCAGACACCCCCAGAGCGGCCATTTCAGAGGCCCCCTCCCCTCCCCAGAATGCATTCTTTTCCCAGGGCTGTTAATTATTAATATTCCTTACTGGAGAAAGAATTCAGTGATATTTCTCTTACCCATTTTTGGTAATAAGAGAAATATGGCTCTGTTCTGCCCGGCCCACAGGCAGCCAGACTTTAAGGCTATTTCCTTTGTTCCCTGAAAAATCGCTATTATCCTATTCTTAAGGTGCCCAGATTTCACACTGTTCAAACACACATGCCCTATGAACAATTTGTGCAGGTAACACAATCATCACAGGGTCCTGAGGCGACAGACATCCTCAGCTTACGAAGATGACGGGACCAAGAGATCAAAGCAAAAACAGGCATAGGAAACCACAAGAGTATTGACTGGGGAAGTGATAAAGGTTCATGAAATCTTCACAATTTATGTTCCTCTGTCAGAGCCTCAGCAGGTCCCTCCGTTCGGGGTCCCTGACTTCCCGGAACACTTCACAGCTGAGTTGCTGCCATTTTTTAACACCAAAACAACGTTGTGATGAAAAGCTCATATATAATTTTGTACACACACAGGTGTATGGGTAGGCTGGATTCCAAGAAATGGGACTGCTACTTCAAAGAATAATTTGATAGGTATTGTCAGATTCCCCTCCACAGAGTATTTTACCGTATCATACTCCCACCAACGGGAGAGTATACATTTCCCACATCTTGCCAACAGAATATGTCACCAAACTGGGGTTTTTGCCGGTCTGATAGACGACAGATACTTTAATGTGCATTTCTCTTATTATGATGCAGATCAAGCTGTTTATTGAATTTAAGGGACATTTGGGTTTTCTTTTTTCTGTGAACTGTTTGTTCATGTCCTTGGCTCATTTTCCTATTGGGTTGCTGGTCTTTTCCTTTGTATCTGAAACCTCTTTACTTAACAGGGAGACTAGAATAAGCCAGATTTTCCTCAACACTATAGAACCACCGCTTTCATATGGCCTTAAAGAACTCATTTATGCTACTCTCTACTCCTCAGAAACAGAAGTCTCCTTTTCCTAGTTAGGACAATTTATTTTGTTTCTGATTTAAAAGTAATATATTTTCATTACAGAAATATTGGAAGAAATTTAAAACCACCCACAACCCCACTTTCCTATATTCCTTTTCTAAGCATATGAAGTAAAAAGACAGCAAATTCCTCTGTCAAAATCCCAGCGCCCAGAGGAGGCCATCAGTAAACATCAACGGCTTGTTGTATATCCTCTTAGGTTGTTCTTCCCATTAGACACTTATCTTGTGGAAAAAGTTTCAAATTCACACATATGGTCATATTTAAGGCCTGAGATCTATGCAAACAAAGTATCTTCCTGGCATTGTGGTCATTTCAGGGTCAGGAACTTCTGCGAGGACTTGGGAAGCATAAGCGATCTGTCTGCCCTGATCTAACTGCCACCACCTCAAAAAACTAGGCTAGGGTTCTGGTGCTTCCTCTTTGACTCTTCCAAATCAAGCTTCTGATTAAAAACATTTTAACTTCCAATTAGTGGCACAACATCAAAAACAACAGCAACAAAAAACTCAAAGACATTGGTAATTTTAAGTTTGAATGTATATTTTGAAATAAAAATGGAAAATAACAAATTTGTACAAAATTGTCACATAGAAACACACTTTAAGATACCATTACATGCTATGTGTATTTACAAAAGTTACAGGTCTAGTAAGAAAAAAGAAACTGTCATTGACAAATGCGAGCTCATTTTTTGAGCAACAAGAAATCTCCCGTGAAATGTCATACTGACAGCCAGTGAGACTTGGTGCAGTGACGGCTCCGCACCTGCTGAGGCCTGGAGCCTGCCTCCCGGGCTGAGGGCTCAGCTCTGGCCTCCGGCTGGATGCCGTCTAGAGTCCTATGTGCTCATAGGTCTTTTTCTTTCAGTAAACAGTATAAAACATTACTATTTTCCTTTGATTGTAAACTTCAACAGAAAATAACATACTTAAGAATTTTGCTACAAAGAGTACTATGATTTTTATTGCCTCACCACCTTTAGAACATTTCCACTTCACAAGTTTCTGATTTGCTTCACTTTCTTACTTGGCGATGGCGCCCTGGCAGCATCATCCACACATACCAGTGCGTATGGAGAAATGGGCTGTAGGCCCTTCCTGCGTGGTCCATGGCTCTGCCTTCATGGAACAGGCTGAGTCATGTCTCTGCTCAGGCTCAAACCATCTACTCTCAAGTTACAGGCAGCTCAGCCCATTCATTTATTGCTTTCCTTATATTCCACTGTTTATTATTTAAGTTGTATTTTCATATGTTCCTATAGAATTTATTCACATTACCTGGCTAATAATCAACAGTTTGGGGTTTTTATATAATAGCTCTTCAGATATATTGCTGGTATATGAAGCTCAACTGATATGCATAGGGACAAATCAGAAGATATTTATGCTGGTAGATCCAGGGGCATTGTAGCACCTTACAGTTAAAACTCCACCCCTCTATGAATGTTAAGTTTTAGCCTTAAAAGTCAAGTTAGTTTGCTCACACTTTCTCTCACATAAAATATTAGTTTCTTTCTCAATATTAAACATTATTATTATTTTTTTACAACAAAAGTGTTCAGGACAAACATCACAAAACCATAATCCCAGATAAATGGTCTAAAAATGCAGTTAAGTCATCCGTGTATATCAATTCTAAAATAAAGGTTTGAGCCTTTGACCATGCCCACAGATGCCTAAGTTCTTCCACATCATCATTTCTACAGTTTGACAAAACTAGAATACACAGTCTTAAGTGGGGGGAATATCATAAAAATTCATTACTTCAATGTTTAACTTTTTCACAATTACTTGAAAATTCATAGCACAGCATCACTGTAACTTGCTAATCATGAAAGCTGTAAATTAACAATCATTGCCTCTCATAATGACTGCACCAGTATCCATTTTTATTTATTCCTAATTTAATTCAATTGCAACTACCTGACTGGAAGTTTGAGGTAGCTTCATAGTGGTTCTATTTGATGGAAGGAGTATGTCTTAAAGTACCCTCTGCAGCATGAGAGTAGGTCAAAATGAGAGGGAAATACAGTACCAAATATACCATCTTCTCACTTGGCATACAAACTAAAAAAAACCACCAACCAACCATTTCTTTAGTGATAAAAATAGAGTTCTTTTGTGAGCATGGAAACAATACATGGAATCTGTTTCTTTGCATGAAAAGTAGCGTCAAAGGAAAAGGACTCAAATTCTGTTGCCACCTTTCGGTTAACCCGGGTAAGAATGTGCATAAATTCAAGCTTGTCGGCATACTGTTTCAGCATGGCACAAAGCGACTGGATGAACCAGGAGCCATCCTTTGAATTTCGCCAAGAATAATAACCTAAAAGGCAAAATACAAGCAAAATACCATGGATAGCTGATTTTAGTTGATTCTATAAATTATTATGTAGTCATAAAGGCAAAAATAAGCATAAACTTACATAAGTCTTATTAGTCATACAAATAAAAAAAAAAAGACACCTTTGGTTTCAGAAGAAATGATGCTGAAGGACGAATGTGTGCTATGCGTACACCCCCTGCTTTCAGCAAAGCTGGCCGGGGACCAGCTTCACGAACACTGAATTATTGAAAGTTTTACTTTCTGGACTCCCCTTTCAATAGGCAAGAAGAGCAAACACGCAGAAGGTAAGATGCAAAAGTAAAGATGTATAAAAAGGATCATTGTAAGTAGCACAGTGTTCCAATCAGATTTCACCTTATTTTAATACTGACTTAGCCAAGAAACAAATTGCTTTGAGTGTCCTACTTGTCTACAGAGCATCTGAATAAAGTATAATAAACACACTACCAAGTATTGGTCCAAAAAGGGAAAATAGTATATTTATCATACTTTTTTTTCTAGGTTAACTATTAGACCCATTGCTTTTAACTTAGAGGTACTTTGCTTGGAAAGATGCCTAGAGGATAAGATAAACCATATTGAGCATATTTTAAAATGCAACACTGCTTAAGAATACATTTACCTAAAGTTTCCAAACTCTCCGACACCCTTAGCTGTGTGAGTAAATGGTGGTATAATCCACAAATGTTTATTTAGATGATGACGTGTGCAGCAGAACAGTAAAAACGTGGAGGTTAACGGCACATTCATGTATCGTTTTTTACCTTCTTTTCTCCCACTCCACATCTATCCTCTTGTATACTAGTCATGTTTATCTTTTTTATTTACTACCTTTCAAATAACTCCTGAGAAACGTACCTCTCTTCTTCTCTAAGATGCAGGGGAAGCTCTGACTTGGCCTCTGTTGCCACGTAATATTCTACCTGATATTAGTAGCGGAGATCTACCTGATAAAGTCCAATGAATGACATCGTGCTAGTCTACTCTACATATGCATATTTTCTTTTCTTTTTTTCCTTTGAGACGGAGTCTCACTCTGTCGCCCAGGCTGAAGTGCAGTGGTGCGATCTTGGCTCACTGCAACCTTTGCTTCCCAGGTTCAAGCGATTCTCCTGCCTCAGCCTCCCCAGTAGCTGGGATTACAGGCGTGTGCCACCATGCCCAGCTAATTTTTCTGTATTTTTAGTAGAGATGAGGTTGGCCAGGCTGGTTTTGAACTCCTGACCTCAAGTGATCCACCTGCCTCGGCCTCCCAAAGCGCTAGGATTACAGGCGTGAGTCACTGTGCCTGGCTATATATGCATATTTTCTAGCCAAACTTTTGGCTAAAGACAACTTTTTGAGACTTCTCTTTGATGAAGGTTCCCTAAAATATAGACAAGTTTTGATATCTTTAGGGATATCAAAATCTTGACAGTCTCTGAAACACACTTTTCATTGTATAATTCTATGATCAGTCACAGTTAATTCATTTAAAATCCACATGTAACATTCATTATGTGTAACGTTCTCACCAGGTGCTGTGGAGTATGCATACAAGAAGTCGGCCTCCACTGGTATTTTATGACACGCCATGTCATCATCAACACCACTGTCTGTCTCAATGCCACAGTCCAGTTCTGTACCACGGCAGGCCTGGGTGTTAGAAAATAAATATTTATTTATAAAAATTTGTGTGTGAACACATAACTTAGTTCTAAAAAATTGAAATGCTATGTAAAAATGGATGTTAATTGGCCGGGCGCGGTGGCTCACGCCTTTAATCCCAGCAATTTGGGAGGCCAAGGCGGGCGGATGACTTGAGGTCAGGAGATCGAGACCATCCTGGCTAACATGGTGAAACCCTGTCTCTATTAAAAAAAAATTTAAAAATTAGCTGGGCCTGGTGGCAGGCGCCTGTAGTCCCAGCTACTCAGGAGGCTGAGGCAGGAGAATGGCGTGAACCCAGGAGGCAGAGCTTGCAGTGAGCGGAGATCGCGCCACTGTACTCCAGCCTGGGCGACAGAGCAAGACTCTGTCTAAAAAAAAAAAAAAAAAAAAAAAAAAGGATGTTAATTATGCTGAGTCTTTTTGATATAAGTATAAAATTAAAATTTACTCTATATCTTTTAAGTGGTAAATAAATGAAAAGTAACAATAGTTCATTAGCTTCAGGAAAAAAATTATCCTTTGGATAATTTACAGTTGAGAATAGTAACCCCTGCTTAATCGTCAATAACCAAATCACTCAGTTAGACATTACCTGAATAATGAAAAGTTTGGGTTTTCCAGTTAGACTTCTACAACGATCCCCTCTGAAAAAGTTTGTTATTTTTTTCAGGTCAACAGGTCCATTTGTTCCAAAAATTATTCCTTCTTCACCATGGCTCAGAAGCACACAAACAAAACTGCTCCTTTTGCTGTGATCTTCTTTAGAAACTGTAAAGACATTTGCAAATAAAAGGAAAAAAAATCCATGACTTTATTCAACAACTTCAGATATACTGTATGGGAACATGATGAAGAAACTGAGACTAAAACTAAGAGGTCATCTTAACCTAACCTGGGGCACGGCAACACATCTCAAACCATTTTAGGAAGTTGGCATAAATAACTTTTTTTAAACTTCTTACTAAAGTATGTAAGATTAGGGTTATGTACAGTATAATTCCACAATTCTCATATTTTATTATACATATAATTATTGCTAGACCATAGTATAAAATTAATTGTACAATGAAGTTCATTCTAATTGTTTCTTCTTACCATCACGCATCAATTCCACAATTTCTTCACGTGTAAGATCATTTTTATTCCTGACTTCATATTTCAAGTTTCTGAATGTTTCCCTGAGGTTTGCTGCATCGACATCTGTACCAGACCGAGATGTCATTCCTTGGAACAGAAAGAATTACTTTTAATTGTATGGAAAACAAAGAATAACTACTTTGAAATGAAATTAACTACTCAGCAATTCAGAAGTCCACAATAAATTCTTCCTTTTAAATGGTAAGAGAATTCTAACTATTTTGAACATGGTGAACAAAATTTCTTCAATTTTGTAGCTTATAAGATACTTCATAATATAAGCTCATCAGTGTTATAGCCAAAATGATGTCTTTCACAGCGGTTTAGGTAGTGAAAAACACAAATGTCTAACAATAAGGGTTTGGTTAGACAAGCTATACTAACTTATATAATGGGATATACTATGTTGTCATTTTCACAGATAAAATGTTGCCATGGGAAAATCATCAGTTTAAAAAAATAAGACTAGAAAACAATACGATCCTATAATACATACACACATCTGTCACACTCAGAGGAAATGCGTTTCTCTGACTCTAACTTCCCAACAATTTTAAGATAGCATTACAACATTTATAGTGCCTTCAAGGAAAACCCCCAAACATTATTACTGTTCATCAGGTATTCTGCTATGGCTAATCTCTAATCCTTCCAATCACCATGAGAGTCATATTATTACTAGTTTCACTTGTGCAGATGTGGGACATGTAGCAGAGTTAACAAACCAGTCCAAAGTGACAAAGCTATGCTGGGCCTGTATCCAGGGCTCCTGGGCTTTCTACCACTCCTTTAGAGAACCTTCCACATTAACGTACAGATTGACTGCATGATGCACTCAGATTTCAAAATGCTAAATCTTGGTGGGAAACATCCCTCAGAATTGAGTAAATTTGATGGGTATGAAGATTAAATACAGAAAGTCTACATGTATCTCCAAAATGTTGTTGATTATCTCAGCTGTGTGACAAGGTCACTGGCTTCTGGTGCTGATGTGTTGGCTGCCTTTTAATTTTTATTTATTTTTATTTTTTAGACAGGATCTTGCTCTGTGGCCCAGGCTAGAGTACAGCAACCACAGCTCACTGCAGCCTCAACCTCCCAGATTCAAGCTATCTTCCCACCTCAGCCTCCCGAGTAGCTGGGACTACAGGTGCGCACCACCACACCCTGCTACCTTTTTTCTGTTTTGTAGAGATGGGATTTCCCTGTGTTGCCCAGACTGATCTTGAACTTTGGTGCTCAAGGATCCTCCTGCCTTGGCCTCCCAAAGTGTTGGGATTACATGTGTGAGCCATGGCGCCTGGCCCAACACCAGCCTGCCAGAGATCTCATGAGAACCTGACCTTTACATTGCAAAGTAGGAAAGGAGCTCACTGGGCAAAACCCAGACTGCTGGTCTAAATATGTGGGGGGAGGTGCTGGTGGTAGTGGAATAATATGCTTGTTTTTGGTTTTTGAAACAATAGAGCCAACAGTGCAAAATTCTATAGGAAGGAGGTATCCTAACTAGAAATGTGAGGCAGAATATCTAGAAGTAAATTTTCAAATATGCGTAAAGCAAAAGTAAACAAGGTGTTGTGTTTTTAAGTTAATGGTTGAAGGTGGCATCTCAACTTATAGCCAAAAGCAATAAAACTGATGCCATTTAGAGCTCCATTTTCAACTATTCTCTTCTCACTCCTTATAATTAATCTGACACAAACCCTGCTATCTTCCCAGTGTAATCTGGCTTCCTTCCATTTCCACCACCACTCTGATAGGTACTGGCCCACCTTAGATCTACTACAGCTTCTCTAATTAAAAATTAACTCTAATATGATTAATAGGCCAATTCAAAGAATTATCATAGCATCAATTTAAAAGGGAAACAGCCATAATGTTCATTCATACAGTAAATTATTCAAATTAAGTGAATGGTAGTTTTGGGGATGCAGTATTATATAATCATTATAACAGATATGAAAATTATGCAGCAATATGAAAAATGCTATTCCTTTAAGTGAAACAAGCAGAAGACAACATTGCTTATACGTTATGAATAAAATCAAGCTTTAAAAAGAACTGCCAAGAAAAAATAACAATACACCAAATATTAATTAGCTTTTTTGGCACTGTGAAGGATTTTATTATCTATATTTCTAAAAAAACATTCTCAAATGTAGTACTACATTCAAGTTGTACATAGTACAGAAATCGAGAGGGGGATCTGGTGGCAAGGCCATGGTAAATTTAAAGCAAGCAGTTTTAGTAGTAGAGACAGAAAATGGAAAAAGACTCAAGAAGGAATGGAAACAAATGAAGAGTACAAGCTTAAACTACATGTATTCAAAATTTAAGGAAGAAGGGAAGGAGACAAAATATCAAAGGAATCAAAAGGAACAGAGTAAAAGAAAGGTCTCTCTAAGATGGGGAGCTTCGTAGGGTAAGGGAAGACAGGCAACAGAGCACATGAGGATACAAGGAAGTGAAGCAGAACAGAAGATGGATTCAGAGCTTGGGCTTTGGAGCCACACAGACCTAGCTCTGCCGCCATACTGTGTGACTGCGCGAGGTCTTTAACCTTTCAGAATCTCATCGTTACTTTCCAGGTTGTCATAAATTAAATAAGGCAATGCTTGTGATATCTCTTGCAGTTTCTGGGGAAAAAATAAATACTACCACTTAACTGTTTTTTTGAGAACCTTCCATTGGGATCAAAGAGGAAGCAGAAAGAAGAAAAAGAAGCAAGGGCTACAGAGAAGTCAGGGCAGAGGCAACCAAGCATACAGATAGGAGGCCAGCAAGAGGAGGCTATGAAGTTGGGCAGAAGAGTGACGCGTTCACAGTGTATCAGAGGACCTGTAGGTCCTGCCCAATCTCTACTTCACAGCTAGTCTGTGTCACGGTTTACTGTCTAATACCTCAATAATACTGCTTTTAATATTATATCAAATGTAAATGGCACAAACATTTGAAAAGGATTAAAAATTATGTAAGACACATACCAGTGCTTTTATGAAAATTCTTATTATTAATTATTATACATAAACCCATCTCAGGATAATCCATTTTATAACTGTTGTCCAGGGATATTCCAGAGTCCATTGATTCGCTTCCATGTATGATCTTTCTGTTTAGAAATCAAATAATAGCTTTACAAAGGTAGAAATGACCACGCCTTCTGTTTATATTAGTGCAATTTTTATAACTCACAGTAACAGTTAACACTTGTTGAATGTTATAAACCAGGCTGTCTTCATTTCAATTTCACATCAACAGTTATACAGATGAGAAAATGACCTGACGTGAGGCTAAGTAATGTGCTAAAGGTTATGCAAATATTGTGTCACAGCCAAGAAGGAAGGAAAGCATCTGTTGGACTTCAGAGTTCAGGCTTTTAACTTCCATGTTTTACATTTTCCTCTAAATTCTTCAAAATTTCATCAAATACCTTTATAATTTAAAAATTACTTATTAACTTTGTGAAATATTTTATCCTTTGAGGTAAGAGTAAAAATCTTAAAAATTACCCTGAAATGATGGGAAATCAACAAAATGCAAATATAACTCAAAGCACAATATTTATCACAATTCATAAATTATTCCTTAAACCCCATGAGCTAAACAAATTAGTAATTTATTAATATATAAAAGCATTATTGTAAATAATTGAAAATATCTGTCTGGAAGTCACTTATCTAAAAAAACCTCTGCTATCTAGATTGGGGTCAGTAAACTTTTTTTTTAATGGGCTAAATATTAAGTGTTTTAGGCTTGTGGGCCATCTGGTTTCTGTTACAGCTACTCAATTCTATTCTTTTTTTTTTTTTTTTGAGACATGGTCTGGCTCTGTCACCCAAGCTGGAGTGCAGTGGTGCCATCATAGCTCACTGCAACTTTGAACTCTTGGGCTCCAGTGATACTCCTTCCTCAGCCTTCTGAGTAGCTAGGACTACAGACAGGCATGCCCCACCATGCCCAGCTAATTTCTGTATTTTCTTTTTTAGAGACAGGATCTCGCTATGTTGCCCAGGCTAGTCTTGAACTCCTGGCCTCAAGTGATCCTCCTGCCTTGGCCTCCAAAAGTGCTGGGATTACAGTTGTGAGCCACTGTGCCCAGCCATAGCTGCTCAATTATACTGGTGAAACGGGCTTAGGACAATATGTAAGCGAATGGATGTGCCTATATTCCAACGAAAGTTGATAAAAACAGGCCTTAAGCTTGATCCCTGATCTAGACCAAGAGTCAGGCAAAAACAGGTCTAGGAACTACCAAACACTAACACCTACAGTCCATATACTCATGCACTTAACCTTAAGAGCATCTCACATTATACACAATTCCAAAAATACTGTTGGAAAAAGATTAAATGTAGTAAATTAAAGGAGTCAACGTGAGAAAACAGTTATGATTTTTAACCAGAGGTGAACAGCCTCACATTTACAGACTGAAGTTAAATCCTGAAAGCGTGACTTGACCTTTGAGTCCTACAGATGATGGATCATGGGACTTATGACTCCCAGCTCCCGACACCCCTTCCCCACGTGCTCTGGGTGCCTCCTAAGGAGGTAGGTACTTTACAAGCATATGATAGCTAGTCCACGAGGGGATACTCCTAATAAAAGGCAGAGGCTGTGAAAGCCGGGACTGTGAGGGCAACTTACCAAAGGATCGAAACAACCCTAAACCTGTCTGGGGCTTCCGTGCAACTTGTTATTGAAGTGGTGTTCTGCATGACATGAAAAGGTAGGGCCAGGCAGGGTGGTTCACACCTGTACTCCCAGCACTTTGGGAGGCCGAGGCAGGAGGATCCCTTGAGGCCAGGCATTGGAGACCAGCCTGGGCAACACAGCAAGACCCCCATCTCTACAAAAATAAAAAACAAAAATAACCAGGCATGGTGGCACATGTCTGTAGTCCTAGCTACTCAGGAGGATTACTGGAGCCCAGGAGTGCAGTGAGCCATAATCAGATCACTGCACTCCAGCCTGTCTCAAAAAAGAAAGAAAAAAAAAATAGTAGGAAAATGTGTAAATCACTTTCAAAGGATTTTTTTGAAGAGATGGGGTCTTACTTCACTGTAACCTCTGGCGTGTAGCTAGGACTGACTACAAGCACACACACTATGGTGGACTAATTGTTTTTTGTTTTTTTGTAGAGACAGGGTCTCGTTATGTTGCCCAGGCTGGTTTCAAACTCTCCACCTCAAGTGATCCTCCTGCCACAGCTCCCACGTAGCTGGGATTACAGGAGCAAGCCACTGCACTGGCTAAAATGATTTAAATGACAGCAACAACTCTCTAAAATGGGACTGCATTTTAAAAGTTTACTTTCTAGAAAAATCCCTTTGCTAAACAAAATTGTGAAATCTTTAGTGGTAACTTGTTAATAGTATTTCTGTAATCATATTGTTTAGTAATAAAATTAGTTTGTAATATTCAGGGCAGCCGAGAATAACAATACTGGGTTTCAGAAATAAACTTTCAGAATTTAAAGTATTACGAGAGATCCCAAATAAATAATAACAGACAAGAATTAAAAAGTGAATTTGAGTTTTATCTTTTTCCTTTTTCCATCTGCTAGTTATTGGAAGCATTAATAAGCAGAATATTCCAAAAAGACACGGGGAAAAAAAGGGTAAAATTCATCCATAACTAGGCAGTTTGTCCCCGGACTGAAAACTGGCATTGCATTTTAGTCGTAAAAACTCATAAACAAGAGGTCAAGAAACTCCTCCCAAACCTAAACCCTCTAATCCTATAGAGCGATTCGGGAGGGTAGAAAGCACCGGCGCTTGGGAGTCCTGCCTCTCCTGTGGTGTCCTTTTGGTTCCAGGACTAGGTTTCCAACTATGGGTCACACACCCTACTAGGCCTTTCCTTTCATCTTCCCTTCAGTTCTGTGAAAGTTTTAGCCCCATGTTAAAGACGAGGTTCAGAGAAGAAAAGTCAGTTTATGCAAAGCCACACAGCTGTCTGAGGTAGGAAGTCACTTGGTCTCTCTGGCCTGAGAGAGAGACCACTCTCTTTCCTCTTGCCCCACTGCTCGAGGTTTGCTTATTACACATCCCCATCTTTCTCTGATTATAAAGAATTCAATTTAAATACTCACGGTTCCAAATTTTTAATGGATTTTGAATCCACTGAGTTTTCAGTGTTCTCCATGGATACCTTTATTAACTAGAATACAAAGAAAATAGAAGTTAATAAAAAATCAGTCATAAAACCACTGCATTATATTAATTATCCCAGTGATTATTTTTCCAAATTAATACCTCAGTTCTCCCTCTACTGTTAAAGGTGTATGTGAGTCAGTTCTGGGGATAATGATTTCTTTGCAATGGTACATACAATTTAGCCTCTCTCTCTCTTTTTAATTGAGCTATGAATTATATATAGTGAACTACATAAAGCATATAGAAAGTATACAGCTCGATTTTTTATATTTACATACCCTCATCAGATCAAGATACAGATTACAGTTTATTTCTTTTGTAAGACAACACCTCGGGTCATTTCTAAGAACTGCAACTCAACACAGTTAAAACAAAAATCAAAAACTTCCCACCACAATGGTATAACTCACATAACACAATTCTACAATGCTTAGATTCCCAAGATACAGTATCAAGATGTTCCAAATCTCCATTAATCTTTATTCTTTTTTTTTTTTTCTTTTGAGGCAGGGTCTCACTCTGTCACCCAGGCTGGAGGGCAGCGGCGCAATCACGGCTCACTGCAGCTTCGATCTCCTGGACTCAAATTCTCCCGCCTCAGCCTCCCGAGTAGCTGGGATTACAGGCATGCACCACCATGTCTGGCTAATTTTTGTATTTTTTGTAGACATACGGTCTCGCTGTATTGCCCAGGCTGGTCTCAAACTCCTGAGTTCAAGTGATCTGCCCACCTAGGCCTCCTAAAGTGCTGGGATTACAGGCAAGAGCCACCGCACCCGGCCTAGTCTTTACTTTTAAAGTGGGTTTTGGAAGCCCAGCTTCTCATTTAGGGTAGTAAAATGGCCCAGGAAATGTAAAAGTAGAAACTAAAGTTTCTGCTTTCATTCTTCCATTACACAATTATATCTCACAAGGTGAACCAGTTCTTAGAATCAAAGCAACTATCACTTATTGAGCACTTAATATATACCAGGTACTTTGCAAGGCACTCAGTTTTAATCTTTTCAAAATTCTAAACGTCAGAAAACCCAACTTCTGGTGGTTAAGTGACTTTGTCGACAGTCACAATCTAAGTGACAGGGCCCTCTTCCCACTCTGCTATGCTGCCTCTGAAGAAGCCAGCTCCTTACTACTTTTCTGGAGTTCTACCAGGCATTTTCTGGCTTTTCGAAGCAAAGGTACTTCCCATGGCAATCCACCTCCCTAAATAGAGGAAAACAAGAACAAAGGCAAAACAAAAAACAAAAACAAAAAATACTGAGTGACCTTCTCCACACTCTAGAAACCCTGACAATGTCAAAAATTCCAGTCAAAATACAACTTTAACCTCACTCCTATGATAAAATCAGAAATACCAAAATAATACACAAGCCTATAACAGAACTTGCTCACCCTCAAAAGTCCTTCTAGAAAGTCCTAGGTAACTTCCCCCACTTTTAAAAATTTTAATCTTTAAAACTGTGGTGAAATAGACATAAAATTTACCACTCTTAAGCGTACAGCTCAGTGGCATTGAGTACAGTTACACTGTTGGAATCCATCCCAGGACTTTTTTATCTTCCCAAACTGAAACCTTTACCAAGGTCCCCAATTTCAAGGTCTCTTGGAAAACATCATTTCTTCCCTTCTATTAAGACAAAGCTAAGCTCCTTCCTCCCCTCTCTCCCAGTTTTGTGTGCACCCCTGGTGAGGAAAGGTGCAGCAATAATATAGAAGACAGCCAGTGCCACCATCTCAATTTAACCACAGGAGAGGGTGATGTTTGACCTTCTCCAAGAGCCAGTCTATGCTCTGCATTTCTACGAAGACTTTGCTTTTCTACCATCTTACTTCCTGTAGGCTTTCTGGAAAATCAAGGGAAGATGTGAGTATAATTGGGATAAATCATCTTTTAGTTTGTCAGTAAACAAATACTTTGTGCCAGGTATCATCCTGGGAAATAGGACAGAGTGGAAGACAAGACAAAGTTCCTATCTTCCATTAGATCTTACTTTAGATAGAAGAATAATTATACAGTAGTATACCTGTGGGGCAGGGGCAGGGGGTACCTCCCAAGTCCCCCAGTAGATGCTTGAAACCAAATACAGTACTGAGCCTATATGCAGCATATTTTTTCCTATACGTACATACCTATGAAAAAGTTTAGTTTATAACTTGGGCGCAGAAAGGGATTAACAACAATAACTAATACGGGTACCTGAACATAAACACTGCCATACCATGACAGTTGATCTGATAATCGAGACAGCTACTAAGTGACCTGCCATTAGTCACTCAGTACATATTACATATTAGTATGTCTTCACATATTAACATATTTATTAACAGTGGCTGTCTGGGTGATGGCATTACTGACACCTTATTTACTCCTTAACATTCCTCTATATCTTCTAATTTTTCTATAACATCTGCATTTTTTAAAAGTGAGAAAACAGTAACAAATATTATTCTATAAAATAATATCAACAAAGGTCAGGATTGTTCTAGCCAATTTCAACTCTTGGCCCTGTTTCAAGAGTGACAAAAATAGGGGTATTCTCCTATCAAAGTAGCCACCCTTCCTTGCCTCTATCATGCTCAGTACCATGTTCCCCTCTATCTGCCCTTTTTTCTTTCATATGTACAATAAACATGTATTAGGTACCAGGAAATCTCGAACTTCCTTGAACCATGAATATCATAGAGACCAACTTGCCCCATGCACATCAATTCAAAGCGGACAGACCACATACAAAATCATTAGCCACCTGTGGTTGAGAAACAAATTGTGGTTAACTTGATTAACTGAGAGAACAGTACAGGGTAGCTAACAAGTCTGGAAACGTAGGTGAACACATAATAGTTTACTGATATTGCATTATAATCCATGAGAAAATATCTTTGTTTCAAGACTTTATGGCCAATCTATAGAAAATCTAAAGTGAAAATCCAGTGGGCCTCATCAAAGATACACAGACTGCAAATAATGGGAAATGCTAATTAAAGCAACAATGAGGTATCATTACATACCTAGCAGAATGGCCAAAACCAGAACACCATCAACACCAAATGCTGGTGAGGATGTGGAGCAACAGGGATTCTCAATCACTGCTCGTGGAAATGCAAAATGGTACAGCCAACTCGAAAGACAGTTTGGCAGTTTCCTACAAAACTAAACATACTCTTACCATATGATCCAGCCATATGGTAAATACGCACTCTTTGGTATTTACCCAAAGGAGTTGAAAACTTATGTTCACACAAAAGCCTGCACACAGATGTTTATAGCAGTTTTATTCATAACTGTCAAAACTAGAAGCAACTAAGATGTCCTTCAGTCGGTGAATGAATAAATAAACCGTGGTATATCCAGAGAACAGAATATTACTGAGCACTAAAAAGAAATGAGCTAGCAAGCCATGAACACTTTAAATGCATTATTACTAAGTGAAAGAAGCCAGTTTGAAAAGGCCATATATACCGCATGATTCCAACTATCTGACAATCTGGAAAAGGCAAAACTATGGAGACAGTAAAAAGATCAGTGGTTGCCAGTGGCTAGGAGGGAGGGAGACAGCACAGAGAATTTTTTTTTTTTTTTTTTTTTGTTTTGAGATGGAATTTCGCTCCTTGCTCAGGCTGGAGTGCAGTGGCGTGGTCTCGGCTCACTGCAACCTCCGCCTTTAGGTTTCAAGCGATTCTCCTGCCTCAGCCTCCTGAGTAGCTGGGATTACAGGCGCATGCCACCATGCCAGGCTAATTTTTGTATTTTTAGTAGAGACGGGGTTTCACCATGTTGGCCAGGCTGGTCTCGAACTCCTAACCTCGTGATCTGCCCGCCTTGGCCTCCCAAAGTGCTGGGATTACAGGCGTGAGCCACCGTGCCCGGCCCGCACGGAGACTTTTTAAGGCAGTGAAACTACTCAGTGTGACAATATAATGGTGGATACAAGTCCTTGTAAATTTGTCCAAAACCATAGGATAAACAGCACCAAGAGTGAACTTGATTGTGAACGATGGCGTTTGGGTGATGATGACGTGTCAGTGTAGGTTCCTTTGTAAGAATGTACTACTCTGGTGCAGGATGTTGATAATGGGGGAGACTACGCACGTGTTGGGGGGCAGGTGGGATACAGGATGTCTCTGTACGTTCTTCTCAATTTTGGTTTGAACCTAAAACTGCTCTAAAAAATGAAGTCTAATTTAAAAACTGGGAAATAAGACTTAATAACTTCGGAAGCTGAACCTGGAGCTCCTGGCAGTATCCTTTCTAGCCCCCAGTCTGCCTCAAATTGGCTCTCTGAATGCATGTGCCAAATGCAGGGTTCACAGTCTGTGCTCAGGAACCCCTAAATGCTGATCAGCTTCCACAGACAACCAAGGACCTAAAGATCTCTTTTGAACACTTCTGCAAACAGTCTAGTAACTCTTACACTGAAATACTGACTTTTAATAAACTTGTGTCTTTTGCCAGCAATAAAATTGTGGGATAAAATTATTCTCTCCTTGTGACTGGTAATGGAAACTTTAAATAGTGACCAGCTTTTCAGAGTACTGTAATATACAAATACTATACAAATACTATAGTGGACTTCATTAACTTCATTATTAGTATCTGAACAACATACATTGCCTCAGTTATCAGTTTATTTTGATATACTTCTAAAAATTTATATGATGGTAGATGAAATCCTTACAGCATCAGACATGCGCACATTTGCTCTCTACTTGTCATCATCCGCTTTTTCCACATGAAAGCACCAAATCCACACTCCTGGGAGCAGAGCTTTGGTTCCCGCAAAACTCACTGAAGTGCTGCTTAGCATGACATCACCTCCATTAGCTAGTGCCCAGCAGGGTACAAATTATTCTGAGGATGGTGATCTCATCTTAGAAGGATAAAAAAATCACATCCTAAGGGAAATAGTCACTGCCTTAAATGAAAACAGAAATTTTGCCTGTAATCCCAGCACTTTGGGAGGCCGAGGCGGGCGGATCACAAGTTCGGGAGATCAAGACCATCCTGGCTAACACGGTGAAACCCCGTCTCTACTAAAAATATAAAAAATTAGCCAGGCGTGGTGGTGGGTGCCTGTAGTCCCAGCTACTCAGGAGGCTGAGGCAGGAGAATGGCGTGAACCCGGGAGGTGGAGCTTGCCGTGAGCCGAGATCGCGCCACTGCACTCCAGCCTGGGCGACAGAGTGAGACTCCGTCTCAAAAAAAAAAAAAAAAAAAAAAGAAAACAGAAATTTTGGTTTTTAGAACATTCTTATTTGACAAAATATAAATAGGAAAAATAATTGTGATTTAAAAGATTTATCCTGGCATAGCAATGGACTTAACATGAATTGTTTCTTACTGGGCTGATGTGTGTGTAATTCTGTTCAATTCAGGATGCTGCTGCTAAGAAAGGAAATTTCTGAACACATATGTTTATGGCAAAGTTCTCAGTAGACCAACTGATATTACTTAGAAACCTGGAACTCAGGTCTCAGAATCACTTGTCTAGTTCCTGGATCCCTTAACACTTGCCACCAACGCTGTAACAGTCAGGTCTTCAAACACAAAAAAATATTGTCAGTATAAATTTACTTCACTCTAAAATAGATACTTAGACATTTCAAGCTGTGTTTTCCTACACAAGTAAAAAACTAGAATGTTCTCCCTATTTACATGGTGGTTAGCCAACTACTCATTACAATACTGAAGTAAAGCAGACTACAACATCTATAGCATTAAGGCAGAGAAATAAAAATTAATTTCTAAAGTGAAATTTCTATATTAAGCTATAAAGTATTAACAATTTGAAACAACCTGTTATTAAAGAGTGAATGTGTGAAAGTGTGCCTGTGGTGGGGAATTCAAAAGGAGATGTTAAATTAGGATTGCCAGTCTCTAAAACTGAAAGAAAAAATACATTATTTTACAATAGGATTTAAAATATTTGATAAAGATTTCTCAGGGACAAATACTATAGTGGACTTCATTAACTTCATTATTAGTATCTGAACAACATATATTTTCTCAGTTATCAGTTTATTTTGATATACTTTAAAAATTTATATGATGGTAAAGGAAATCCTTACAGCATCAGACATGCGCACATTTGCTCTCTACTTGTCATCATCCGCTTTTTCCACATGAAAGCACCAAATCCACACTCCTGGGAGCAGAGCTTTGGTTCCCGCAAAACTCACTGAAGTGCTGCTTAGCATGACATCACCTCCATTAGCTAGTGCCCAGCGGGGTACAAATTATTCTGAGGATGGTGATCTCATCTTAGAAAGATAAAAAATCATATCCTAAAGGAAACAGTCACTGCCTTAAATGAAAACATTTATGTGCCAGTCTCTAAAACTGGCAATCCTAATTTAAATTTTAAATCTCTAAAATTCTTAATCAGCTCATTAGGCTGTTGCTGGTTCCTGTCCTACAGGGAAACTCTGAGGTAAGAAATAAAATCTGGTCTCTGCCCTAAGGGTTTTTAAATCTCAAAGTGAGACCTAAAAAACAACTGTTAGTTTCTGAATCATGTCCATGAATGTAAATGCTTTTAAGAAACATTTACTAGTAAAGATTTACCAAAACAGTAGCCAAAGGATGTGGCGTGAGAGCTGTGTGCAAAGCGCTGCGTGATGACTGTCCCTCTTAATGCTGGCTCATACAGGCTAGGTACTGAACTCAAAGTACAAGCGTATTTTCGTGAGTCCTCCCAATGACACTCTGAGGCATAAGGATCCCCACTGCAGAGTTCAGGTGACTGAGGCTAAGAGAAGTTAATGAACTTTAAAGTCGCACAGCCAAGATTCAAACTAGGATCTTCCCAACTCAAGAGGGCAGACTCCCACTATTCTGTAGACAGCTTAGTACTATATAGGAATGATAACACTTAACTTCAGGGAAGGAAACAAAAATCCATAATCTCAGAAGCTTTAAATAAGACAAAGAAAATAAATAACATGATAGAAAGTTACTGCAGAGATAACAAAATAACATAATGCACTGAATTCTAATGAATGAAAAAATGGCAAAAATGACTATGGCATTTCTGATGCGACTAGGTAGTTTACTTTTGTGTTTTCTTTCCTTTTTTAAAAAAATTTAACAAACTTCGCATGTGGCATTCAATTTACTTCTAAAGTGAAATAGGCCAGACACAGTGGCTCGCGCCTGTAATCCCAGCACTTTGGGAGGCCAAGGTGGGAGGAATGGTTGAGATCATGTGTTCAAGACCAGTCTGGGCAACACAGAGAGACCCCATCTCTATAACAAAGTAAAAACAAGTAGCCTGGCATGGTGGCACACACCTGTAGTCCCAGCTACTCAGGAGGCTGAGGCAAGAGGATTACTTGAGCATAGGAATTGGAGGCTGCAGTGAGCTATGATCGCACCACTGCACTTGAGCTTGGGTGACACAGCAAGGCTGTTTCTAAAAATAATAATAATAAAAGTAAAATAACTGGTTTCATGTTCAGCGTTAGGTATATGTCATTAAAACATATTCCCTGTATCTCTGTGTTCCTCCAAAGGAAAAGTGAAGCCTGTCCAGCAGGACTTCTGGGGAGATTACACTTCTGTCAAACAACTTGAAAAATATCAGGATTATATTTATTACCTGTCAGAGAGGACAAAGTCTCAAAAGCAGTCACGTTTCCAGATTTAGCAAATGAAACAGAAAGAACATCTGTTTCACAATAGTTTGGACAAGAAAAGACTTCAGTTGTGATGTACCAGAGGTTTTATCAAAATCTTTTCCCATCTGGTCTCTGAATTCATTTGAGTACGTATAAGAATTATCAAACTGGCGATTGTAACTGGGCCTGGTGAAGTCAATCTTTTAATATTTGTTATGTAATTAAGGTAAAAATATGAGAACAGGAATGTAAAATCAAATACAGAATACATTGAAATAAGTTCCATTGTACTATACAAACAAACCATCCTTTCCTTTCCTCTGGCAAGGGCCACGTGACCAGGAAGACAGTACAGAGCACTCTCCACTATTCAAAGCCTCTGAGTTTATGACACAAGTTAGAAAGAAGGGCACTTAGTATGTGCAAACGATCTGTCTTCCCTGTGCCAGGTGAAGTCCTAAGATGGTGTTTTTGGAAGGACAAAAGGAGAAAATGGGAAAGCCTTCACAGATCTAAATGATTTGTATGATATAAGTGTAAAATGGAGGATCTCGGATGCCTTTTTATAAAAATTACAGATGACTTTAAAGCCTCAGCACTCCCACCAAGGATGACTACTTTGCAGAATCAGATTCAAGTTTAAAACCGCTTGAAGAAATCCTGCTGTCAGGAAGACTGAAACTGCCAAAACTCAGATTCAGTAGCATTTATTCATTTGATATTTGCACCATAACAATTTACTGAACACCAACTGTGTGCAGAGTACTATACTAGACCCTGAGTGTATCAAGCAGTGGAAGAGACAAACCCTATCTCTATTCAGGGCTTATACCGATGCTCACTGGTATTCAAAAGTGGCTCAACAAGGCAGATGCCAGACCGTGTCCAATACATATCAGGTAGCTTGATTTCATTATTGTAATGCAAAGAAGCTCTACAGGCAACATGTGAAGGTAAGAACAAAACATGCAGAGAAAGAATATTATATAAATCTAAGAATTCTCCCATCTTTGTTTAGGCCCAAACACCAGTGCTTCTTATCTTTGGGGCAGAGCTTAAAGATCTAATAGTAGGCACCAGAAGCAATGTAATATATCATTCATCAAAATAAAGACTGCTTTGTAGGGGGATGAAGCAGTAGGAGATTGTGTTAAACGAGGTTTGAAAACAAAACAGTAAAGAAGCATTATAATTGCCTATATCAGATGCCAGTCTCTTCAAATGGCAAGAGGCAAGGCCTTTATTCAGGATAGCAAAAGCAAATCTGATTTAACTAGGTACAATGTCTAATGTCTCTTACTTTGAACAGGTTTTATTGCCATACTCCAATAAACTGTTCATCCATTCACTAAAATAATTTTCACTTTCAAAAACCTTCTTTTGCAAAAAGGCAAAGCAAAACCAAAGTCCAAGCATCGGGCTGTGATAGAGATGATTTAAGCTTTATATTTCATTTTTAGAGATTATGTAACCACAGCACGCACATTCACAGTGGCTGAGCCCATTTTGATACAGTCTGGTCTAACCACCTTGCCTGGCCCTCTTTCAGCTATCTTGCAGGTTTACATCGTTTCAGTGACTCCGTATGTCACCTCTACCATTTCTTTTCTAATTATTATTTGCTGAATAATCCTAAACCAGGTCTACTTTTTCTAGATAGGGCATAAAAGTAAAAATACAATGGATGGGCATTCACTGTGTTATGCCAGGCCCCGCATTTGGGGCAAGACACTAAGGATACCAAGATAAACCAAGTCCGTCCCTCCTGGAGTTTGCTTGCAAATCTAGCAGGGAAGATAGTAAACAAGCAACTGCAAAGGATATGACACATCTCTCTTAGGGAATGCTGGCTGCAGAAAGAACACAGCATAGGAAGATTTAACCTTAAACTGTTTAATGAAAACAGAAATTTAAGTAGCAGCTCTTCTAATCAAATGTGATGGCGGGAGAAAGGGAGTGCAGAGGTGTTGCAGGCAGACACTAGGTATGAAGGTCAGCATTGCCGTGCAGAAATCGAACCGGTGCTAAAGATAAGGAGGGGTGGGGGCACTCAGGACCCAACACACGCAGGGGTTTGTTAGCCATATTAAGTGCTGGGTTTAACCTAAGGGCAAAGGACGAGCTTTCTAGACTTTCATTTCATAAAGATCCCTCTGCCTGTGCTGTAAAAAGTGGACTGCAAAGGAGCAGGCGGGTCTGGAAGTGGAGAGACCAGGGAAGAGGCTGCTGTGGTCAGACGGCTGAAATCAGAGATAGAGAGACGCGGACAGATCTGGCAGACATTTACAAGGTCGACAAGGCTTGGCGACTAAGCAGGAAAAGAAGTGGGTGGGCGAGAGGGGGCTGCGAACGATGTTTTCCGGTTTCCTGCTTGGGTGCCACTTACTGAGAATGGGGGAAGAGGCAGGTGCAGGGCACACCCACCGAAAACCAGAGCGCCGAGTGTGAGCAGGGCTCGCTAACTCCTCACGGCCTGGGATTTCAAGGCGACGCCAACCAGCTGTGGCCACGGATACACAGCCACAGGTATGAGCTGCGAGCACTCACGAAACTCTGCAGGGCCGAAAAGGAATTGGAGTTTAAACCCTGCAACTATCTCTCTGGAAGAGCTAAACCACATTGTCAACCCGGGATAATCCAGGCCCCAGGCATGGAAGGCAGCAGAGACGGAAGCCTCGTCCAAAATTGGAAGGATCAGCCCCCAGGGCGAGTATCTCACAGTCAGCACCCGGCCGCCCCAGCCCTCGCAGCACCGCTTCCCGGGGCCACTCCTCCGCCGGCGGTAGCGCCGTCCGTTTCCCAGCTTGCCGCTGCCTTCCGCCGCCTGACCCGGCCTTCCGGCACTCGGCCGGCCGCCAGGTCTCCCGCCCTCGGAGCTCGGTGCCCCGTGCCCGACCTCCCGGCCCCGGGCTCGGTTCCCCTGGCCAGGCCTCCCGCTGCCTGGCCTCCCCGGCCCGGCCTCGCGCTGCCCGGCCTCCCCGGTCCCAGCCCAGCCTCCCGCCCCCGGGCCAGGTCTCCCCTCCGATGACCTGAGGCCTTTCCTTAGGTTACCCCCAGGTCCCTCTCCCTAAATCAAAAGCCTTAACCCGCTGCCTGGCTTCCCCGGCCCCGGCCCAGGCTCCCGCCTCCGGGCCAAGTCTCTCGCTCCGCGGGCTTCACTGCTCGCCCCCGCCCGGGCGAGGTGGCAAAACAAACACTCCGCCTTCCAGACCGGGCAGGTACCCGGGCGGGCGCAGGGCCTGGGAGAACGCAGGGAGCGGGGGCAGGGCTGACGGCCCGGAGCGAGGGCGGCAGTCACCGCACAGCCTCCTCATACCTTCTACAACCGCCTCACAATAGCACCCATCCGCTAGGAGCCGCGTCTGCACTGCTTCCGCGGCCCGCCGCCGGGAGATGTGCTCCAGCGCCAGCCCCGCCTCCCGCCCGCCCCTGTCGGCCCCTCGCGCCGCCTCCGCTGCGGCCCGTCCCCTAGCTCCCGCCCGCCCGAGAACCCAGCCCCAGGCTGGGCCCCAGGAGGCGCCCGCCCACCGCAGCGCGCCCCGCCCCCGCGCCCCGCGTCCTCACGCCCTGGTCCCGCCCTCGCGTCCCGCGCCAGTCCTCCCGCTTTGGTCCCGCCCTGAGGCTCGGCCCGGCTCCCCCGCCCCGGATTTGAAATCTAGGTCTTCCTGAGAGTCCGCGGGCTTCCGCTCCCAGCGCGGGATTCTGGAGGGAAATTGAGGGAGACTTGGAAACCGCGCCAGGCCCAACGGGTACCTAGAAGGGAGACAAAGCCAGGCCTGCTGCCCAGTTTGAGCTCTGGGAAGAAGAGGAGCAGGCCGGGACGCCCACCGGTAATTTCTGTCTCCTCTGCGATGACCTGAGGCCTTTCTTTGGGTTACCCTCAGGTCTCTCTCCCTAAATCAAAAGCCTTAACCTCCTGTCATCAGGGTGCCAGGCTAGAAATAACCAGGTCCACGCATGCTGTGTTTTCCACCATGTCAGGCTGCTGTGGACGCTCTTTCGATCACAAAAGCCACGAGCTGCGTGGAGTTCCCAAGGAGGCAGTTCTCAGCACTTGCTGGTCACTGGGTAGTCAGAGCCTGACACACAGGCTCAAGCCGCTCACGCATCATAGTAGTGTACTTAATCCACATATAAATGTTACAAGTTAAGCATCCCACAACAAAGTAGCATTTAACATCATGAGGAAAAAGAGATGGGGCAAAGAGATTAACGAACCAATCCAGAGGGAGTGAAGAAGAGGAAAAGAAGCCTGGTTTGGGCCGAGAGGTCCTTCTGCAAAGACGGCGTCAATTAAGCCGGCTGTTGGGAGCTGCCGAAGGCCCCATCTTTTATAGTCACAGAGTCCTGTGGTGAGAACTGGTAATGGAAGAGAGTGCTTGTTTGTGTCCTTACCTGGCTGGATGCGGACTATTTTTTTATTTGTTTATTAAAGTATAGTATGCTTGTTGGCAAATGCCTTATGAAATGTAAAAATGGGGTCTTCTCCTAAGATGGAGTTATTAATGGTTACGTCAATGGTGTGCTATATACACTGCCCTACCGATCCCCTTCCTATTTTGGGTCGTGAACTCATTTCAGACCCTGAAGCAAACTGTGAATCATTTTCGCAGAAGAATTCACCAACACATGTGAGCACGACATTCTGCATCAGATTTCAAAAAGTTCTTGACATTCAGAAGTCAGATTCAGGGACCCCATGGCAGAGCCTGTTTCTAACACTTGCGCCTATTCGACTATAGGGACTATATTCTGCACAGAAATATACTTAGTTTTATATATGGTTACCCCTTGCTGAGTTTATTGCATGCTTTTACATTTTCATAATACATTTGTTTGTTTCAGCCTTTCAACAATCCCTCGGGATAGGAATTCCAATTTAAAGAGGATAAGGTTTAAAGAGGTTAAGGCCGAGTTTAAAGAGGTTAAGTCCCGGCGCGGTGGCTCATGCCTGTAATCCCAGGACTTTGGGAGGCCGAGGCAGGTGGATCACGAGGTCAGGAGTTCGAGACCAGCCTGGTCAAGATGGTGAAACCCTGTCTTTACTAAAAATACAAAAAAAATTAGCCGGGTGCAGTGGTGGGCACCTGTAATCCCAGCTACTTGAGAGGCTGAGGCAGGAGAATCGCTTGAACCCGGGAGGCAGAGGTTGCAGTGAGCTGAGATTGCGCCACTGCACTCTAGCCTGGGCAACAGAGCAAGACTCTGTCTCAAAAAAAAGAAAAAAAAGGGGTTAAGTAGTTTGCTGTTGCTAAAAAGACAGTCACAGGAGTTAAACTCAGATCCCACAAATAAGACTTAGGCCTTTCTTTATCCCTCCTGAATTGAGTGAACACCAATGTTTGACAGTCCTTTTTCTGCCTCAATAAAACTGAGAAATAGGACCCACTCCCAACCTTAACAGTGGCTCTGCAGAGCAGTAATTTGCAAAGAGGGGACTAGTGTGGTTGAACTAGTCCTTATCCTATTGTGATGCCCAAACCCCTTCCTGTGCTAAACTTTCTTGCCAAATTAGCAAGCATTAGCAGCAGTTTTCTGGTTTCCTGTAAATCATACTAATTTACTTAGTCTGTGAACTTTTTTTTTTGAGACGGAGTTTCACCCTTGTTGCCCAGGCTGGAGTGCAGTGGTGCAATCTCGGCTCACTGCAACCTCCGCCTCCCGGGTTCACATGATTCTCCTGCCTCAGCCTCCCAAGTGGCTGGGATTACAGGTGCCTACCACTAGGCCCAGCTAATTTTTGTATTTTTAGTAGAGATGGGGTTTCACCATGTTGGCCAGGCTGGTCTCGAACTCCTGACTTCAGGTGATCCACCCACCTCGGCCTCCCAAGTGCTGGGATTACAGGCGTGAGCCACCGTGCCCAGCCAAACATTTTAATTATAGCCAAACAGTAGGCTGGAGGCAGTGTCTTCTGGCTGAAGCCAGTAATTTCTCTTTACAGAGGTATCCCAGAGGTGACAGAACTTGATCTGGGCCTGGAAGGGGAAGAATTCGGGAAAAGCAACGTGGGGCATTCCAGGTAAGAGAAATGTGTGCTGGGTGCGGGGGGAGGTTTCTGGAGTGGCTCAGGAGAAAGCAGAGGTCATTATCAATTCATTTGGTGAGATGGTGGAAGAGTAAGAAATGAAATAGGTAAATGATTTAGGGCCAGATTCTGGAGGGGAGTTTAGACTTCGTGACGTTAGTTTACCTGTGTGAGTTGAATGTTGCTATGAATCATTATCCCTGTGAAAAGTGATGAAAATGGTTTTAAGGGTGATTGGGCTGGCAGAGTTATGCTGTTTGGATGGGAGATCCTGTGGGGAGGATAGAAAGGAGGAACTGGAAAAAAAAAAAGCACAATATATCGCTGTGTGTTTTCTTACTCCTTAAAGAGGATTTGGGGAAATTTAAATATGAGTTACTTCTGCTCAAGCATAGAAAGGCAAAGTGACTGAAGTGGGAGAAAAAAGGAAAATCCAGTCACTTATACTTAATTTCTTAAGGTGTTATTCATCCAGAAAGTGAACTTATATAATAATATTTTTGTAAATGCTTTTTGATCACATACTTTATAATAAATACTTTAGCAGTGGGAGAAATAGTACGAATGCATTCCAAGAGGCTAGAAAAGGGATTATATTAAGAAAATATTGTCAAATACCAGGATATTACCAAATCATAGAACTAGAGTATTGGCAGAAAATGCAAAATACTGATGAATCTAATCTCAGGGTAGAGGGAGAATTTGGAGTTGGGGAATAGGAATTGACCAGTGATGAGAAAAAAAGAAAAAAGAAAAGGAGGGAGGAAGGAAGGAAAGAAGGGAAAGAAGGGAGGGAGGGAGGAAGGAGGGAAGGGAGAAAGGAAGGAAGGAAGAAGGGAAGGAAGGAAGGAAAGAAGGGAAAGAAGAGGGAGGGAGGAAGGAAGGAAGGAAGAAGGGAAGGAAGGAAGGAAAGAAGGGAAAGAAGAGGGAGGGAGGAAGGAAGGAAGGAAGAAGGGAAGGAAGGAAGGAAAGAAGGGAAGGAAGGAGGGAAAGAAGAAGGAAGGAAGGAAGGTAGGTAGGTGAGAAAGAAAGAAACTGAGAGAACTAGGCTAGGAAGAACCATGGCCAGGCTGGCTTCAGGTCCCCCCAGAAACTGGTAAATAGGAAGCATGTGCCCCCTCCTTCAGCTGCTCCTGGAATCCAGACCATCAAGTGTCACAGCTGGGCAAGGCTGGGCATAAACGCAGGGAAGCTGGGGCTACTTAGGTCTGCGTCATCTCTCCCCTTCCATCCCTGCTGCCTCTTCTCCCACTATAGTTACTCGAAAAGAACTAACATAGCCTTTTTTCTAGCTTGACCCCCTTTGGTTGAAAGATCAGTATCAACCATGCTTAAATAATCAAACATGGTTAAACAAACATTCTGTGCAATGTTAAGAATTAAATAATAGAAACTCTTTGAGCCCAATCTTTTATTTTGTTTTTTAGTAGAGATGGGGTTTCACCATGTTGGCCAGGCTGGTCTCGAACTCCTGACCTTGTGGTCCACCCGCCTGGGCCTCCCAAAGTGCTGGGATTACAGGTGCAAGCCACTGCACCGGGCGGAGCCCAATCTTTTAAAATACAATAAAAGTTTTCCTTCGGAACTTGGAAACTTACCAAAAATAGTTACAGTCCCTGAGTGGAAAGGAGCTTTGATACACAATTATGTAAAAGAAAGACAACACTCTTTCACCACCGGGAATGAAAAGCATTTCTAATATGGTGACATATTCCCCCAGAGGGGAGGGATGAGGAATGTGATAGTCCCAAACCAGAATGCCAGATGCCTTACTGTTCTCCATTTCCTTTGCTTTTTGTAATTCAACCCTCCTGCTGGACTACACCAAGCCCCAGTTGTCTTCTGATGCTCAACCCAGCTGTTAAAATTTTCAAGCTGTGCAGATATGAAGGGGGCATGACATATACTGAACTTCTCTTTCTTCTTCTGTTGATGCTCATGGTTTCCCCAGTTCAGTGAGTCTTAAGCTGTTTTTTCATTGTGACTCCATGATGTTCCTGTATGACATACTCCCGTGGTCCTACCAAGACTTTTACAAAATCAAACAATTTTTCATGATAAAATTTCAGTGTCACGAAGTACGAATATCCACATAGTCATTTGTAGTCAGTTATTGGTAGATACTAGCTAGATTCAGATGTGATTGCATTCTGTATTTATTTTCTTCACTAATAATCAATGGACTTTGTTAAAAGTTAATAAACTTCATGATAGAAAGTCAGTTTCTCAATTAGGTTTATCTAAGTATAGCAGATTTTTAGCTGCACGTGAAGCAGATCAAAGTAACTGAATACTCAGAATCTAGCAATAAGGAGCCATATCACTTTGTATTGACAAGTTAAAGCAGTTTTTTTTTTTTTTTGAGACAGAGTCTCGCTCCGTTGCCCAGGCTAGAGTGCAGTGGCACGATCTTGGCTCACTGCAAGCTCTGCCTCCCGGGTTCACGCCATTCTCCTGCCTCAGCCTCCTGAGTAGCTGGGACTACAGGCACCCACCACCACGCCCAGCTAATTTGTTTTGTATTTTTAGTAGAGACAGGGTTTCACTGTGTTAGCCAGGATGGTCTCGATCTCCTGACCTTGTGATCCGCCTGCCTTGGCCTCCGAAAGTGCTGGGATTACAAGCGTGAGCCACCGCGCCCGGCTGAAGCAGTTTTTAAAAAAATTGCTTCATCTCCTCCATCCAGTGAATTGATATTTTCCCTAAGCATACCTGTTATGAAATTTATGTTAGTACCTTTAGAATTATATTTCTGTTTCCTAGTATATACTTTATATGTGGATTAGGTATAACTCTGAGAGAATATCTTTCTTAGGTCTGTTACGATTGATGTCAAATTTGAAATCTGCGGATAATATGCCTTTGTTTTTTTTCTAACAAGGTCATGATGTACTATCCCTTTTTTTTTTCTTTTCTTTTGAGATGGAGTAGTCCCAGCTACTCAGGAGGCTAGAGTGCAGTGTCATAATTTCAGCTCACTGCAATCTCTGCCTCCTGGGTTCAAGCAATTTTCCTGTCTCAGCCTCCCAAGTATTTGGGATTACAGGTGCCCGCCACCACGCCTGGCTAATTTTTGTATTTTTAGTAGAGACGGGGTTTCACCATATTGGTCAGGCTGGTCTCGAACTCCTGACCTCAGGTAATCCGCCCTCCTCTGCCTCCCAAAGTGCTGGGATTACAGGCATGAACCACGGCGCCTGGTCTACCCTCTCGTAATCTTTTTTTTTTTTTTTTTGAGATGGAGTCTTGCCCTGTCACCCAGGCTGGAGTGCAGTGGTGCGATCTCGGCTCACTGGCACCTCCACTCCTGGTTCAAACTATTCTCTTGCCTCAGCCTCCCGAGTAGTTGGGATTATAGGTGCCCACCACCATGCCCAGCTAATTTTTGTATTTTTAGTAGAGACGGGGTTTCACCATCTTGGTCAGGCTGGTCTCGAACTCATGACCTCATGATCCACCCGCCTCAGCGTCCCAAAGTGCTGGGAATACAGGCAGGAGCCACCGCGCCTGGCCCCCTTTCTTAATCTTTTAGGGAGATTCTGGTTTTCCTTCCAGGAAATACTCATTTGCCAATGAGTTTGTGTTGCTGCAAAGTTTTCTGCTAAAATTCAAGACAATGTTTATCAACTCAATAAGCACAAATGTGTTACCAAAGAAATAGGACTTCACTGTTAAATGATTTAGTACATATTATTTCACTTCAAAAAAGCCCCAATATATCTGTTTTCCACATAGGTAAATTATGGCAGAGATGATATTAATGAAGAGAGGAACTCTATTAATTACCTATTTCTATGTCAAAGCCAGCCCCAAACTTACTGGCTTAAAAAAGACAAAACAACCAAATTTATTTTTTTCTTATAGCTCTGTGGGTTGGCTGGGCAGTTTGATAGGTCTCTCTGGGACTCAGGCTTACTAATGCGTTGAATTCAGATGACGGCTGGATGTCCGGAATGGCCCAGCTCACATATCAGACTGCTTATGCTGGCTGTTGGCTGCAATTCCTTGGTTCTTTTCCATGTGGGCTTTCATCCTCTATGAGGCTAGAGTTATGGCATGGCAATCTCAGGGCAGGACTCTGGGATAACCAAGTCTGCTGCAAAGGCACTCGTTAAACCTCTGCTTGCTTCACTTTTGTCAATGTGATGTTGGCCCAAAACAAGTCATATGGCCAAGCTGAGAGTCAGTACGAGAGTGAGTTTAGGTGCCATCTCTTGATGGGAAAAATGGCAAGGGGTTTGTGGCTGATTTGGCTGTTTTTAATCTAGAGTGAAAGTTTTCCCACTCTTCTAAAAACCTATTCTTTTTCTTTTGTAAATGAATTATAATCCCAAATTGGAAAATTATTGCCTGGCCCCCTTACTCTGGCGTGGTTGACATGGAAGTATTATATAGAAAGAAAAATCATCCATTACTACAGACATCCAAAACTAGCCCAACTAAAAGTTGTGTTGAGAGAGAAGAGGAGACATGGACAGAAACAGAGGAAAAGGGAACTAAGAGCTGTACATTGGTATCTAGAAATGAATTCTACACTGAGAAATAATAGCACAAGAATGGGTGGACAAGGTCATAGCACGTGATACAATAAAATGGTTATAGTAAAAACCACAGTGATACAAAAAGCACATATATTTACATGAGGCTTTGTAATTTAGAGATTGCTTATGTCTTACCACATTTATCTTCAAGCTAAGTATATAAAGTACTCAAGATGATATTGATTCCCATTTTTCAGTTGATTAAACTAAGATTCAGGGCGCTTCATTAACCTGTCCAAGGTCATAATACCATTAGATGAAGAACCAGGATCTAAGAATTTCTGATAACCAGCCTTGCTCTCATTCTGTGGTAAAACTTCATGCAAAGAATAAACAAGAAAATAAGTGTCAGGAAGTGAGTTTTGAAACTTTATCAAACAAAATATATTCTAAACAAAGAAATTAATGGCCTTTTTGTTTGTTGTTTGTTTTAGTAGTAATTGATAGAAATATTACGTGGGATAGGATTTATTCTCTCCACACTTCTGAACCAATGAATAGAAAATGGGAAGCAAAACTGAAGCAAATTGAAGAACGAGCATCTCATTATGAGAGGAAACCGTTGTCCTCAGTGTATAGACCAAGATTGTCCAAGCCAGAAGAACCACCCTCCATCTGGAGACTATTTCATCGACAAGCTCAAGCTTTTAATTTTGTTAAAAGCTGTAAAGAAGTAATTTCCTCCTCCTCCTCTTCTTCTTCCTCCTCTTCCACTTCCTCTTCTTTCTTCTTCTTCTTCATTATAATTTCAGTTCTTTAAAAAAAAAAGTCTATTATTTGTCTTCATTTCAGGCCATGTATTCTACCAAGAAAATTTAATGGCAATCTTAATGGCATGTGATTTAGGAAAAATATTCCTGTGAATCATTAACCATTTAATTTATATTAGTAATGAAAAAGAATGACACATCTAGTACCAATTAGTTTTTAAAAATTGTGATGATATTTAAATGAAGCTTTATGCTTAGAGGGAGGGGAACCATATTTATTTCAACACAGTAAGCAAGTAGGAGAAAGAAGTGTCAGCCTTTCAAAGAACATGGTGCTGAAAAATAAAAATCACTGGCCGGGCGAGGTGGCTCATGCCTGTAATCCCAGCACTTTGGGAGGCCGAGACGGGTGGATCACCTGAGGTCCGGAGTTTGAGACCAGCCTCACCAACATGGAGAAACCCTGTCTCTACTATAAATACAAAATTAGCCGGGTGTGGTGGCGTATGCCTGTAATCCCAGCTACTCCCAAGGCTGAGGCAGGAGAATGGCTTGAACCCGGAAGGCGGAGTTTGCTGTGAGCCGAGATCGCGCCATTGCACTCCAGCCTGGGCAACAAGAGCGAAACTCCATCTCAAAAATAAATAAATAAATAAATAAATAAATAAATAAATAAATATCACTAAATCAAGCAACAGATGTGTATTGCACATTCTTTTTTTTTTTTGGGGCACTGTGGGGAATGTAAAGAAATATGAAAGAAACGATAAGATGCTTATATGATAGCATAAGTGTGCTGTGAGTCTGATCACTGTTGCTGTATAAAATCTCCAAGTGCTGGAAGTTTTAGAAGGACCTCTCTTTCTCTAGTAAGGGTAGGCTTACTCAAATCTCATGAGAATGGTTTAAGAAATACCTTTCTTAGGCATTTTGGGTAAACCTAATTCAAGCAGCAGAAATTAAAATACTGACAGATTCATTTGAACTTGAATTTTAAAAAGATATAGATAGGGGTATGCTTGTTGGACTTGCTAATCACCAGTCTATAAAATTTATTTCAAAAAGGTTTTTGTTAGGGTTAAGCAACTGAGTCCTGTGATTTTTCACTCATGAAAAGAAAAATATGCTCACCAGCTACCTTTAGCTAAGAGGAAACAAAAGAACTTGTGGATGTATTCCTCTATTAGAAGAACCCTTATGGCAGGAGGCATGAGCAGTTATATTTAAACAACTACCGCAGTAATTAACCTTTAAAAAAATGGTTCCGGCTGGGTGCGGTGGCTCATGCCTGTAATCCCAGCACTTTAGGAGGCTGAGGCAGGCAGATCACTTTGAGGTCAGGAGTTCGAGACCAGCCTGCCCAGCATGGTGAAACCTCGTCTCTACTAAAAATACAAAAAATTAATCGGGCGTGGTGGTGGGCACCTGTAATCCCAGCTACTTGGGAGGCTGAGGCAGGAGAATCGCTTAAACCTGGGAGACAGAGGTTGCAGTGAGTCGAGATCACGCCACTGCACTCCGGCCTGGGCAACAGAGCAAGACTCTGTTTCAAAAAAAAAAAAAAAAGGCTCCTACATACATTTTTTTATGTACTGGGGAATTTACTAATCAATTTTAGCCCAAATCATTTATAATAATAAGTAGTTTTGAAAAATAAGTTTAATTTCATAAACTAAGAAATAAAACTATCATAGGAAGTCATACAAGTAATATTTTTAAGAGTGGTTTCTCTCCTTTTTTCTCTTTGGTCTGCATATTCTAATTGTTTTCACCTTTTGTATGAATGATTAAAAAATAGGTATAATTAGATTTTGAATGGCATAAACCTAGTGACTATTTGTCTTGTTTTTAATAATACAAATGTTCAAATTACAGTTTCTGAAAACTTGAATGAAAAATTCTTTATGAACATTCAGTAGCTACAGTTGAGTTTAGGTTTGCATTTTGTGAATTTTTCTGAATTCTTTTTTGATTTTATGCAGGACGTTCATGTATTTGCTTTGGAATGCAAAGTAGGAGATGGACAACGTATTTACCTTGTGACAACCTATGCTGAATTTTGGTTTTACTATAAATCCAGGTAGGTAGCATGCAGCAGAACCACACATTAAGCTAGAGTTCCATTTCCTTTGCCTAGGAATTTTGGTGAAATTAGTTCAGGCTGAATTGGCTTCCACAGTTCGTGACCACACTATTAGTTGCTCTTAGAATTGAATTCTGGAGTTTTCTTGTCATAGCAATGCTTGAGTATCTCACCAGGTGCTGGGAGAAAATAATCATGCACATACACGAATATATGCGTGTACTCAAAGGGAGTTTTGAAATTTCTCTTTTGCAAACAGGTATTAAATTATACTATTAATCACAAAGGAATATTTATGTTACTTACCTAGTAATGAAATATCTGCTTTATCTTGACTTTATTATTACTATTTTAAATTATTTGTTATTAGCTTTAGTTTTAATTTTTTAATTTTTTTGAGATGGAGTTTTACTCTTGTTGCCCAGACTGGTCTGCAGTGCCATGGTCTCGGCTCACTGCAGCCTCTGCCTCCCGAGTGCAAGTCGTTGTTCTGCCTCAGGCTCCCGAGTTGCTGGGATTACAGGTGCCCACCACCATGCCTGGCTCATTTTTATGTTTTTAGTAGAGACGGGGTTTCACCATGTTGACCAGGCTGATCTTGAACTCCTGACCTCAGGTAATCCACCCACCTCGGCCTCCCAAAGTGTTGGGATTACAGGTGTGAGCCACTGTACCTGGCTTATTAGCTTTATTTTGACTGAGTGATCTATTCAAGTATTTCTTTTTTTTTTTCTTTCTTTTTTTTAATTTAAAAAATTTTTTTTGAGACAGTTTCACTCTTGTTGCCCAGGCTGGAGTACAGTGGCACAATCTCAGCTCACTGCAACCTCCCTGAGTTCAAGCAATTCTCCTGTCTCAGTCTCCCAAGTAGCTGGGATTACAGGTGCCTGCCACCACGCCTGGCTAATTTTTGTATTTTTAGTAGAGACGGGATTTCATTATATTGGTCAGGCTGCTCTCGAGCTCCTGACCTCAGATGATCTGCCTGCCTCGGCCTCCCAAAGTGCTGGGATTACCAGCATGAGCCACCGCACCCAGCCGTATTCAAGTATTTCTCAGACTTGAGTAATGTGTGGAAAAGGAGAGTAAATTGTTAGCATGCCCTATATTGATTTAGAATACTTTTATTCAAATGTTGCTAAGTAGCTTCAAATATGAAACTGGATTTATTTATGTTGATATACATGCAACACCAGTTAGAGTTGAATGAAAATCATTAAGACAATGTGACAGATGTTTTGCTGAAACTCAGTCTCATCTTCCCATGTAAATATGGAACTGACTGCTACAGGGTGTGTATGTATGTATGTGTATGTGTGTGTTGAGTTCCTCCACTACCTGTACCACCTGATGATACAATTTTCACATAACTTTTCCCTCTTCAAATTACTAGAAGTCCTTAATTTGTATAGGATGCCATCTGAATATCACTTAGCCCAAATTATCATTTGCAAATTAAGTCAGCATCTCTCCCTATTTAACCCATGTCAAAGTCATTCCTCTTAATGCCAGAAAGAATGTAACTGCAAACATGAGCGTTGGGAGCTTATCAAAGTCAGGTGATTCAGAATTTTTTAAGCAATTTTTAAAATATTATCTTCCAATGAAAATACAGAATTTAAAAATTCTCATGGAAAATTCATGGAATCCCAAGAATATGGAATCCTGAAAAGAACATTTTTTTTCAAAGAAAATTTGTTTCATGGTGACACTAAAAACAAATATAGAGGTATTACACAATATCAAACTCATCTGTGAATAAATAACACTGTAAGATTGACTGTATTTTCTAGTTAAATAATGTTACAGGATATAATTGTTGCATTTTGCTTGATGGAAACCCTTGATAAGATGAGCCATAAACCTATGGTGAACAGTTCATTTTATCATGTTCTTATTTCATACTTGTATGTAGTGAAAGCACAGTTAACACAGTACTTGCAATGTAAGATAGACTGCCATGATTTAAAAGGTATAAGATAGAGGCTGGGCGTGGTGGCTCATGTCTGTAATCCCAGCACTTTGGGAGGCTGAGGCAGGTGGATCACTTGAAGCCAGGAGTTCAAGATCAGCCTGGCCAACATGGCGTAAACCCTGTCTACTAAAAATGCAAAAATTAACCAGGCGTGGTGGCGTGTGCCTGTAGTCCCAGCTACTCGGGAGGCTGAGGCAGGAGAATCGCTTGAACCCAGGAGGAGGAGGTTGCAGTGAACCGAGATCACACCACTGCAGTCCAGCCTGGGCAACAGAGCTGACTCAGTCTCAGTCAGTCAATCAATCAATCAATAAAGGTATAATATATCAATTTAACAATCTTGAATTATTCAATTTAGAAAAAATCTCTTACACTGCTATGAAGTTATTCCTGAAAATGCTGTGTGCAAGCTTTATTTTGATTTGGAATTTAACAAACCTGCCAACCCAGGAGCTGATGGGAAAAAGATGGTTGCATTACTCATTGAGGTAAATGGCCAACTCAAGTTTTTCTTATTTCTATCCATCTCTTCATTGGCTTATTCATTCAGTGAATTCAGCCTACATAATAGTAGGTTCTGTATCTCTTCTTTTTCTTGCTACTCTTCCTTTTGACTTTAGGATTTTTTAATATTACTTGTATGAGTAAACTGTGAAAAGGAAGGAAAGTTCAATTTGTGTTCATATAGTTTGCAATTTTGCTGTCTGGTAAAAAAAATGCTTTGAAAAAGATGTCAGTTTGAAAATTTTCTATATTTTAAAATTATATATTAATTCTCTGACTTCCATTACGAATAGCTGACTTTGGTAAAACCAGGCAAAATAATTTTTACTGTAAAAATTGGGTACTGAGATGAACCTCAAGAACACTGACTACAAATAGTATTAGAATTTTCAAGCTTGCAGGAATTTTGGAAATCATCTTATCTTGTCCCTTTCAAAATGAGGAAATTAAGGCCCAGACGAAACTAATTCCTATTCAAGGTCCTACAGCTAGTAATGGTAAAATCTTGTCTAAAAATATAGTTACTATTTTTAACTAAGAGAAAAAATACTGTAGTTCTTTATTTTTGATTTAGCTGTGTCAACCAGGAAGTTACTAATAAAAGGAATAGCATGGACTTGTGCAGCTAAGTTCTATTAGGATTATTTCAAAAAAAATTTTCAGATTGTATCACAGGAAGTTGTGTTAAAATTGTATTGACTATTATTCAGCCTAAGTGTAGGTACTGACACTTACTGACTAGCTATTTTTCTTTTAAATGTTAACTGAATAATAATGTTATAGATTACCCATTTTATAACTTTTAAAATATATCCAGATTAAAATGTTTTTGATAAAGAATATCTGCTAGTATTCTCTGTTGGACCTCTACATGCTTGATTTTAAATCTTTGTGAAAATGTATGTGAATGCTATTTAAAAAATATATAGAATGTTAGCTTTATCCTGGCTTTGAAGCAGAAGAAATATATATAAAGTCCCCCACCACCCCCAAAAAAAACCCCAAATTATATTTTTCTTCAAATAGCCATTGAACCCTTAAAAATAAATTTAGATGCTTATTTCATTACAGCTGGTAAATTCTGTTTAATTTTAAACCTTTATTATTATTATTATTATTATTATTATTATTATTATTATTTCTGAGACAGAGTCTAGCTCTGTCACCCAGACTGGAGTGCAGTGGTGTGATCTCAGCTCACTGCAATCTCTGCCTCCCAGGTTCAAGCAGTTCTCCTGCCTCAGCCTCCCGAGTAGCTGGGATTACAGGTGTGTGCCACCATACCTGGCTAATTTTTGTATTTTTAGTAGAGATAGGGTTTTGCCATGTTGGCCAGGCTGTTCTTGAACTCCTGGCCTCAAGTGATACACCCATCTCCGCCTCCCAAAGTGCTGGGATTATAGGCGCGAGCCATTGTGCCTGGCCTAATTATGTTTTTAGTAATTCATAAGTATTGACTTTCTTCTACAGTCTAAAGTAAGATTTCTTGTGTAGTTTCTCCATGGGCTACAAGGAACCTCGATTCAGAGATTTTCACTGCCACTTAACATTGCATATTAGCAAAGAAGTACCACATTGCATTAGAAACTAGAAATATTTCTAATGAAATGAACACTGGAGCAAATTTCATTTGTAACACATATTAATAAACACTGGTATGGCAAAGACCATGTAGGTGTTTAGAATTTTTTTCTCCTTATTCTTTATACTACTTTATCCAAATGAGTCTTGAGCAGCTAATCTTCTGCATCAGCAAAACTGTTGGAAGAAACTGTAGAAATCGAAGTTCAAAATTATACAGCATTTTTATTTAACATGTTTACCATGTTGATAGAACAGTTCTCATTGGATTACTTTACTTAATATAATGCTTTTTATAATGATTACATTGAAATTAATTTCATTTATTGGTTACTTTGTATGCAATAAGTTTATAATCCAGTAAGTACTTTTTCCTTTGAGTCTTACTGTGAGGAGGCATAATTAGGTTAGCTCTTATGCTAATTTAGCAGATGGTTAATAATAATTGGTGATAATGTAAAATACCCTGTGGTTCAGTGGCTAAACTGACACATTTCAATAAGCCCCTTCTCCACAGTTAGAATGAATTCTGGTGCTAATGTATTTTATTAGGACCACATTTCAGGGCAACATTGTCCACTCATGTAAGTTTAACTTCTGGATTTTATAATTTAATTATTTAAGTAACTTAAAGTTTTAATTAAAGTTAATCTTGGGAAATAGAATTTAGGAGAATATGATTACTTGTCCTACCTAAAGCATCACTAAATTTATTCTCTGTAGCTCCGAAAGTACAGAAGTCGACTTCATTCATCAAATAGTTTTTAGTCCCTACTAAGTGTCAGGCACTGTGCCCAGGCACTAGGATTACCAAGTGGTAAGTCAAAGAGACATAATGTCTGATGGCATACACTTTGTAGTCTAATGGAGGATAATACGTTAGGATAGATTTAGCTGCCATAATAAAGACCCAAAATTAAACTGGCTTAAACAAGACAGAAACCTATTTCTCCCCCAAGTAATATCTAATGTGGCTCCGTACTGTTAGGGACTAGGCTTGTTGCTTTGCTGTCCCTAAGATGTTGCCTTCTTCCATTGTCCAAGATGGCTCATACCACTGTGTCTGCATTCTAGTCAGTACAAATGGAGAAGGGGACGGTACGCCCTTTGCCTGTTAGAGGATCACTTAGAAGTGGCATACTTTCCTTCTCACGTCCCATTGGCCAGACTTAGCAGCCACACCCTGCTGTAGAGGAGCCTGGGAAATGTAGTCTTTGTTCTGGATGGCCTCCAATCTAGCTAAAAAATTGGGATTCTGCTTCTACAGAGGGAGAGAACAAATATGGAGGAAGAGCCCCTGTAATACAGAGGAAACATGTCAAACTAATCACATAAATCAACCTAAAATTGTAAGTCTATAAAGAGAAAAAGAGTATGTAGGGGGAATTTGATGTAGAGAGGGAAATCAAGGAAGCCCTCTCTGAGAAAGAATTTACAGAAGAGTAAAGCCAGAGGGCATGAGGACAGTGTGGTGTTAGAAGAATCCCAAAATATCATTAAAAATACAGTTTATTGCGTAACTTTGAGGTATCTAAACTGACGGCAGTTCATAAACATTTTTGCTCATGTCAAGATAATATTGCATGGTAGTTCTTAGTAGCTTCATTTTGCAAATGAGAAAATTGAAGCTTTAGGGACTTGTCCTAAGGCTGCACAACCAAGGCTTTTTTAAGCAGTTACATGTGCTAAAAATTTCCATTTTCTTTTTTATTCCTTAAAGCAACTCCAAAAGGTAGCTGCTATTATTATTCCTGTTTAGCAGCTGGGAAATGTTAAGGTTTAGATTTGACCAAAGCCATAGAGCTGGCAGATGGCAAAGCCAAAACTGACACTGACCTGTCTCTGACTCCAGCCCCCGTGCTTGCTGCCTTTCTATTGTGCATGGCCTTCATGCCCAGTGCCTTGTAGTCTCAGAGGCTGTATTCTTAGAGCTGGAGTCAGGCTCAATATGAACTAGACACTTTCTGGTAATTAAAACCATTAAAAAAAATGAATTAATGACTTTTTTTTTTTTTTTTTTTGAGATGGAGTCTCACACTGTCACCCAGACTGGAGTGCAGTGGCACCATCTTGGCTGACTGCAATCTCCGCCTCCTGGGTTCAGGTGATCTTCCTGCCTCGGCCTCCTGAGTAGCTGGGACTTATAGACACCTGCCACCACGCCTGGCTAATTTTTATGGTTTTAGTAGAGACTGGGTTTTACCATGTTGGCTAGGCTGGTCTCAAACTTCTGACTTCAAGTAATCTGCCCGCCTTGGCCTCCCAAAGTGCTGGGATTACAGGCATGAGCCACCACGCCTGATCAGAAATTAATGACTTTTTAACTCATAGATGATATATAAAGAGATGCTTATTGCTTATAGAAAAATTTTAAAACAAAAAATATAAATTATTTGCATTTTACTTGTGTTTTTAGTATGTGTGTAAAGCACTTCAAGAGTTATACGGTGTTAATTGCTCAGCTGAAGATGTTTTGAACTTGGATTCTAGCACTGATGAAAAATTCAGCCGGCATTTAATATTTCAGCTCCATGATGTGGCATTTAAAGATAATATTCATGTTGGTAAGTACACGGCTTTTTAAAAATCATGGAGTTGTATTCAAAACTCATATGTTCTTATTCCTCTTAAAATTTTGTGTGTACTTATCAAGTTTTATGGTCATTAACTTATCCTAAAAAATGCGATGTAGGCTGAGTGCAGTGGCTCACACCTGCAATTCTAGCACTTGGGGAGGCCATGGTGGGCGGCTCACTTGAGGCTAGGAGTTTGAGACCAGCCTGGCCAAGCTGGCAAAACCCTGTCTCTACTAATTAGCCGGGCATGGTGGTGCATGCCTGTAGTCCCAGCTACTCGGGATGCTGAGGCACAAGGATTGCTTGAACCCAGGAGGCAGAGGTTGCAGTAAGCCAGGATCACACCACTGCACTCCAGCCTAGGCAACAGAGTGAGACCCTGTCTCAAAAAAAATAATGGCAATGTGTTTCTTCATGTTTTCAAGATGTTCCCTTAGCTTTGGACCTGTCTTTCTGTTCTAGACACATCAACCTATTCAGGACATCTTTGGCATTTGCATCTCTAATCCTAGATACTGGGATGGCCATCCATGTCCAGATAGTGGTTTCTGCTCCAACATGATTTATTTCAGTTTCCTGGAAAGTGCATGAGAGGCCTTTCCATTTCAAGCCTTATCTGCAATCTCATTTCTGGATTTCTGACCTTTGCTTCGGCCTTGCTTTGGGGCTTCGGTCCCAGGTCGTATCAAAGATGGCTTGTTTATTGTTCCAGGCAGAGCTTCAGGGTTGGGATAATTCTAGATGTACGAGTCTGAAAGTGAAACCAGATTATTTATCTCAGGCCTGGGCCCAGGTGTAAAACAAAGTCAGTCCAAAGGAGAAACACATAGTTAGAATGGGAACACCATATGAAGGTCTGAATAAAAGCCAAATCCTGAGTGCTTATCAAAGCAGGGGTGGGACAAGAGTCCAAACAGCAGATGATTGACTGAAGCTCAGGTAACAGGTAATTCAGTTCAGAGCTGCTAGCGTCTTAGAGTTTCACGGCCACCTAGAGTAAAAGGCGTGGACATGGTCACTAAAGCACTGGCATGAAAGCCAGGAACCTGATTTCTGGATTAGGGGAAGGTGGCCACAGAGACCCAGCATGCTGTTTTCACAAGGCTCTCGTCACCTGCCTGTTTCCTGGTAGCTCAGCTGGACGTTCCTTCTCAGTCTCTCTCCCTCATCCTGTGAGAAACACAGTCACCCATCCAAACCCAAAGAATGGACTTAGAGGCATGGAGAACAGTGAAAGTGAGACTTTTTTTTTGAGACAGAGTCTCGCTCTGTCGCCCAGGCTGGAGTGCAGTGGCACGTTCTTGGCTCACTGCAACCTCCGCCTCCCGGGTTCAAGCGATTCTCCTGCCTCAGCCTCCCGAGTAGCTGAGACTACAGGCGTGTGCCACCATGCCCGGCTAAGTTTTTGTATTTTTAGTAGAGGCGGAGTTTCACCAGGTTAGCCAGGATGGTCTTGATCCCCTGACCTTGTGATCTGCCCGCCTTGGCCTCCCAAAGTGCTGGGATTACAGGCGTGAGCCACCGTGCCTGGCCGAAAGTGAGACTTTTAATAACGGCCTTACAAGATTGGGTGTCTGGTAGACAGGCACATTCAGGGCAGTTACAGCAGGTAATTTATCTCCTAGCACGCAAGTCCCTCCCCCAGTTCCTCATTGGCTGAGTACTATGGGGTTAACAATCTTTCCAGACATCACCTAAGTTTCATTATCCCCCTTATAAGGTTATACCCCATCCCCTTCCCCACTTGAGTTTTGATTTTCCAATAACAAACTTTCTTCCTTTTTATGGGCTGACCCCTCCTCTACATTCTGTTCACTTATTAAGACTTTCTAGGTGCATGAGCCGTGTGGTTTGTTACATTTGCAGGCTGGCTGCCGGTACTTAGATTTATCATGGCTTGAAAATGAACCATTTAAAATGTTTTCTCACAATCCTTCAGATATTAGTAATGGTAGAGTCCATCTTTGACCCTCTTCCCACTCTATCCTCACCCTTGATGATCAGCCACCATCATGGCTTTGATATGCATCTATGTTGATGACTCTGAAATCTTTATCTTCAGCCCAGATTGTTCTAGACGTCAGACCCATCCAGCCAACTGCCTCTAAACACTCCCCACACAGATGGTTCCAACTTGGCATGTCCTGTGCTGAGCTCCTCATCCTTCCCCAGAGTCACATCTTCTCCGTGATGTGTGTATCAGTGAGTGGTGTCACCAGTTACCCAAGTAGACACGTTGGTATCATCCTTGCCCTCTCTGTGCCTCTCGCCCTACTTAGCCAGTCAGCTGGCTAGAGTGCGCTGATTCTGCCACCTGTGTGCCTCAAACCCTCCAGTGATTATTCGCTGCCTTCAGGCAAAAGCATGGATGCCGTAGCTTGCAAAGCGAGGCCCGCTGTGCTCCAGCCTCATCTTCTGCCACCCTGCCCTTTGCATTCAGCTCCTGTCCTGGGCCACATTTCCTCTAGTCCATGGGCCTTTGAACCTTTTGATGCTGCTGTCTAAACCGTTGTGCCTCCAGATTCACCTGGCCTGTTAGGATTCTGTAGACGTCAAGCTATGTGAGAAGCTGTTTCTGTCATATCTCAAACCCTAAGCCTTACTTGGATTAGTGTTCCTCTGGGTTGCAGAGAACGTCCAGGGCTTATGGTGTCAAAGCATTTACCACTTCCTGAGGTCATTTCCTGTTTTCTTTGTCATCTCCTCTATTCTACTTAATGTTTCTCTAGGGCAGGGACTGTTTCTTACTTTGGTATTTCCAGAGCTTAGCCCATAATAAAAATATCATTATCAATAATATTACTAATAATATTATTAATTACTAATATTATTAATTATTAAAAGCGATTATAAATACAAGTCGGCAGCCTCATCTCCCGCCACCCTGCCCTTTTCATTCAGCTCCTATCATGGGCCACATTTTCTGTAGCGCTTGGGCCTTTGCACTTGCTGATGCTGCTGTCTGACACGATGTGGTCTGTTCACCTGGTCCTCCTTACCATTCGTGCATTCATTCAGAAGGCATTAATAAATACCTTTAGGGACTTGTCCTAAGGCTGCACAACAAAGGCTTTTTAAGCAGTTACATGTGCCAGGCACTGTGCTAAGTCCTTAGTTTCATTTTCTTGTTTACTCCTTACAGCAACTCCAAAAGGTAGGTGCTGTTGTTACTCCTGTTAAGCAGCTGGGGAATGTTAAGGTTTAGATTTGACCAAAGTCACAGAGCTGGCAGATGGCAAAGCCAAAACAGACACTGAGCTGTCTCTGACTCCAGCCCCCGTGCTCGCTGCCTTTCTGCAGTGTGTGGCCTTCATGCCCAGTGGTATCTGAATAAATCCCTTCCAAATGAAGCGTGAATAGTGAGGAGGGACTGCCGTCAGGGTGTGGAGGCAGAGTGCCAAACAGGCTGTTTCTTTGCTTGCCGTGTACTGGTCATCGTCTGCTCCATGGCTACTAGCCACAGGCCGAAAGCTGAGAATCTCTTGCTCAGGAAGAAGGAGAGAATAGAAATTTGTGAGGTACCAGCAGTTTCTGCTACAGGTATCTTCTGAAAGCAGATGGCATTCATCTGGGCTTTCAGTAAGATTTCATTGTATAGTCAAAGGTAAGAAAGCCTTTACAGTCAGAACAACATAAGCAAAACTATAGAGATAAGAGTGCGTGGCTCATTTGGGGACAGTGAATGGTCTAGTGTGGCTAGAGAGATGCGATCAGGCCTTCTCCTGGGCTGCCAGCTCAGCCCCTTTCCCCTAGAATTAGGAGCTGCCAGAGCCAGAGGTGCAGAGAATATGAAGTAATTCAGAATTTTTCCTTGTTTCTTCCTTTAGTGTGTCTTTTGATGACATTTCTAGTTGCTATTGTCAGCCTTTCAGAAAAGAGAATTCAGTTAAATGTAAGAGATCATAGATCTTGATCTGCCTAAAAATACTCTTCTGCCAGTTTGCTGTCATACCTGAAATTTCTATGACTGACTAGTCTTTTGAGTTATTTCCAGCAAATTAGATAGTTCCTGTCCTCATGAGGGTTGGGGGCAATAAGATCCTGGAAGGGAAGTAGAAAGCAGTGTGGTTTGCTGGACCAGTGTGTTAGCGTTGATGCTAGTGACAGTCATCAGTCATGGTCCTGGCCATGGTCGCTCCATGCCAGGGTTCCAAGACCTGTGGCCTCCCCAGCACTGCCATTGCCACCATTTCTGCAACCATGCATTCTCTTCCCTTATTGTCTGGGGTCAAGTAGCTGCAATGTTAAGTTTTCAGGAAAATTAGCTTTATCAGTTTAGGTTTATATGGCTTTGTTGTCCTTTGATATGTTGTGATTTCTTTTCACTTGGTGTTTACTTTCTCTCCTTCATTGCAGAAGTAATCCATCCTGTACCAGCATATCATTGCAAGCACCAAATGCTTTTGCTTTGATTTTGACATTTAGTGCTTTATAAGAAATTGGATTTGTTTCTTTGAGTAGGAAAGTAATTTTTTTTTTTTTTTTTTGTGAGACAAGAGTCTCACTCTGTCACCTAGGCTGGAGTGCAGTGGCATGATCTTGGCTCACTGCAACCTCCACCTCCCAGGTTCAAGCAATTCTCTTGCCTCAGCCTCCAGGTAGCTGGGATTACAGGTGCCCAGCACCACACCTGGCTAATTTTTGTATTTTTAGTAGAGACGCGGTTTCACCATGTTGGCCAGGCTGGTCTCAAACTCCTTACCTCAAGTGATCTGCCCACCTCAGCCTCCCAAAATGCTTGGGATTACAGGCATGAGCCACCACACCTGGCTGAGTAGGCAAGTAATTAAATCTAATGTGAAGAAATAAAAATGTGAATTTAGAGTATGCATTTGTTAATGTAAGGGCCCAAGCTTTCTGGTAAATAAAGTGAAGAATGAATCTAAACAATAACAGTTCTACAGATTAAAATTAAATTTTTCTTACAGTATTGCATTTCTTGAGTATTGTTACACATGAAGCAACTTAATAGCCAAATTATTTGATTTCATGGTGTAAATAATATGTCTGAGTTTGAAGAAGTTCTGGATTTTCTTACCAACTTTTCATGGTACAGATAGTACTGCTGTTACTCTGAGTTCTTAGAATAAATGTTGAAGTGCAGTAAATGTATCGAATTGCTTTTGTTGTGGATGTTAGCTCCGAGGCCGTAGTCCATCGTGTGCCCAGTTTGAGGCAGAGGTAGGAGCAGCAGCCTAGGGGCTGACGGCTGTGAGAGCCAGGGTTTGCAGGGCGTGTCGTGGCAGGTAAAGGAGAGCAAATGAGCTCTTGAGAAATTTGCCAGTGCCCTAACTCCCCGAGATTTCCTCAGTGCTTCTGTCTGTTAGCTGAGCAGCAGTTTCTTCATATAAACCTTCATTCTTCATTATTATTATTATTATTTTTATGATCTCTTAAGGGCACGAGAGCCCTTCATTCTGTAATCATTGAATGTGAAGATGAGTCCTCCCAGTATGTATTAATAAGTAGTGTTTTCTTGATGACAGCCTCTTAGGCTCAGGCCCTACCAGCAGCATTGACGCATCTTCTCAAATGAACTTTCCCTTCTAAGATAATTTGTTTACATCTCACACCAGGCTCCCAAGTCAATGGAATTGAAAAGGTAAAAGATTTCACAAAAGGAAGTCACAGGAGTGGCATATAACAATTTATAGCGACTCGGTTTTTTTTTTTTTTTTTTTGGTAAGATGGAGTCTCACTCTGTCACCCAGGCTGGAGTGCAGTGGCGCGATCTTGGCTCACTGCAAGCTCCGCTTCCTGGGTTCATGCCATTCGCCCACCTCAGCCTCCCAAGTAGCTGGGATTACAGGCGCACCACCACGCCCTGCTAATTTTTTGTATTTTTAGTAGAGACGGGGTTTCACCGTGTTAACCAGGATGGTCTCGATCTCCCGACCTTGTGATCCGCCCGCCTCGGCCTCCCAAAGTGCTGGGATTACAGGCGTGAGCCACTGTGCCCGGCAGCAACCCAGTTTTGAAACCAGAAATCAAAAAATGGTTTTCTGTGTAAAATTGTCATATGTGGATTCCTGGCTAGACCTTAAGATGCGGTGTGTGGAGAAGATCCAGGTGAATGATAATAGCTTTTTTCCTTAGGTAATTTTTTGAGAAAAATTTTGCAGCCTGCTCTTGACTTGCTTGGCAGTGAAGATGATGATAGCGCTCCAGAGACAACAGGCCATGGATTTCCCCATTTTTCAGAAGCACCTGCAAGACAAGGATTTTCTTTCAATAAAATGTTCACAGAAAAGGCTACAGAGGAAAGCTGGACATCGAATTCAAAGAAACTGGAGAGGCTGGGGTCAGCTGAGCAAAGCAGTCCTGACCTTTCATTTCTAGTTGTGAAGAATAACATGGGAGAGAAGCATCTTTTTGTAGATCTCGGTAAGTAAGATTGACAGCTTTCTCCATCAGACCGCCCTGGTGCTTTCGTGAGAGACGGGTTGGTGCCCACTCGTCACCGTGCTCGGGATTCTTGCTTCCTCCACTGCCCAAGTCGCCAGCACGATGCAACCAGTGAGTTCAGGTGCTGGGAATCTGTGAGGTTTTTCTCCAGAGATCTTAGAGGGGTCCAGGCCGGCCTGAGCTCCAGCAGAGGATGGCTGTGGCTGGCTTCTGCTCTGCATGTCCAGAGGATTCCTGCTGAGGGAGTTTTACAGGGGACAGTTGGACCAGCTTCCTCCAGGACTGCTGAGAGGTTAAGTCAGAGTACAGAAATTTAAAAAACAGACTCGGTATAAAAGCAGTACTCGTGTGGCGCGGTGAGCCTGGGTGTTCTCCTCACCGAAGATCTCAGTGGTAGTGGCAGGGCCCATTTCATCAGCTTTCTTGCTGTGTTCAAACCAGTGATTTCTTAACCCAGTGTGGTTTGCTAGGCCCTGGTCTCAGAGCCTGAGGATGTCAGAAGCCCTGGGCTGACAGGACTTGAGCATGATTCAACAACAGGCCAATCGAGACCCTAACACAACAGCTCCCATTGGTGAACTGCACCTCATTTTTATACTGAGGCTCTAGCTTGTGATTTCAAAAGCCATGACAGCAGCAGGTTTTTTCTTTTTCTTTTTTTTTTTTGAGACGGAGTCCCGCTCTTTAGCCCAGGCCGGACTGCAGTGGCACAATCTCAGCTCACTGCAAGCTCCGCCTCCCGGGTTCACGCCATTCTCCTGCCTCAGCCTCCGGAGTAGCTGGGACTACAGGCGCCCGCCACCGCTCCCGGCTAATTTTTTGTATTTTTAGTAGAGACGGGGTTTCACCGTGTTAGCCAAGATGGTCTCGATCTCCTGACGTTGTCATCCGCCCGCCTCGGCCTCCCAAAGTACTGGGATTACAGGCATGAGCCACTGCGCCCAGCCTCTTTTTTTTTTTTTAAGATGGAGTCTCGCTCTGTCACCAGGCTGGAGTGTGGTGGCACGATCTTGGCTCACTGCAACCTCCGCCTCCCGGGTTCAAACGATTCTCCTCCCTCAGCCTCCTGAGTAGCTGGGATTACAGGCATGCGCCACCACGCCCAGCTAATTTTTGTATTTTTAGTACAGACGGGGTTTCACCATGTTGGCCAGGCTAGTCTCAAACTCCTGACCTCGTGATCCGCCCGCCTCAGCCTCCCAAAGTGCTGGGATTACAGGTGTGAGCCACTGCGCCCGCCAGACAGCAGCATTTTTGCTGTTGGCTGTGAACACCTTGGAGAGCTTCAGTGTGTAAAGGTTGAGGGAAAGTAGGTTTAAATTATAGGTCAGATTCCCAGGCCAACAGTGGTACTGAAATGAGGGACGTGTTTCTGCTGGATTGCATGTTTTTCTAGCACCTCTGGCAATCAAGCACCAGAACTTGGAAAGACAGAGGAGTGTGAGGTCGAGCAGCCACACGGGCAGAGGCACCTTCTTCCAAGCCTGACAGGTTTTGCTTTATTACCAGAATATCATCTCCGGGTGGGACTAGCCTGCAGTCAGTGAGGGAGAGTGCGTAACAGGAAGTTGATCCAGGGAGAGCGGCAGTGGCCAGTACCCGTCTCTACTTCTACCCCAGCAGAACACAGTACCCCAGGTCACAGCACACCTAACCTTGAAAGTCAGGCTACCGGACTAGCAAGGAAACCTCCCTGGTACTCTTGATACATGTGCCTGGATTTATTTACATATCCAGAGAGGATGGGGAAATCATTTCCTAAACCATCCTTGGAAAAGTTCAGAGATTTCATAATATATGCTGAAATAAGAAACTTTTTTTGTTGAAGTATGTGACATTTATACAGAAAAATATGTAATTAATCACAGAATGAACACCCCTTGTCACCACAGCACCCAAGACAAGAAATAGATTACCATTACCCCCAACTTCCTCCATCCTCCTTCCGGTCCGGACCCTCCCTCTGTCCCAGGGGCAACAACTGTTCTGTCCTCTAACACTGTGGGTTAGTTTTGCCTGTATTTTTACTGTGTAATTGGAATCATATACAGTTGACTCTTCAACAATGCAGGGCTTAGGGGAACCAACTTCTCTATGCAGATAAAAATCGGTGTATAACTTTTGACTTCCCAAAAACTTAATTACTGATAGCCTACTCTTGACCGGAAGCCTCATTGATAACATAAACAGTTGATTAACCATGTTTTGTATACGTATTATATACTGGATTCTTACAGTGAAGTAAGCTAAAGAAAAGAAAATGTTGTTAAGAAAATCATAAGGAAGAGGGAACATATTTACAGTACTGTACTGTATTTGTCGATACTGTAAGTTTAGGTCATCTGTTTACACGACGAATCATTCATCTGAAACGGCGACAACAGCAGCTGAAACCTCAGTCTATGTACATGTCAAGCAATTCAGCCTTTTCCTGTAAGGTCATGACATTTCTCTGTGTGGGAGCACCTCCAGCATCACGAGTGGCACTTCATATGGTCCCATGGTGTTACTCGAGGTTTACAATATCGCACTAAACACGATGAAAAATATGTGAGAACTGCAAGGAACACTTTTGACTGTGAAGCGCAATTGATTGGTGCGATGACCTGCTCACATGGAGATGATTGGCATCACACTGTGTTGTAAGCAGATACCTGAGCTCACCGCAATAGCAAGAGGAGGCGGCTAAGAACTTATTATGGCAGTGTAGTATGTACTATGGTTAATCTTATGCAGTTATGATTTAATACTCCATCTTTAAAACATTTGTTTAGATTTTTCCCAACTGCAAATGGCATCATGTACAGTCAGCAAGGGTGTGTGTATGTTTGGATAAATTTTAACTTTTTATAATAGACTTATGTACATTTTATGACAGTAAATGATAACTTAGACTAGCCATCTACATATATTTTATGCATTCATGACACACTTAACTTTTTCTAATTATTTTTAATTATTTTCTAACATTTTCCAATATTTTAGGCTATACGGTTCATCTGTGAGTTTTCTCAAATTGTTGTAAGTCCCCCCAAAATTTTCCAATATCCTTATTGAAAAAAATTTGGCTCATGCCTGTAATCCCAACACTTTAGGAGGCCAAGGCAGGTGGATAGCTTGAGGTCAGGAGTTCAAGACCAGCCTGACCAACGTGATGAAACCCCATCTCTACTAAAAAGACAAAAATTAGCCGGGCATGGTGGTGCATGCCTGTAATCCCAGCTACTCAGGAGGCTGAGACATGAGAATCACTTGAATCCGGGAGGCAGAGGTTGCAGTGAGCCGAGATCATACCACTGCACTCCAGCCTGGGCAACAGAGTAAGACTCAGTATCAAAAACAAACAAACAAACAAACAAAAAAACTCACATATAAGTGGTGCCATGTAGCTCAAACCCTTGTTGTTCAAGGGTAAACTGTAGTGTGTGTTTGTGGTTGCCTTTGTACCCTTAGTTGTGTGTTTGAGGAACATAAGTCATTAAATAATAGTAGTAGTCTGATTTTATCAGTATTTTCCTCTGTGGTCAGTGTTTCTTGCATCTTGTTAAAGAAACGTGGCCTATCCCAAAGTCATTCTTTTGCTTTTCTTCCTTATCTTCTAAAAACTTATTGTTCTGCCTTTTATGTTTATGTTTAATTTATTATTTTTTAGAGACAAGGTCTCATTCTGTTGCCCAGGCTGAAGTGCAGTGGTGCAATCCTGCCGCCTTAAACTCCTGGGCTCAAGCAATCCTCCTGCCTCAGCCTCCCCAGTAGCTAGAACTACAAGTGCATACGACCACACTTTTAATACAAATCAATCTTTCTTCCCTCCCCTCCCCTGCCTTCCCCTCCCTTCCCTTTCCTTCCCTTCCCTTCCTTTCTCCTTTTCCTTCCCTTCTCCTTTCCCTTCCCTTCCCTTCCTTTCCCTTCCCTTCCCCCTTCCCTTCTCCCTTCCCTTCTCCCTTCCCCCTTCCCTTCTCCCTTCCCTTCCCTCCCTCTCTCTCCTTTCCCTTCCTTTCTCCTTCCCTTCCCCTTCCTTTTCTTATCCTTCCCTTCTCCCTTCCCCATCCCTTCCCTTTCCCTTCCCTTCCCCTTTCCTTTTCTCTCCCTTCCTTCTCCCTTCCTTCCCCTTCCTTCTTTTTCCCTTCCTTTCTCCCCTTCCTTCCCCTCCCCTTCCCCCTCCCTTCTCCTTCCCTTCCCCTTCCTTCCCCCTTTCTTTCCTTTCCCGTCCCCCCCCTTCCCTTTCTCCTTCCCTTCCCTTTCCTTCCCCCTTCCCTTCCCTTTCCTTCCCCCTTCCCTTCCCTTTCTTTCTCCCTTCCCTTCCCCCTTCCCTTCCCTTCCCCCTTCCCTTCCCTTTTCCCTTCCCTTCCCCCTTTCCTACCCCATTCTTTTCCCTTCCCTTCCCTTCCCCCTTCCCTTCTCCTCCCCCTTCCCCTCTCTTCCCCCTTCCCCCTTCCCCCTTCCCCCTTCCCCCTTCCCCTTCTCCCTTCCCCCTTCCCCCTTCCCTTCCTCTTTCCCCCTTCACTTCCCTTCTCCCTTCCCCCTTCCCTTCCCTTCTCCCTTCCCCCTTCCCTTCCCTTCTCCCCTCCCCTTCCCCTTTCCCTTTCCTTTCTATTTCCACCTCTCTCTCTGTCTCTTTCTCTCTCTTTCTTTCTAAGTATCATAGAGCAACACAATTTTCTTATTTCTTTATTTTTTGTAGAGACAGGATCTGCTATGTTGCCCAGGCCTCAAGCGATCCTCCTGTTGTGGCCTCCCATAATGCTGGGATTACAGGCACAAGCCACTGCACCTGGCGTGGCTTTTATGTTTAGATCTACAGTCCACTTGGAAAGGATTTGCTTATTGGGTGAGGAGGAGTCAAGATTCACTTTTTCGTATGTGGATATCCGGTTGGCTCAGCACTGTTTGTTGAAATGACTGTCCTTAACCTACTGCTCAGCAGTGCTACCTTTGCCATAAATCAGTGGCTATATGTATTTTGATCTGTTTCTAGACCCTGTTCTGCTTCATTGTTCTATTGATCTATTCCTGTCTAATATAGTTTTATATATTAGATAGGCACGACACTGTCTAATATAGTTTTGTTATAAGTCTTTATATCTAGGAAAAACAATTCCTCTAAGTTTGTTCTTTGAAATTTCTTGGTAGTTATTGACCTTTTGCACTTCCATTTAAATTTTAGAGTCAGTTTGCCGGTTTACACAAACAAATCCTGCTAGAATTTTTATTTGGATTGCCTTGAATCTATAGATCACCTAGGGGAGAACTGACATTTTTATAATATTGAGTCTTCCAATCTATGCACATGGTAGGCCCATCTGTTTACTTAGGTATTCTCTAATGTTTCTCTATAATGTTGTATAATGTACTGAATAGAAATCTTATCCATATTTGTTAGATTTATTCTAGATATTTGTTGGTTTTGGTCCTTCCCTTTTCTCTGGAATTTAGCTCCGCACAGCTTCACTGTCTTGGAAGCTCTCTGGTTGTCTCAAACTTTCTAGTACCTGCATCCAGCTTTTCCATTTGTTTCAGTTGCAGAATTGCTGCAGAATAATTGAGTTTGCTGTTTCAGAATGTGGCATTCCTCCATGCTGACTGCAATTTGTTTTAATTTATATAGTGCTTTAATTTTATTTTGTTTACAGCTATATATAGAAAATAATTATTTTTTATTAATGCTATATAAAAACTTAATATTTGCTGACTATGAAACTAATAACAGAAAACATGCTTTCATATTGTTTTATCAATTTTTGATGTAGGAGTTTATACAAGAAATAGAAACTTTCGGCTATATAAATCATCAAAAATTGGAAAGCGTGTGGCTTTGGAGGTTACTGAAGATAACAAATTTTTTCCTATACAGTCAAAAGATGTTTCTGACGAATATCAATATTTTCTCTCTTCTTTGGTCAGCAATGTCAGGTATGTAGTAGCAGCATCAAACCATTTTGTATTCATGAATATTTATTAAACAGTGAATGGCATTGTATATTACTAAAATGTAAATCATCTAAATTCATTCTACCTTAAGAAAATGTCAGTTCTTACAGCTCTTTTTTTTTTTTTTTTTTTTGATACAGAGTCTCCCTCTGTCACCCAGACTGGAGTGCAGTGGCGCTATCTAGGCTCAGTGCAAGCTCTGCCTCCCGGGTTCATGCCATTCTCCTGCCTCAGTCTCCCAAGTAGCTGGGACTACAGGCGCCTGCCACCACACCCGGCTAATTTTTGTATTTTTAGTAGAGATGGGGTTTCACCATGTTAGCCAGGCTTGTCTCGAACTCCTGACCTCAGGTGATCTGCCGACCTCAGCCTCCCAAAGTGCTAGGATTACAGGTGTGAGCCACCGCGCCCAGCCAGTTCTTACAGTTCTAAGTTAACTTTTCTCTTTTCTCCATTAGCTAAAAGATAATAGTAAAACGTATATTTGAACACTTAATTTTCTCTATATATCTTTTTAGGATTATATTTAGTGTATTTTCCAATT